>NC_000010.11:94537034-94840064 GCF_000001405.40 Homo sapiens
TTGTTTGCTTGGTAAGAGTGTAATTGCAAACATGGGAAATTTGAATTAATACACTTATATGTCTTAAGCCCTGATTATTGCCAAGCACTGCCTCTTAATATTTTGTTAGGCTACATAAAGTTTTAAGATTTGGGAAATTCCAAAATTGCCTTTCTTTCAAGATATTCTGCTGTTCATATTGATCATCCCTTGATCTCAATTAATGAGAATTTGCTTATGTGCATTTTATTTTGTAGATTCCATTTATTTTCCAGTAAACACCAGGAAGGAAATTTGACTAAAATTACATTATGAAAGTGTTTCATTTGAACATTTACGTAAACAATAATGACTTTATTAAATTTAAAGTAAAATGACTTTTGTATTATTGCAATGTATTTGAAAAATCATCTTTATAATAAATATGTAAATGATAAATGAATATAGACTTGAAGGAGTATATAAAATTGACAACAATGGGGTATATATGTTCTCATTTTTCATCCTCAGGCATAATGCTATACACAATGGTATAAAAGCAGAAAGTGAAGCTTCAAATTCTGGTCACAGCTGAGCACGGTGGCTCATGTCTGTGATCCTAGCACTTTGGGAGGCTGAGGCAGGAGCACCACTTGATCTGAGGAGCTCCAGATTAGCCTGGGTAACATAGTGAGACCATCTCTACAAAAAATTTAAAAATTAGCTGGGCATGGTAGCATGTGCCTGTAGTCTCAGCTACTTGGAAGGCTGAGGTAGGAGGATTGCCTGAGCCTGGGAGGTTGAGGCTACACTGATCACACCACTGGACTCCAGCCTGTGCAACAGAGTGAGACACTTTCTCAAAAACATTTTAAAAAAAATTGGGCTGGGCACGGTGGCTCACGCCTTTAATTCCAGCACTTTGGGAGGCCAAGGCAGGCGGATTACCTGAGGTCAGGAGTTCGGGACCAGCCTTACCAACATGGAGAAACCCCATTTCTACTAAAAATACAAAATTAGCCAGGCTTGGTGGGGTATTCCTGTAATCCCAGCTACTCGGCAGGCTGAGGCAAGAGAATGGCGTGAACCCGGGAGGTGGAGCTTGCAGTGACCCAAGATCGCCGGCTGCACTCCAGCCTGGGTGACAGAGCGAGACTCCGTCTTAAAAAAAAAAAAATGGGGTAAGTTAGGCAACAAAAAAGCCTCTTATGTGAGCCCTTGAAAAGCAAACACATCTTATGAAATTTTTAATTAGCTTACATGTTTCATTACCTTTTAACAGTGTAAATCAACTGGGCACGGTGGCTCGCACCTGCCATCCCAGCACCTTAGGAAGCTGAGGTGGGCGGATCACTTGAGGTCAGGAGTTGAGACCAGCCTGACCAACATAGTGAAACCCTGTCACTACTGAAAGTACAAAAATTAGCTGGGCATGGTGGTAGGTGCCTGTAATCCCAGCTACTTGGGAGGCTGAGGCAGGAGAATCGCTTGAACCCAAGAGGCGGAGGTTGCAGTGAGCCGAGATCACACCATTGCACTCCAGCCTGGGCGACAGAGCAAGACTCCGTCTCAAAAAAAAAAAAAAGTGTAAATTAATTTCTATCATTTTTTTACTCAAGATCCTCTAATGGCATTCCTCGTAATAAAAATCCACACTCTTTATCCTAGTCTCCATGGTCCTACTTGATCTGGTCACTGTGCATCTTTCCAATTTCAGCTGCAATTTATAAACATTCTGCCTGTAGACACAGTGGACTTACTGCCATTTTTCAATTTGTCAGCCTTCTATCTACCTGAGGTCTTTCTTCCCTCTGAAGTGTTTTTTGTCTAGGTCTTTGTATGGCTTATACTTTATACCGCTGCTTAAGGTCACTTCCTCAGAGGACTTTTCTCTCAACATGTATCCACTATTCTCATGACCTTACCCTGCTTCATATTTCTTTATAATTTCTATTATATATCACCAACTGACACTACTTTATAGTGCTGTCTATTGTTTCCACTACAGTGTAAACTCTGAGGTCAAAAACATTGTCTTATTTACTACTGAAGCGCTAGTACCCAAAATAGTGCATGGCACTAACCTATGGTAGATATGGATGACTGGATTGTTTTTATTTCGGTCCATTCCTCACTGCACTTACCTTTTCATTTAAATTTTTTTCTATTATAGATATTATGCAGTGACCAGAAACTCAAATAGTTTCTGGTTCACTCGGAAAGTTAAACATTTAAAGGTTGGGTAGAAGAGAACTAGTAAAAGTCAGGAATAGGAATATCAAGAGAATGTGGGGTCAGAAAAGACAACGGACAAGAGTGTTTCCATAAAGGAGTGATTAACAGTGTTATGTTGCAATGAGATTCAAATAAGAACTGAGAATGTCCATTAAACTGAGCAACATTGAAGTCATTAAACCTTAGTGGGCTACTTTGATGTATGCTGAATGTTGCAATGAGACAGAGGGTTGAAGAATCAGTGGGAGGCAAGGAATTAAACATTGCTAGTGTAGACAATTATAAAAGTAAGCTTTAAAGGGGAAGAGAGAACTGAAAATAGTTGGTAGGGAAATAGGAGGTTCCAGCTGGGTGCAGTGGCTTGCACCTGTAATCCCAGCTACTTGGAGCCTAAGGTGGGAGGATTCCTTGAGTTCAGGAATTAAAGGTTACAGTGAGCTATGATGGTACCACTGCACTCCAGCCTGGGTGACAGAGTGAGATTTTATCTTTTAAAAAGAGGGAATAATGATTTCTAATCTAAAATAATTTCTGAATAGGCAGCAGGGAGTTGGATCCAGAGCACAAGATGAGAGAGTGAGAAAGGTATTCAGGATGCAGATGGGTTTGTAAATTTGATGTTGGTAAGCTGAATGGGGAATTCTGTCTTGTAGCTATTGTTTCCTTTGTTAGGTAGGCCAGAAGTGGGGCCATCTACCGTAACAAGAGGGAGCCAGGGTTTTCTTTTGTTTTGACTTCTATGATTGGATGGATGGTTATGCACATTGATATGAAAAGGATTCTATAAGAGGAAGACATTTTGTGTGGGTAGGGAAAAATGACTTGTAACATCATACTTAGAAGAAAATCCCCAGTGCCTTATCTGGAGGGTCTGCCTCTGACTTTTTGTGCCATTCCCCCTTGCCAATTCGGCTTCAGTGATACTGGCCTTCTCTCTGATATTCAAACATGCCCAAGTGTATTCCTGCTTTACTCTCTGTACACGTGTAGTTTCTGCTTGGATTGCTCTTCCCCCAGGCTGGCTAGCTTCTTGGCATTTGGTTCTCTGCTTAAAGTGCCTATCACTTCGGCTGGGTGTGGTGGCTCTTGCCTGTAATCCCAGCACTTTGGGAGGCCGTGGCGGGTGGATCACCTGAGGTCGGGAGTTTGAGACCAGCCTCACCAACATGGAGAAACCCCGTTTCTACTAAAAATACAAAATTAGCCAGGCTTGGTGGCGTATGCTTGTAATCCCAGGTACTCGGGAGGCTGAGGCAGGAGAATTGCTTGAACCCGGGAGGCGGAGGTTGCGGTGAGCCAAGATTGCGCCATTGCACTCCAGCCTGGGCAACAAGAGTGAAACTTCATCCCACACACACACACACACACACACACACACACAAAAGTGCCTATCACTTCTTCAGACATCCAATTACCCAATCTAAAATAACTATCCTGTCACTCTCATGCCACCCTATTCTAATATTTTGCAATTTCCCCCTTTTCATCCCAACTCCTGGAATGTAAGTTCCATATCAACAGGGATGTAGTCTGTCTGGTTCATTGCTGTACAGCTCCTGTGATAGTTCCTGGTATCCAGGAGACATTTTAATTTAATTTTTAATTTTTGTGGGTACACAGTAGGTGTATATGTTTATGGGGTACATGAGATGTTTTGATACAGGCATACACTGTGAAATAAAAACATCATGGAAAATGGGGTATCCATCCCCTTAAGCATTTATCCTTTGAGTTATAAACCAATTATACTCCTTAAGTTATTTAAAAATGTACAATTATTATTGACTATAGTAACCCTGTTAGGCAATCAATAGTAGGTGTTATTCATTCTTTCTAACCAGGAGGCATTGAAAAAACAAAGAAAAAACAAAATAAATGTAGACCCTTAAATAAAAGTGAATGAACAAGAGTGTTCACAGCCACTTTGAAGGGAGGGTTTGCACAACGGCAAAGACGTGCCAGGAAATGCACCAATGCACTTTTATTACCAAGTGTGGGGCCAGATGTCAGTTGAGATGTGTGTTCTTTGAGAATCAGATGAAGTTTTCTTGAGCTCCATTTCGTGTATTTGGACAAATTCTCTCTCTTGCCTGTGGAGCAGAAGGTCCAAGGAACAAAGTTTCTAGAGAAAAACAATGAATGGAAGAAAGATTTGGGGAGGTGGGCCACAGTTGAATTTGTATTAGTCCATTTTCATGCTGCTGATAAAGACATACTCAAGACTGGGTAATTTATAAAGAAAAAGAGGCTAATGGACTTACAGTTCCACGTGGCTGGGAAGGCCTCACAATCATGGCAGAAGGCAGAAGATGAAAAGCATGTCTTACTTGGTGGCAGGCAAGAGAGAGAATGAGAGCCAAGCGAAAGGGGTTTCCCCTTATAGAACCATCTCATCTTGATCTCGTGAGACTTATTCACTACCACAAGAACAGTATGGGGGAAACTGCTGCCATAATTCAATTATCTCCCACCAGGTCCCTCCCACAACATGTGGGAATTATGGAAGCTGCAATTCAAGATGAGATTTGGGTGGGGGACACAGCTAAACCATATCAGAATTCAAAAGAAGGAACAAGGAAAGATTTTTCAGTACATTAGGGAAAAACCCCATAAAAAGTGTTTCAAAAGTCAAAGGGAAAGAAATTTTGGAGGATAGGTTGGTAAAGGTCAAAAAAAATTTTTTTTTTTTTTTTGAGATGGAGTCTTGCTCTGTCGCCAGGCTGGAGTGCAGTGGCATGATCTTCGCTCACTACAACCTCTGCCTTCCAGGTTCAAGTGATTCTCCTGCCTCAGCTACCCTAGTAGCTAAGATTACAGGTGTGTGCCACCACACCCAGCTAATTTTTGTATTTTTAGTAGAGATGGGCTTCATCATGTTGGCCAGGATGGTCTCGATCTCTTGACCTCATGATCCACCCACCTTGGCCTCCCAAAGTGCTGGGATTACAGACATGAGCCACTGCACCCGGCCCCAAAAACCTTAAGTAGAGTGAGGGTGGCGGGTGAAGTGGCTCACGCTCTGGCATGCCAGTAATTTCATACTCTGGGAGGTCAAGGTGGGAGGATCCCTTGAGCCCAGGAGTTCAAGACCAGCCTGAGTAACATAGCAAAACCCTGTCTCTACAGAAAATTTTAAAAAATTAGCTGGGTGTAGTGGTATGCACCTGTAGACTTAGCTGCTCAGGAGGCTGATGTGGGAGGATCACTTGAGCCCAGGAATTTGAGGTTGCAGTGAGCTATGATTGTGCCACTGCACTTTAGCCTGGGCAACAGAGCAAGACCCTGTCTCAAAACACAACAAAAAGCAAATCTTAAGTAGAATGAAACAGCTAAGTTTTCGATTAGGAGATAGGATTTAAGAGTAGCTATTAACAGAGGCTACATTTTATCTTGAAATAATATTGAATGAACTAGGAGTAAAAATGTTATCAAGCAAATGGGCTCACTGCCCGTTACACACTAAAGCCAAAAACTATGGCACCTGCCTTTGACGAAAGGCTTTATTGCAAGTGGTCAGCAAGGAGACAGGAGTGGGCTCAAGTCTGTCTCCCTGATTTAGGGTCTAGGGCAATTTTTTTTTTTTTTTTTTTTTTTGAGACGGAGTCTCGCTCTGTCGCCCAGGCTGGAGTGCAGTGGCGCGATCTCGGCTCACTGCAAGCTCCGCCTCCCGGGTTCACGCCATTCTCCTGCCTCAGCCTCCCGAGTAGCTGGGACTACAGGCGCGTGCCACCACACCCGGCTAATTTTTTGTATTTTTTAGTAGAGACAGGGTTTCACTACGTTAGCCAGGATGGTCTCAATCTGACCTCGTGATCCACCCACCTCGGCCTCCCAAAGTACTGGGATTACAGGCGTGAGCCACCGTGCCCGGCCAGGTCTAGGGCAAATTTTAAGGGATCAGAGAGCAAGGGAAAAGATTTAGGAATGTTGGCTTGGCAGGGTCTGATTGGAGGGCTTCAAATTGAACCATTTAACGTAAGGTACTGTTATAGAACTGAACTGTGGTCCACTTGCCTGGCTCAGGAAGACAAGACTTCCACACTGAGCTTTTGCAGCTGTAGGAATTGGGGCAGCTCATGCTTAAGACCCAAACTCCCTGATGGCTTGCAGGTAAGGATTTTTAAAGGCAGGGGTAAATTTCAGGAAAGCAGAAATTACAGGCAAAGTCATTGATTAATACATGGAGTCTATGTATTGTTTCGACCGCCATCTCAAAGGGTAGGTAGGTCAAAAGGTGGATTAAAAGGTAGGTCATAGATGGATTAAAAGGTTTTCTGATTTGCAGTTGGTTCAGGAGGTGAAGCTTTGTCTAAAAATTTGGGGAGCTGGGTGTGGTAGAGTGTGCCCGTAATCCCAAAATTTCTTTCCCTTTGACTTGGGAGGCTGAGTGGGAGGATGGCTTGAGCCCAGGAGTTTGAGACCAGCCTAGGCAATATAATGAGACTCCATCTCAATTTTTAAAAATTAAAAAATAAAAATTTGGGATCAGCAGAAAAGAATGCTAGCTCTGCTTGTGTGTGTGACCTCCTCCAGGCCCCTAGGAATAAATTTAGAACAAATGAGGCAGCAGAGTGCCAGCACATGTGTTTGGTGGCGCTTGGGGTTTCTAAAAAACAACTCAGAGACATGTGTTAAGATATTATCTCTAGTTTTTATAAAGGAACCAAACATCTCCTGAATCTAACTTCCTGGGCTGTTGTTTTAGGCTACCATTACCTTCTTCCTTATCAAGTTGCTTATTTACTTGTCAGGGCTAGCTAGGTTCCTGGAATTTCCCTTGAAGCAACTCAAGATTTCCCTTTATTCCCATGGTTTTTTTTTTTTTTTTTTTTTTTTTTTTTTTTGAGACAAAGTGTAGCTTTATCACCCAGGCTGGAGTGCAGTGTTACAATCTCGGCTCACTGCAGCCTTGACCACCTGGGATCAAGTGATTCTCCCACCTCAGCCTCCCAAGTACTAGGACCACAGGCATGTGCCACCACAGCCGGCTAATTTTGGAAATGTTTGTAGGGGCCAGGCACAATGTGTCACGCCTGCACTCTCAGCACTTCCGGAGGCCGAGTTGGGAGGATCCCTTGAACCTAGGAGTTCGAGACCAGTCTAGATAACATGGCGAAAAACCGTCTCTACCAAAAAACAAAAACACACAAAAACCCCAAACCAACAAAAATTAGCCTGGAATGGGCTAATGTCCGACACTAAAATGTCCGGGCGTGGTGGCACGCACCTGTAGTCTCAGCTACTTGCTAGGCTGAGGTGGGAGGATCAACTGAGCCCAGGAGGTGGAGATTGCAGTGAGCAGAGATCGTGCCATTGCACTCCTGCCTGGACGACAGAGTGAGACCCTATCTTAATAAAATAAAATATAGAGACTAGGTTTCGTTTCTATTTTTTATGAGACGGAGTCTCTCCCTGTTGCCCAGGCTGGAGTGCAATGGCGCGATCTCTGCTCACTGCAACCTCTGCCGCCCAGGTTCAGGCGATTCTCCTGCCTCAGCCTCCCGAGTAGCTGGGACTACAGGCGCCTGCCACCGTGCCCGGCTGTTTTGTATTTTTAGTAGAGACAGGGTTTCACCATCTTGGCCAGGCTGGTCTTGAACTCCTGACCTCGTGATCCACCCGCCTTGGGCTCCGAAAGTGCTGGGATTACAGGCGTGAGTCACCGCACCCGGCTTGTAAACTCTTAAATTTTGTATAGACACAATCATACAAGTTGTGGGAGTCAAAATGAAGGAAACGGGTGGTTACATGGTAGGTATATTTAATGCCATACATCTTAAGAAATTGGAGGTGGGAAAGGGAGCCCTGGAGAGGGAGACAAAGGAAATAGTTGAAAAGGAATGCAAACAAGAAAAGGAGGAATTGAAAGCTGAAGTGAAAACCAGGGACAAGAAAAGCTCCGCTCCTTCCTTCACTGCCCACTCGAATGAATGAATCCTGTTTGGTTTCCTGAATCTTCCTTCTGCTGGCCACTCCGCTTGGTCCATCACTTCTTTCAGCTTGCCCTTATCCTAAACAGCTTTCTTTAACCCAGTCATAATCTTAATTTCCTGTTCCTTCTCTCTCCCGTCCCACCCACAAAAAAGCCCTCCTCTTTGTCATTTTGGGGGATTTTTCACTTAAGATGTGAGCCGCGCGCTGCGGGTGCGGCGAGGCTGGCCCTATAAAAATGTTTCTGTTTCTGACATCCTCGTGCAGATACGCAGACGTCTCTACCTACAGGATCATGGGCTAGCGGGTGCTCAATCACAGCAGCCAGCGTTGGAAGGCGCCTTGCAAAGTATTAACAGCACTATCAAACTTTAATTGCGTAGTTCGGAACCAGATATGTGAGGAAACTGGGTTCTCCACGATCGGCCACCTCGCCCAATCTCACAGGATAGTTACAGGCTGAGTTCGGCAGCGGGACCCAGTTTCCTCCTGAGAGAGGTCCAGGTAAAGGTTTACGGTTGCCACAGGTCAGTCCTGACGAAAACCGCAAGCTGCGCCAAATCTCGCGCAGCGGGGCGGGAGGGCGGGTGGGGAATGTAAGGTATCGCGAGATGACAGGATTTTCCCGCGAAGGAGAAGCGCGCTTTTTTCCCTGGCGGGGGATTTGGCTAGAAGGCTGGGCCGGCAGCGGTTGTGAGGAGTTAGCTCGCGGCATTGCAGGCTCTGAGAGGAGGGGACCCGGTTCCCGGGTGAGTGTCCAGGCATGCCAGCGGAACGGCCCGCGGGCAGCGGCGGTGAGTGAGGAAAACCTTTTGGGCGCGGGTGGCAGCCTGCGGGGCTGAGGTGGGCAAGCATGGAGGCTGCGGCGGAGTTTCGGGGAGGGAGCCGACCCCGGGCAGGGACTGAGGAGGAAAGGAGGGTTGGGAAACTGCAACGGTGAGTGGAGGACACCCCGGAATCGCACGTATTAGCATGCCGGTGAAGATTTCACATAGGCAACTGCATTTTCCCGAGCATCCCGAGTTGTAAACTGTGGTCCAGGCGACTTGTAGACATTGTGAAGACTTACGGTGTCTTCTGAGAGGTGATGCTGGCGTCCCCTCGGTCTTCAGCTTTTGCTCCAGTGCATCTCGGGTGGGAGAAAGGCTGTTTCTTGTTGGAGTTGAGTAGTTGGTAATTTTTTTAAAACTGCAATTTGAAAGCTTTCTCCCCCGTCAGGCTCGGAGGCTCCAGCAATGGTTGAACAACTGGACACTGCTGTGATTACCCCGGCCATGCTAGAAGAGGAAGAACAGCTTGAAGCTGCTGGACTAGAGAGAGAGCGGAAGATGCTGGAAAAGGTAATTTAGGCATCAGGTTCGTCGTCGTGAAAGCCTGTGGTAACCTCGGCTTTAACCCGGAGGTGTGGTTTGTGTTCTTTGCTTTCCTATTTAGTGGGCTTTTTAATAACTGAAAGAAAACAGCTTTATTACTTGTCTTTTTTGTATGTTTACAGATATTGCCTTTGAGAATCCTTTCGCAAGTGCTTTGAATGGTGTGTTTCTATGAGATGTAGTCTTGGTAGTCCCATCACTTTTAAATGAGCATTTCAGATTGCTTGTTTAGCCATGAAAAGTCTTTCAAAGTCCATAGTGAGTTTTTTCGTTTGTCATCCTTATTTCCTTTAAAAATTACCTTAAATGTATGTCTCATGGCAAACAGGAATCGCTAAAACCTGCAGAAGTAATGTACTAGACTGAGGGCAGGAGAAGTTAGCATCAATCAAAGGCTGGGCTGGAATCCAAGTCTAATGATTTCCTTATACTGTAGTGCTGTTTTCCACCTAAGTGATCAACTTGCTGTTTGTTTTTCTTTTGGTTTCATGGCCTGTGTATTGCTACATAAGATTCTTTAGCTAAAAATGTGCCGTACTTTTTCAATGACAAGTTGCTGTAGTTTTCTTGTAGAGAGCATTTTGTAAGTTACTAAAAACAGTTTTTAACCTGAAAAATTCTTGTTTATTCTAAAGCCCCACCCTGCTGCTTGATTCATATGCAAGAAAAAGAATGATCGTTGACTCTTAAGTACTGCCTAGTACGTGGTTTTCTTGTGCTTTATTAATTTATTAAACTCTACCGATATTATGATATAGGTTATTTTTTGTTATTTTCATTTACAAATGAAGAAACTGAGGGAGAAGGGCACATAGTAAGTGTTGAAGTCAAATTTCAACTCAGGCTGCCTGCAGAATTTCTGTCCTTAATAATAGTGAATTAACTCATGATTATAAAACTACTTAAGTTGGAAAATAATGCATTCCAAAAACGAGTAATGAGGCCGTTGGTTCCCTGTTATGTCAACAATAATTTTTTTGTCAGCATTGTTAATACTTCTTGAACATTTATTAGGAGTCATGCATTGTTTTGAATGCTTTATATGTATTTACTCATTGAATCCTCAACTATTCTGTAAAGTAGATGTTCATTATTACTATTACTGCTATTAAACTTACTAGTTTAATTACTAGTATAAACAATTGCTATTATTGAACTACACAACCAAATAGGTTTTATTAGTCATCTTATTTTACAGATGAGGAAACTGAGGCACATAGAGGTTGTTTGGGTGCCACAGTTGGTAAATGGCAGAGCTAACATTCCAGTGTAGGCCATGTGGTTCTAGAATGCACATTTTTTAACTACCATGCTATAGTTCCACTCCAGTAATACTCCTTCCGTTATTACTGATGATCTCTGGTTGACTATAACCAGTTAAGGTAATATATTAACAAATTTTCTTTAAGTAACATCAATACTTTTTGCTTCAGGGTAGATGTGAATTAACAGAATTGAGAGGTCTGACCTGAACCACCTTTTCTCATTCTTTGAATTTTCATAGTACTTTATTACACAGAATTTACCATGACCAAATAAGTAATGATAAATACTTCATACTACTTTTTGATTCTTTCTCACTTTGTTTCTTGAGGGTGCATCACTTGCTGTTTTGTTTTTGTAGGCTTTGCACCTGGCACATAGTAGGCAATCAGTAAGTGCTTATTGAATAGCTAACGATGATAAAATGGTATTTTATAATATACAAGATTATATACATATACTAAATATACTTATTAGCTATATAACCAGATGAATTATAAAGTATAAATTCTGGGGCAAGTGCCCAGAATGGAATCAACTGAAGAAGTCTAAGAGGGATGTGATAATTTTGTCTTGAGTAATGTATCTTCAGTTTTATCTTGTTTCTTCATATACCCATTATGAGTGTTGGGTAGGGAAATAGCATTTAAAGAAAGATATGCCTGAGATATGACAACAGTACATTTTCAGAAGGTATTATTCATTCAAGGAAGAAACACTTCACATTTAAAAAAGATAAGTCAAATATGTAGTATTTTATATATTTGCTGAGGTCAAATGACCTGCTACTTTTAATGACATTTTTAAGCTTATGAACAAACATTTTGCAGTTAGTCCTAAATTTAATAATTATGCATCATAGAACCTAAAGAGTAATTTTTAATCCTTCCATTAAAAAAGTATATGGCTGTTTTCATGGCCTGGCATGGTGGCTCACGCTTGTAATCCCAGCACTTTGGGAGGCCGAGGCGGGTGGATCACCTGAGGTCAGGAGTTCGAGACCAGTTTGGCCAACATGGTGAAACCCCGTCTCTACTAAAAATATAAAAATTAGCCAGATGTGGTGGCGCATACCTGCAGTCCCAACTACTCAGGAGGCTGAGGCAGGAGAATTGCTTGAACCCAGGAGGCAGAGGTTGCAGTGAGCCGAGATGGCATCACTGCACTCCAGCCTGGGTGACAGAGCAAGATTCCGTCTCAAAAAAAAAAGTATGTAGCCGTTTTCAATCTTAATATAAGTGTGTAATTTGCTAAAACATTAGTGTTGTGGTTTCGTATTACATTGTCTTGTTATGTACAGATAAGGAAAGTTTTTGATTATTTTTTGCACTGGACCCTCATAAAAAGTGATTGCCTAGATGACACTAGAAAATTCTAAGAAAAGTTTTCAGAGTCTCTACCTACTTGAGATTAATAAACATGTCTTTGGAGGCCAAACAATTAACTATGCACAGGTAGAGATTCCTTTTCTTTTGGGAGAATACAGTCTGTATGGGCATGTATTTAGAAGTACTTAACAGAGGAAGAGCTAGCTTAAGTTCCTTAATGAGAAGCATTTGGCTTTAGGAAATCCTAAGGTTTGTGAGGAACCTAGAAAATGACTTTGACATTCATTGGCTACAGTTATTTTCTTTGACTTTTCACATGTATTTCCCTTTAAAAGAAGTCATTGTTAGTCTAGGAGATTTGAGTACTGATAGTGCCTGTGAAGTGGAGGAGGGGGAATAGTTGGAGTCAGGAGATTTCTTGGAGAGGTAAAAGGATCATGATATGTGTAGGCTAAAATAGAACTCCTCCCACCCCCCAATAAAAAATCTGGGATTGGTGTTGGGAGAGATAATGGGGTAGATAATGAGGAATTTCTGCCCTCGGTGTCCATTGGCATACTCTGTACTGTAGTTACCCAGAGTTGTTTCCTGCCAGGCACTCAGTGCTTTTAATAGATGGAGTTGCAATTTACCGTAATATAATCATGAAATTGATAAATAAAGAAAAAACAGTGATAGGAAGATTTGAAATACAGAAGACCAGGTTTAAGGATTAACCACTTACATGGTATTATTTTAATATTAATTGTATATTATTTTTTTCCATGATGGCATCTTAAAGCTTTAGTGATTTTTATTTTTATTTTTATTTTTTTGAGACAGAGTTTCACTCTTGTTGCCCAGGCTAGAGTGCAATGGCGCAGTCTCGGCTCACTGCAACCTCTGCCTCCGGGGTTCAAGCAATTCTCCTGCCTCAGCCTCCTGAGTAGTTGGGATTACAGGCATGTGCCGCCAAGCCTGGCTAATTTTGTATTTTTAGTAGAGATGGGGTTTCTCCATGTTGGTCAGGCTGGTCTCGAACTCCCAACCTCAGGTGATCCGCCCGTCTTGACCTCCTAAAGTGCTGGGATTACAGGCATTAGCCACCATGCCCAGCTGATTTTTTTTTTTAGGAAAAATTTTTCCAGGAGCACCAGGCAAGTATTTAGGTTTTTTTTGCTTGTTTGTTTGTTTTGAGACGGAGTCTCCCTCTGTCACCCAGGCTGGAGTGCAGTGGCGTGATCTTGGCTCACTGCGACCTTCACCTGCCGGGTTTAAGCGATTCTTCTGCCTCAGCCTCCCAAGTAGCTAGGACTACAGGCGCGTGCCACCACGCCCAGCTAATTTTTTTTGTATTTTTAGTAAAGACGGGGTTTCAACATATTGGCCGGCCTGGTCTCAAACTCCTGACATCGTGATCTGCCTTCCTCGACCTCCCAAAGTGCCAGGATTACAGGCGTGAGCCACCATGCCTGGCTGTATTTAGTTGTTTTAAAAATATGTGCTGGCCAGGCGCGGTGGCTCATGCCTGTAATCCCAGCACTTTGGGAGGCTGAGGCGGGGCAGATCGCTTGAGCCCAGGGGTTAAGACCAGCCTGGGTAACAGGGTGAAACCCCATCTCTACAAAAAATTAAAAAACTAGCCGGCATGGTGGCACGCGCCTATAGTCCTAGCTACTCAAGAGGGTGAGGCAGGAGGATTATCGCTTGAGCCTGGGAGGCGCAGGTTGCATTGAGCCGAGATCTCACCACTGCACTCCAGCCTGGGTGATAGAGCGAGACCCTGTCTCAGAAAAAAGAAAAAGTGCTAATTCTGTACAGGATTTAAGGTATCAACTATATCTAAGTTAAACCCACGTTATTTTAACTGAACTTAAATTTTAAAAGTTAAAAATTTAAGAATCCATATATTGTGTAAGTAATTTTCATCTCCCTGTTTTCATATTCACCTCAGTAGTTGCGTATTGTAACCACAGTAGTATACTGGTAATAGTAAAAGAAATTCTGTCCTAAAAGAACTGAAAATTGAGTTCAAGATATTAAGAATTATCTGTGTAGGTGGGATTATGGGTGATTTATATATTTTTTGACATTTAGTTTTTCTGTAATGAGTATGCATTACTTTTGTTAGGTCCATTCTTAGAATCTTACTGTAGTCACTGATTTTATAATAGAAATATATTTTGATGCCGGGTACGGTGGCTCACACCTATAATCCCAGCACTTTGGGAGGCTGAGGCAGGTGGACCACGAGGTCAGTTCAAGAGCAGCCTGGCCAAGATGGTGAAAGCCCGTCTCTACTAAAAATACAAAAATTAGCGGGGTGTGGTGGCAGGTGCCTCTAGTCCCAGCTATACTGGGGAGGCTGAGGCAGGTAATTGCTTGAACCCGGGAGGCGGAGGCAGAGGTGAGCCAGGATTGTGCCACTGCACTCCAGCCTGGGCAACAGAGTGAGACTCCATCTCAAAAAAGAAAAAGAAATATATTTTGAAAGAAAGCTATAGTGATGATGTAATAGCTAGGAAAATGTAAGGCAATATAAAATGATATCTTAGAGATATTGATAAGCTGGAGCAGCAAAACTACCCAAGTGCTAGGGCATTATTTAGAGTATAAAAATGAATTCATACCCCCATTTCTTTTCTTTTTTTTTTTTGAGATGGAGTCTCGCTCTGTTGCCCAGGCTGAAGTGCAGTGGCGCGATCTCGGCTCACTGCAAGCTCTGCCTTCCGGGTTCACGCCATTCTCCTGCCTCAGCCTCCCAAGTAGCTGGGACTACAGGCGCCTGCAACCACACGCGGCTAATTTTTTGTATTTTTAGTAGAGACAGGGTTTCACCGTGTTAGCCAGGACAGTCTCAATCTCCTGACCTCGGGATCCGCCCGCCTCAGCCTCCCAAAGTGCTGGGATTACAGGCGTGAGCCACCGCGCCCAGCCTCATATCCCCCATTTCAAACACGCTGTAAACAATGCTCAATTACTTTCCTCTTAAGTTGAAACCACCAATTACTGGGGAAAGGGGCAGTTAGATTTTATTGGTTGACTTTGTGTTTTTACTAATCCTTGTTGAAAAGTAGAGGAATTGGTTTAGTTGAGAAAACAAAATACTAAAAAATCTGCCACTAGACTTTTTAAGTCAAGAGTTTGTATAAAATGAAACATATCTACTATCTAATCTATAAAATTTAGAATCTTTTTAATTCTAAAGTTAACTTAAGTGTGATTTTTAGTGCTGTTGCTGAGGCCAGTGTTGCTTAAAGCAGGAACTTCTACAGTAATTGACAAAACTTGAGTTTTTCTGCTCTCATTTATCCATCCTTCAGACCCCTCAGATGTCATCTATTTCCTGAAATCTGACTTCTCCAGTTTTAGTAATTCTTACAATTTTTCAGGATTTAGATAGTACTGTACAGTTTACTGCTATGTATATGTCTTTAATACTTGTTGTTTTCAGATATTACACTAATGTCTCATCTGTAGTATAAATCAGACTTTCTGTCTTCTACCAGTTACATAATTTATATAATTGTTGCAGTACATGTTTGTTGATTTACTAGGCTGGATTCATGTTACAGAATTGGTAATCTTGGTTGGGCATGGTGGCACATGCCTGTAATCCCAGTACTTTGGGAGGACAAGGCAGACGAATCTCTTGAGTTTAGGAGTTGGAGACCTGCCTTAGCAATATGGTGAAACCCTGTCTTTACAAAAAAAAAAAATACAAAAAATTAACAGGGCATGGTGGCATCTGCCTAGAGTCCCAGCTACTTGGGAGGCTGAGGTGGGAGGGTGGTTTGAGCCCGGGATTTGGAGGCTGCAGTAAGCCACAATTGCACCAATTACAGCATGAGACCATGCCTTAAAAAACGGGGTGGGGGTGTTAATCTTGGCTAGATGTCTGTTTTGATTGTTAGGATGAATTGTGTTGGTAGTATTTTTCTAAAATGTTCTATCCAAATCAACTTGTTTATTAATCTCAAATAGGGAGAGACTCTGAAAACTTGTCTTAGAATTCTCTAGTGTCACCTAGGCAATCACTTTTTATGAGGGTCAAGTGCAAAATTAATCAAAAATTTTCCTTATCTGTACATAACAAGGTAATATAATAACACGGAACCACAACATCAATGTTTTAGCAAATTACACATACCTTTTTTTTTTTTTCCGGACGGAGTCTCACTCTGTCACCCAGGCTGGAGTGCAGTGGTGCCATCTCAGCTCACTGCAACCTCCGCTTCCCGGGTTTAAGCAATTCTCCTGCCTCAGCCTCCTGAGTAGCTGGGACTACAGGCATGCGCCACCACGTCCTGCTAATTTTTATAGTTTTAGTAGAGATGGGGTTTCACCATTTTGGCCAGGATGGTCTCAAACTCCTGACCTCAGGTGATCCACCCTCCTCGGCCTCCCAAAGTGCTGGGATTACAGGCGTGAGCCACCGTGCCTGGCCCCAATTTTTTTTTTTTTTTTTTTGGTACGGAGTTTTGCTCTTGTTTGGAGTGCAGTGGCATGATCTCGGCTCACTGCAGCCTCTGCCTCCCCCGGGTTCAAGCGATTCTCCTGCCTCAGCCTCCCAAGTAGCTGGGATTACAGGCATGCACCACCACGCCTGGCTAATTTTGTATTTTTAGTAGAGATGGGGTTTCTCCATGTTGGTCCGGCTGGTCTCGAACCCCCGACCTCAGGTGATCCGCCTGCTTTGGCCTCCCAAAGTGCTGGGATTACAGGTGTGAGTCACCGCACCCGGCCTTCAATTGTTTTTTAAATGGACCTTCCAACTCAGTAGTGCCAGAAACCATGTGTTCAATATTTGAAATTATAATATTTTGATATACGAATTGCATCTATCAGATTGCCTGTTAAACCCAAAAACTATTTTTTTTTTAACAGTTATTTGTTCCAGTTTTTGGTTTGAAAGTGTTTGGTTTAAAAAATGTTATTTTAGCCATTTTTATTAAACTTTATGCCAAAAAAATTAAGGTATGTCAGAAAGTGTTCATAATTATGGAAATTTTCTCTTTGGATAGGCTCGCATGTCTTGGGATAGAGAGTCGACAGAAATTCGGTACCGTAGACTTCAACATTTGCTTGAAAAAAGCAATATATACTCCAAATTTTTATTGACGAAAATGGAACAGCAACAATTAGAGGTATGTATATGTAACTGACTACAAGTGAAAGCTTAAAAAAATTTAAAAATAGCTTTATTGAAGTGTATATTATATACAGTAAAATGGACAGATTTTAAGTGTACGGTTTGCTGAGTTTTGACTAGTAAATATATAGATCTGTGTAACCACCAGCACAATCAAGATACAGTGCACTTCCATGAACTCCAAAAAATTGTCTTGTGCTGACAGTAATCCCCATGGCTGGTGTCCAGCAACTACTGATTTGCTTTCTGTCACTATAGACCAGTATTGTTTTTTCCTAGAAAATTGTATAAATGAAATCATGGTATTGTGCTAGTGAGTAAATAGTTGGTCTTCATCACCATTTCCTGGTATACAACTCTTGAAATCCTTGGAATCTTCAAAGTAATAGTGTTTTTTTTTTTGTTTTTTTTTTTTTAATGCTAATGATCAATGGCTAGCTGCCCTTAGGTAGCTTCAGGATGGGAGCCTAAGAAAGACAAAACCTGGATTAGAGGGTTGGGATTTAGCCTCACCCTCAACTTTGAGGAAAAGAGACTGAAAGTTAACTTGTTCACCAGTGGTCACGATTGAATCAATCACGTCTATGTTATGAGGTCTTCATTAAAAACCCAAAAGGGCTGGGTGTGGCTCACATCTGTAATCCCAGCACTTTGGGGAGCCTAGGTGGGTGGATTGCTTGAGCCCAGAAGTTTGAGACCAGGCTGGGTAATATGGCAAAACCCTATCTCTAATAGAAAAATTAGCTAGGTAAGGTGGCATGTGCCTCTAGTCCCAGCTACTTGGGAGGCTGAGGCAGGAGGTTGGCTTGAGCCAAGGAGATTGAGGCTGCAGTGAACTGTGATGGCACCACTGCATTCTAGCCTGGGTGACAGAGCAAGACCCTGTCTCAAAAATAAAACAGGCTGGGCGCAGTGGCTCACGCCTGTAATCCCAGCACTTTGGGAGGCCAAGGCAGACAGATCACTTGAGCCCAGGAGTTCGACACCAGCCTGAGTAACATAGTGAAAACCCGTCTCTACCAAAAATATAAAAATTAGCCGGTCATGGTGGTGTGTGCCTGTAAGCCCAGCTACTCAGAAGGCTGAGGCAGGAGGATCGCTTGAACCCAGGAGGCGGAGGTTGCAGTGAGCCGAGATTGCACCCCTGGACTCCAGCCTGGATGACAGAGTGAGACCCTGCCTCAAAAATAAATAAATAAAAAAAACCCCAAAAGGGGACAGGGTTTGGAGAACTTCTGGATAGCTGAACACATGGAGGTTCCTGGAGAGGATGGCGCATCCAGAAAAGGCATGGAAGCTCTGCGCTTCTTTCTCCATACCTTGTTCTATACATCTCTTTCTCTGGTGTTCCTCTGAATATGTTGTAATCTTTCTTTCTTTCTTTCTTTTTTTTGGAGACAGAGTCTTACTCTGTTGCCCAGGCTGGTGTGCAGTGCACCATCTCAGCTCACTGCAACCTCTGACTCCTGGGTTCAAGCAGCCCTCCCACCTCGGCCTCCCGAGTAGCTGGGACTACAGGAGCACACCATTATGTCTGTCTTATTTTTGTATTTTTTGTAGAGACAGTTTTGCCATGTTGCCGAGGCTTGTCTGGAACTCCTGGGCTCAAGTGATCTGCTTACCCTGGCCTCCCAAAGTGCTGGGATTACAGGGGTGAGCCACTGCGCCTGGACTGTCATATTCTTTATAATAAACCAATAAACTTTAATGTTTCTTTGAGTTCTGTAAGCTCCTCTAGCAAATTAGTCAAACCCAAAGAGGGGCTTGTGGGAACCCTGATTTATAGCTATTCAGTAAGAAGCACAGGTAAGGCGACTTGGGCCTTGCGATTGGCATCTGGAACTGGTAGTTAAAAGTCTTGGGGACTGAACCCTCAACCTATGGGGTATGGTGCTTTCACCCCGTAGATAGTGTCAGAATTGAATTACAATAGAGGACACCCAGCTGGTGTCACTGCAGAAATGCTTGTTTGGTGTATAGGGAAAACCCCCACACATTGGGTCACAGAAGTCTTTTGTGTTGATTGTTGAGTGTGTAGGGAGAAACTGAGTTTGTTTTTTTCTCAATATTCTTGCACATATGCACTCTTTGTCTTGTTACTTTTGCTCAGTGTATTTTTGAGATTCATTCATGTCATGTTTTTCTGTAGGTTATTTTTTTTATTCCTGAGAAGGATTCCATTAAGAAATGTCGTTATTGGGGTGTAATTGACATACACTAAACTGCACATATTTAAAATGTACAATTCCCTAAGTTTGATATATGGATATACTTGTGAAGACATAACAATCATGATAGTGGACATACCCACTGATTCCAAAAAATTCTTTCTGCTTATTTATAATTCTTCTCGCCCGTCCCTACCCCATGTTCTATCCACAGATAGCCAATTGATCTGTTTTCTGTTATTATAGGTTCATTTGCATTTTCTGTTGGTGATGGGTTCTTTTAGCTTTCATATGTCTGAATGTCTTCACTTACCTTCATTTTTGAAATACGTTTTTACTGGGTAAAGAATTTTTTTTCTTTAGTACTTTATTTCTTGGAGTACTTTAAAGATGTTTCACTGTCTCCTAGCTTATGTTGTTTCTGAAAAGTGAAAGTCCTGATAATGTCTATATGTCTGTAAGCAATTTGACTGCCTCCCTCAATCCCATTACCTTTCAGACCTGTCTCCAGATGTGTTTCCTGTCTTGGGCTTTTGCCCTTGCTATTTTATGCCTGGAACCTTCTTCCTCTAAATAACTGCATGGCTTAACTTCATCTTCAAGCCCTGACTTAAATGGTTTCTAGATGAGACCTGCCCTCACAATTTTAAGAAAGTTGCTAACACACCTGATTCTCTTTACCTTGTTCTGTTCTTCCCATTGCACTTTTCATCTGATATACATCATTTATTGTATTTATTGTTTGTCTTTCCACTAGACTGTTATGAAGATTTAAAAACTTGTGCAAATTGAGAGAATACAGTAAGTCCCGGTGTCCCCATCACCCACATTTAAAAATTATCAATTTAAATTTTGCTGTATTTGTCAAATCTCCTTTTTCCTTTGTTTGAAACCCTTTTATTACTTTTTTATGGTAAAGTAAAACAAATGGAAAAACAAATATTCAACTTAATGAGTTACACAGCATCTACCCCTTTCATCACCTCTTGGAAATGGTTTGAATTTTTGGTGTCTTTAAAAAATTTGTAAGAGTATGTCTAGAATAGCTTTTAGTCTAGGAATAAGTTGATCCCTTTTCTGAGCACTCTACTTGATGCCCTTTATATTAAGAGGACTTTCTACTTTGGCTGAGAGAATGTGAGGTATACCTTATTATGCCTGACCCCTTGGAACATGAGAGGTTCCACCTGCTTCTTTCTGGTGACTCTTCTCCTGGCCTTGGTTACCATGCACTTACCAGTACTCAGCCTGAGAGAGAGATAACAGCTGCCTTTGTGCAGCTTTGTCCTCTCTGGTACTTGACCCTGGGAATGCTACTGCTCTTAAGTTTTGGATTCTGTCTCCTCAACACAAAGAGACTGTTGGGCTCTGTTTGGATTTTTCTCCATTATTTGTACTTTAAAATTGTATCAGGCAGTAAGCTGGGCAGTCAGAAGATTAACCTTGTTTCCGTTTTGTCAGTGTTTACAGTCCGTTACTGCATGTTGTCTGAAAACCATTGTTTAATAAATTTTATCTGGATTTTAGTTGTTTAAGGCAGGAGGCTAAATCTGTCCCATTAGTCCATAAAGGCTTGAAGTACAAGTTCCTCCCTGGTTTTTAATTATGATAGACCTTAGTTTCTCATTGTAAACATAAGTTATTTGAGAATTGATATGCGTTTTTTTTTTAAATGTTGCACTTTCCACTTGTGACATAAGAAAAAATTGTCTTACAGGAACAGAAGAAGAAAGAAAAATTGGAGAGAAAAAAGGAGTCTTTAAAAGTTAAAAAGGTAATATAGCCAGCCGGAATATTTTTTATGTCATTTAAATATTGAAGAAATACTTTTGTATTCTTCTGACTTTTTTGATCATCTGTTTAATTTTAAGTTTCTTTAGTGATAAACCTAACTTTGTTACAAGCAATGCAGAAACATGTAAAATCTGTTCCTCACTATTTAAGAAATGGAGAAAGAGCCAAAGTATGGTCCACTTTAGTTTCTTATTCTATGGATTATTTTGGACGTTGGCAAAATTTGACTTTCTTAATTGGAAAGAATCTGCAAATTTAAACTTCAAGGCATTTTGTAAGTGGCCACCTTCTTTGAAACCTGTAATGAAGTTTTGCTAGTGAAAAGAGAAATAATTTATTGAATACATACTGTGGGTCAGGTGTGCTATCATGTCTTCTCTTACTCTATTTTTTTTTTCTTTTTTGAGACGGGGACTCGCTCTGTCACCCAGGCTGGAGTGCAGTGGCGCAATCTCGGCTCACTGCAAGCTCTGCCTCCCGGGTTCACGCCATTCTCCTGTCTCAGCCTCCCGAGTAGCTGGGACTACAGGCGCCCGCCACCATGCCTGGCTAATTTTTTGTATTTTCAGTAGAGACAGAGTTTTACTGTGTTAGCCACGATGGTCTCCATCTCCTGACCTTGTGATCTGCCCACCTCGGCCTCCCAAAGTGCTCAGATTACAGGCATGAGCCACCACGCCCAGCCTGTTTTCCCTTACTCTCACAACAGTTCTTTTTAGGTAGAGGTACTTTTTTCCCCCATTTTACATAAATAGGCTGATGCAAGGAGATAAAGAACAATCATATTCAAGGATTCTATATTTGTGAATTCGCCTACTCACTTACATTTATTTGTAACCCCAGAGTCAAGATTCCTGACACCGTCATGGTCATTTTTGGATATGCTTATGTTCAGAGCAGCAAAGAATTTTAGTCCTCCAATACATATGTTCCAAGCTCAGCTCAAACATGGGTTGCTGTTCTTTGTTTTCTGCTACCATATGTATGTCAAGCATATATCCTTTTCATGGTCTTTATTTAGCACCATAACTTTTGCGTTTTTTTGTGCTTTTTCATGGTGATTTTGCTGTTAAAATGGCCCCCAACTATTGTACCAAAGTGCTGTCTAGTGTTTCTAAGTACAAAAAGGCTGTGCCATATGGAGAAAGTATGTCTTGGGTAAGCTTCATTGAGGCATGAGGTACAGTGCTGTTGGCCCTGAGTTCGATATTTATTTATTTATTTTATTTTATTTTATTTTATTTTTTTGAGACAGAGTCTTGCTCTGTCGCCCAGGCTGGAGTGCAGTGGTGCAATCTTAGCTCACTGCTACCTCCACCTCCTGGGTTCAAGCAATTCTTCTGCCTCAGCCTCCCGAGTAGCTGGGACTACAGGTGCGCGCCACCATGCCTGGCTAATTTTTGTATTTTTAGTAGAGACAGGGTTTCACCATATTGGGTGGGCTGGTTTCGAATTCCTGACCTCATGATCCACCCGCCTCAGCCTCCCAAAGTGCTAGGATTACAGGCGAGAGCCACTGCACCCAGCTGGCCCTGAGTTCAATATTAATCAACATATATATTAAATAAGATATCTTTAAAAACAGAAACACAAATAAAACAGGGTTGTGTATCGTTTGGTTGAAAATGTCATAACCAGAGTCAGAGACCCAAGCTTGTATTTTTCCTAGGGGCAATAAGTCAATAGTCATAGTGATTTTATCGAACCACAAGTACTGCAGATAATGAGAGCTGACTCTAATTTGCTGAAAATTACGGATTTGAACCCAGGATTAGTTTAAGAGCTTCTACTTAGCTTCTGTGCTAAACTGCCTTTTATTTATTTATTTTTTTTTTGAGACGGAGTCTCGTTCTGTCACCCAGGCTGGGATGCAGTGGCGTGATTTCGGCTCACTGCAACCTCTGTCTCCTGGGTTGAAGCAATTCTCTGCCTCAGCCTCCCAAGTAGCTGGGATTACAAGCACCTGCCAGCACACCCGGCTAATTTTTGTATTTTTAGAAGAGACAGGGTTTCACCATCTTGGCCAGGCTGGTCTTGAACTCCTGATCTTGTGATCCACTTGCCTTGGCCACCCAAAGTGCTGAGATTAAGTCCAGTTATTTGATTCTTAGACTAGTTAATGGTGATGTTAAAATGCCTGATAAAGTATTTTGCAGACTGTTTTGCAACAAAACCCATTATTTAAAACTGGTAATACTGCTAGGTGTGGTGGCTCACGCCTATAATCCCAACACTTTGGGAGGCTGAGGCAGATGGATTCCTTGAGGCAAGGAGTTCGAGACCAGCCTGGTCAACATGATGAGACCCTGTCTCTGCTAAAAATACAAAAAATTAGCTGGGCGTGGTGGTGTGTGCCTGTAGTCCCAGCTGCTTGGGAGGTTGAGGCACGAGTATTACTTGAACCACGGTAGGCAGAGGTTGCAGTGGGCCAAGATTGCATCACCGCACTCTAGTCTGGGCCACAGAGGGAGACTCTGTTCCTAAATAAATAAATAAATAAATACATAAAACTGGTAATACTGAGTCACTGAGAGAGAGAGTATTAAAAAATAAAAATGGGCCAGGCACGGTGGCTCACGCCTGCAATCCCAGCACTTTGGGAGGCCAAGGTGGGCCGATCATCTGAGGTCAAGAGCTGGAGACCAACCTGGCCAACATGGTGAAACCCAGTCTCTACTAAAAATACAAAAATTAGCCAGGCATGATGGCGGGTACCTGTAATCCCAGCTACTCGGGAGGCTGACACAGGAGAATTGCTTGAACCTAGGAGGCCGAGGTTGCAGTGAGCTGAGATCATGCTACTGGACTCCAGCCTGGGTGACAGAGCAAGACTCTGTCTCAAAAAAAAAAACAAAAAAACAAAAAAAAAACCCTCTGATCCTTGACTCACTTGCTAATTTCAGAGACTTACCTAGGGCTTTTCAGATTTTTATTTTCATAGAGACAGAGCTTCACTATGTTGCCCAGGCTGGTCTCGAACCCCTTGGCTTAAGCTATCCCCCACACCCACACCCATACCTTGGCCTCTGAAAGTGCTGGGATTACAGGCATGAGCTAGCACAACTGGCCTTACCTAGGGGTTTTGAAGAACATGTTTTTATTTATATGACAATTTTACTGGCTTAGTCATTTATTCCCTGCTCTTTAACCTGTTAATTTAATATATCCTTCACTTTATTCCACCTAACTTTTTATACCAGGGTTTTGATTTTTTTCCCCTCTGCTTTTTTCATAAGGGCGTCAACTATTTTGAAACTTAAAAAATTTTTTTAGAGGTGATGTCTCAGTAGCCCAGGCTAGAGTCCAGTAGCACCATAGTAGCTCACTACAGCTTTGAACTCCTGGGGTCAAGCCATCTTCCCACCTCAGCCTCCTGAGTAGCTGAGACTACAGGTGCACACCACCATGCTCAGCTAATTTTCGCATTTTTTATAGAGGTGGGGATCTTGCTTTGTTGCCCAAGCTGGTCTTGTACTCCTGGCTTCAAGCAATCCTACTACCTAGTCCTCCTAAAGTGCTGGGATTATAGGTGTGAGCCACTGCACCTGGCCAGAAACTGTTTCTTAACATCTCATTTCTCTTACCTTCCTCACTAATAATTTTCCATTAGTATTCTCTTTTATTTCTGCTTTGGGTTATATTTAATGTATGAATTTCATTCACAATGAATATTCCTTCAATACCCTACCTATTGAAGGGTATTCCTTCAATACCCTACCCTACAAAAATACCTATTTTTGTATTTTTAGTAGAGACAGGGTTTCACCATGTTAGCCAGGATGGTCGTGATCTCCTGACCTCATGATCTGCCCGCCTCTGCCTCCCAAAGTGCTGGGATTACAGGCTTGAGCCACCGCGCCCGGCCAAGATGTACATGGTATTTCTAAATAAAAATGCCAACTATGGGCTGGGTGCAGTGGCTCAACGCCTGTAATCCCAGCACTTGGGGAGGCCTAGGCGGGCGGATCACCTGAGGTCAGAAATTCAAGACTAGCTGGCCAACGTGGTGAAACCCCATCTCTACTAAAAATACAAAAATTAGCCGGGCGTGGTGGCAGGTGCCTGTAATCCCCACTACTCTGGAGGCTGAAGCAGGGGAATCTCTTGAACCTGGCAGGCGGAGGTTGCAATGAGCCGAGATTGTACCAGTGCACACTATCCTGGGCGACAAGAGTGAAACTCCGTCTCCAAAAAACAAACAAACGAAATGCCAACTATGTTTAATTTTGAAATTTCTCTTCTAAATGGAAAAAAATGGACAGAAGTAGAGCCCTTGGGAAAAAGCAGAGATTATGAACAAGTTATAGTAGGGAAATACAGAAAAATATTACATGTAGGTAAGTATAATAGTGAAAAATTGTGGATGTGGCTCAATTGCAGGAAACATATTTTTTCTCAAGTTAATCAGTGCCTTTTAACGTATAATACTATGAAGGTCCTTAATAAAATCAATATTCTGAATCCTTGTTTTGTAGGGTAAAAATTCAATTGATGCAAGTGAAGAGAAGCCAGGTAAATATCCTTATTCTAGTTTTGAAGAATATGCGTTTATATTTCTATTTTAATTGCTATCAAAAATAAAATTTTTTTTTATAGTTATGAGGAAAAAAAGAGGAAGAGAAGATGAATCATACAATATTTCAGAGGTCATGTCAAAAGAGGTAAAAATAAAAGGGAGAGGGCACCTAACATTTGATGTTGAGTAAAATGTAGGTTTTAAACCACCTTAAATCTGTAAAGATTGAATATTCAATATCACATGAAATATGTTTTGAATTTAATATTATATATCATTTATAGGTGAAGCTGCCAAAATGTTTGAAGCTATCTACCAACCTACAGTAGACTTGAGACTAATCTGAAACTAATGTCATCTGACCTTCATAGACTTTTTTTTTTTTTTGAGATGGAGCTCTGTGGTCCATGCTGCCTTGCAGTGTCACTATATCTGCTCACTGCAACCTCCACCTCGCGGGTTCAAGCGATTCTCCTGTCTCAGCCTCCCAAGTAGCTGGGATAACAGGTGCCAACCACCACGCCTGGCCAATTTTTGTATTTTCAGTAGAGATGGGGTTTCACCATGTTGGCCAGGCTGGTCTTGAACTCCTGACTTAAGGTGATCCGCCCGCCTCGGTCTCCTAAAATGCCACATTACAGGCGTGAGCCATTGCGCCCATCCTCACTTAAGTGGCAAATAGGCTTACACCTTTAGGTTGTTCTGGTTTTCTTTTCTTTCTTTCGTTTCCTTCCTTTCTAGCTTCCTTCTTTTTTTTCTTCTTTTCTTTTTTTGAGGCAGGGTATCACTCTGTGACTCAAGCTGGAGTGCAGTGGCACAATCATGGCTCACTGCAGCCTCGACCTCATGGGCTCAAGTGATCCTCCTACCTCAGCCCCCTGAGTAGCTGGGACTACAGGTGTGTGACACCATGCACAGCTGGCTAATTTTTAAATTTTTTGTAGCAATGAGATGTCATATGTTGCCTAGGCTGCTCTTGAACTCCTGGGTTCAAATGATCTTTTTGCTTCAGCCTCCCAAACTGCTGAGAGTACAAGTGTGAGCCAGTGTGCCCAGCTTTTTGTTGGTTTTCTTTTCTTTTTTTTTTTTTTTTGATGAGACGGAGATTTACCCTTGCTGCCCAGGCTGGAATGCAATGGTGCGATCTAGGCTTACCGCATCCTCCGCTTCCCAGGTTCAAGCAATTCTCCTGCCTCAGCCTCCTGAGTAGCTGGGATTACAGGCATGTGCCACCACACCCGGCTAATTTTGTATTTTTAGTGGAGATGGGGTTTCAGTGTGTTGCCCAGGCTGATCTTGAACTCCTGACCTCAGGGGATCCACCCGCCTTGGCCTCCAAAAGTGCTGGGATTACAGGCGTGAGCCACTGCACCCGGCCTTTGCTGGTTTTCTTATTTGGGTTATTACAGATAACAGTAATAGCTTTGACTCTACCTATTATCTTGTGCTTGTTAAGTACCTAGTGGACTTGTATAGCATTTTGCAAGGAACTGTGGAAACAACAGGCATGGGCATAGAGCTTAAAATTACATATATGTTGCGGAGAGTTGGGGGGAAAGGGTAGGGTAGTAAAGACACTGTCTGACCAGAGCAGATAAGTATTTCAGGGAAAAAGATGGTACCAGCTCTTTGTTAAACGAGTCTGAGCCTGGCCTAGTCAGAAATTGTCACTATAATTTAACTTTTTGTAACCCCTAACCTTGTCTTAAGAACTTTATTCTTGTTTTTTGTTGAAGACTTTTACGAAACTGAAATCATATGCTCTTTTCTAAAACCAGCTTCTTTTTTTCATTTCTCACTTTTTACTTAAAAATATGAATGAATTAGAGCATCTTCAGTTCTGACAAACCAGTTCCTTAGCATGTTTTTAATGTGTCACATTCTTCCTTTTTTTTTCTTGGAGACAGTCTTGCTCTGTCCCTCAGGCTGGAGTGCAGTGGCGCGATCTCGGCTCACTGCTACAAGCTCCACCTCCCATATTCAAGCGATTCTTATGTCTCAGCTTCTGAGAAGCTGGGATTACAGGTACCTATTTGTATTTTTAGTAGAGACAGGGTTTTGCCATGTTGGCCAGGATGGTCTTGAACTACTGACCTCAGGTGATCCTCACGCCTTTATCTCCCAAAGTGCTGCGATTACAGGCATGAGGCACCACTCCTGGCCACATTCTTATATTTAAAAAAAAAAGCACAACTCTATTGTCTACTGTTGTTCTTTTACCTGAAGTTCAAACTCTAGCTCTTCAGAAGAAAAATTTACATAATAGTTTTCCTTTTCTCTAGGGATGCAATGATAGTTTTTCACTGAAAAATAATCGTCAGGGGGCCGGGAGCAGTGGCTCACGCCTGTAATCCCAGCATTTTGGGAGGCTGAGGCGGGTGGATCCCGTGAGGCCAGGAGTTCGAAACCTGTCTGGCCAACATGGTGAAACCCCGTCTCTACTAAAAATATAAAAATTAGCTGGGAATGGTGGCTTGCGCCTGTAGTCCTAGCTACTCAGGAGGCTGAGGCAGGAGAATCACGAACCTGGGAGGCAGAGGTTGCAGTGAGCTGAGATGATGCCACTGCACTCCAGCCTGGGCAGCAGAGCAAGACTCTGTCTCAAAAAAAACAAAGTTAGGGTCCACTGAAATTCATTATGGTATCTATTCAACTTGCAGTTTAAAACACTTTTAGGCTGGGCGTGGTGGCTCATACCTGTAAACCCCGGCGCTTTGGGAGGCCAAGGTGGGAGGATCACCTGATGTCAAGAGTTCGAGGCCAGCCTGACCAGCATGGAGAAACCCCATCTCTACTAAAAATACAAAATTAGCTGGGCTTGGTGGCACATGCCTGTAATTCCAGCTACTTGGGCAGGCTGAGGCAGGAGAATTGCTTGAACCCCGGAGGCGGAGGTTGCAGTGAGCTGAGATGGCACCATTGCACTCCAGCCTGGGCAACAAGAGTGAAATTCCATCTCAAAAAAGAAAAACCACTTTTAATATGCCATACTGAAGTTTAGCCAGTCATACAGCTGTTTATTTAATTTGTTAAATGGTTGTGGAATATCGGTTTTGGGCAAACTTTGTCATAGGTGGATGAAATCCATTAGTAAAGAAAGGTAAATGCTGTCTTCACCTTAGCCTGCATACAGAGAGAGATATAGGAGTAAGTAGTCAATGAAATTGAATTTTTTTTTTTTTGAGACAGTGTTTCTATTACCCTGGCTCGAATGCAGCTGGCACAATCTCAGCTCACTGCAGCCTCAACCTCCCAGACTCAAGTGATCCTCGTATCTCACACTCCCCAGTAGCAGGGACTACATGCCTGTGCCACCAGGCCTGGCTGATTTTTGTATTTTTTGTAGAGATGGGGTTTTGTCATGTTGTCTAGGCTGGCCTCGAATTTTTGGGCTCCTGCCTCGGCCTCCCAGAGTACTGGGATTACAGGTCTGAGCCACTGTGTCCGGTTGGGAATTGGATGTTTATACACCATATTAGAGGGGCTCTTCACTCTGGCATGCAGTTCCTGAACCTTTTCATCTATGAAAAGGAAATGATATCTGTGTTGTGACTTGAAGGATAAAAGTTAAATTATTTAAAGGTGGGATTAATAGGGAAAGAGTAAAGTACAGGTAAGATAGTGGGGGAGGTGTTTTAGGAAGAAATAATAGCATTGAACAAATATCCAGGGTCAAGAGAGACTGGCAGTTTCAAAAAACTTGAAGTAAATTATATTTGCCTCCAATTTGTATATAAGTGAAAAGAGTGATGAAGGAAGGATGAAGCTGTCGATGTAAGCATGGTCAGGAGTTTAAGGCTGCCATAAGTAAAGTAGGAAGCTATTGAAAGATTTTAAGCAAATTTCCATTTTGGTAAATCACTTGGCTAGTTTATTCAGAGATCTGTGGGCATAGTAGTTTTTCTTTCTTTCTTTTTCTTTTCTTTTTTTTTTTTTAAGACAGAGTTTCACTGTGTGGCCCAGGCTGGAGTGCAGTGGTGATCTCGGCTCACTGCAACCTCCGTCTCCCAGTTCAAGCAATTCTTTCACCTCAGCTCCCTGAGTAGTCCAGCGCCTGGGACTACAGGCACGTGCCACCACGCCTGGCTGTTTTTGTATTTTTTCATAGAGAGGTGGTTTCACCATCTTGGCCAGGCTGGTCTCAAACTCCTGACCCGAAGTGATCTGCTTGCCTCTGCCTTCCAAAGTGCTGGGATTACAGGTGTGAGCCACCATGCCTGGTCCCATACCAGTTATTCTTTCATTTACTGTTACTTCTTTCTTCTGTATATTTACTGAATTTCCTGCTCTCTTTTCCTCTTCGCCTAACTAAATTCTTTCCATTGTTTCATTCTCACCTTACTTGCTGAAGAATCTCTAAATCTGTGAATGCATTTGGAGGGGTATAACCCAATTGAGTGTTCTGCCACTGTGGACCCTGCTCCTCCAAGTTATCCCTTCTGTTTCTTCACCTTTTCCTTCCTCACTGGGTCTTTGCCTTTCAATTATAGATACATTGTGTTTTCCTGTCTGCAGAACAAAAATTTTTGATCCAGTCTTTCTAGATTGCCCTGTTTTTTATTCTTTATTTCCAAGGTTTTTTTTGAGACACAGTTTTGCTCTTGTTGCCCAGGCTGGAGTGCAATGGCGCCATCTCGGCTCATTGCAACCTCCGGCTCCCAGGTTCAAGCGATTCTCCTGCCTCAGCCTTCCGAGTAGCTAGGATTACAGGCATGTGCCACCACGCCTGGCAAATTTTGTATTTTTAGTAGAGACGGGGTTTCTCCATGTTGGTCAGGCTGGTCTCGAACTCCCGATCTCAGGTGATCCACCCACCTTGGCCCCCAAAGTGCTGAGATTACAGGCATGAGCCACTGCACCGGCCTATTTCCAAGCTTTTTAAGAGTAGGCTGGACTGGACATGATGCCTGACACCTGTTATCCCAGCACTTTGGGAGGCCAGGGTGAGAGGATCACTTAAGCCCAGGAGTTTAAGACTAGTTTGGGCAACATGGCGAAATCCTGTCTCTACAAAAAGAAATACAGAAATAGCCAGGTGTGGTGGTGCATGACTTTGGTCCCAGCTACACAGGAGGCTGAGGTGAGAGGATCACCTGAGCCTGGGGAGGTGAAGGCTGCAGTGAGGTGAGATTGCGCCACTGCACTGCAGCATGGGCAAGAGAATGAAACCCTGGTTTTTTTTTTTTTTTTTTTTTTGGAGAGAGAGTCTCGCTCTGTCGCCAGGCTGGAATGCAGTGCTGCGATCTTGACTCACTGCAACCTCCGCCTCCCGGGTTCAAGTGATTCTCCTGCCTCAGCATCCTGAGTAGCTGGGACTACAGGCACACGTCACCACGCCCAGCTAATTTTTGTATTTTTAGTAGAGATGGAGTTTCACCATTTTGGCCTGGATGGTCTAGATCTCTTGACCTTGTGATCCATCTGCCTTGGCCTCCCAAAGGGCTGGGATTACAGGCGTGAGCCACCGCGCCTGGCCCTTTTTTTTTTTTTTTTAAAGAGTAGCCTGTGCATATTTCCTTACACATTATGCAGTTGAGCAGTTTTACGCCTACCAGTTGAATTTATTGGTATCTTTGAAATTGATACCTAGCACAAAGCAAACAATTTATCTTTTCCTCTCTTCCGAATCTTGCTCTTTTGTTTTCTCTTTTTTTGGTGTTAATATCAGAACCAGTATCTACTGTGTCATCTAAAACAATTTAGGAGGTTATCTGAATTTCCTTATATATCTAGATTTTTATCGATTTCTGTGAGTCATTTCATTTGCTGCTACTCTGGTGTTTATGCCCTTACTGTGCCCTATTTATAGTAGTTTCTTAATTGATTTTTATAATCCTAGTCTAGCTCTCATTGTCAAGAGTACCAGATTGGTTTTTCTGAAACTCAAATATAATTACTCATAACCTCCATTACTTTTTATGGTTTCACAAGGAATTGCATTTTCTTGTAGAAAAATTTGAGAATAAACAAAATACAAGGAAATCACCTGAAAAGCTGTCACACAGATAATCACTAACATTTTGGTATATGTATGTTCTTTTTCTTTGTATTACGGAAAATCTCAAAAATTACAAATGTTTAGAGGATAGTAAATTGAATGTCCACCTTTATCACTTTTTTTTTTTTTGAGATAGAGTTTCACTCTTGTTGCCCAGGCTGGAGTGCAGTGGCATGATCTTGGCTCACAGCAACATCCGCCTCTCAGGTTCAAGCGATTCTCCTGCCTCATCCTCCCGAGTAGCTGGGATTACAGGCATGTGCCATCATGCTCGGCTAATTTTTAGTTTTATCAGAGATGGGGTTTCTCCATGTTGGTCAGGCTGGTCTTGAACTCCTGACCTCAGGTGACCCGCCCGCCTCGGCCTCCCAAAGTGCTGGGATTAGAGGCATAAGCCACCACGCCCAGCCAATCGCTTTTTAATTCTGGGATATTTTAACAAAAAGCTCAGCAAGACTTTTTTTTTTTCTTAAGGTGGAGTCTCGCACTGTCACCTGGGCTGGAGTGCAGTGGCATGATCTCGGCTCACTACAACCTTTGCCTCTTGGGTTCAAGTGAGTCTCCTGTCTCAGCCTCCCAAGTAGCTGGGATTACAAGTGCCCACCACCACGCCCAGCTAATTTTTTGTATTTTTAGTAGAGACAGGGTTTCACCATGTTGGCCAGGCTGGTCTCAAACTCCTGACCTTGTGATTTGCCTGACTTGGCCTCCCAAAGTGCTGGGATTACAGGCTTGAGCCACCATGCCCGGCCAAGACTATTTTTTAGAACCATAACCACAATACAGTTACCACACTTTTGAAAGTCGATGGGAATTCCTTAATATTTAAATTTCTCAATAGGCTAATTTTTATTTTTAGGGATGGGGGCTTGCTGTATTGACGAGACTGGAGTGCAGTGGCTATTCCTGAGTATTGTCATAGTGACTACACCTCAAACACCTGGGCTCACATGATCCTCCTGCCTCAGTGTCCCGAGTAGTAGTGCAGGGACTATAGGCACTTACCGCTGTGATCTGCTTAGCTCATACATTTTAAAAAAATAGTTGGTTCAAATCAGGATCCGAAAAAGTTACATAAATTGTGTTTGATTAATGCGTATCTTGGGTCTCTTTTAGATCTAGAGTGTCTCTCATCTTTTTTAAGAAACATTATTTGTTGAAGAAAATGAGTAATTCTGTATAATTCCCCACATTCTAGACTTTACTGATTGTATCCCCATGATTTCTCTGCCTCTTGTGTTTCCTGTTAACTATAGTAACTATAAGTTAAATACGGAAGTTTGTGATTAAGGTGTTTTTTTATTTTTTTTTTTATTTTTATTTTTTTTTGGGAGACAAGATCTTTCTCTGTTGCCCAGGGTGGAGTGCAGTGGTGCCATCTCGGCTCATTGAACCTCTGATTGCTGGGCTCAAGCAATCCTCCCACCTCATCCTCCTGAGTAGCTGGGACTACAGGCGTGTACCACCAAGCCCAGCCAACATTTATATTTTTTGTAGAGATGGGATCTCACCATGTTGCCCATGCTTGATTTTTAATAAGAATACTTCATTGGTGGTATTTATAGATTTTGATTTATTTCCAAATTGTTCTTTCAAAAGTTTCATTTTATCTAGTCATTTTACAGGACAGCTTTTATCAGTTCCTGGTATAAAATCCTTTTAGCCTCAGCCTTATAATATGAATATCTATACATACATAATACTTCATACACACACGATATACATATATTCCCATGTATATATATGTGTGTGTGTCAGCCACTTACATGTCCTGTTACTCTTCTATGAATCTTAAATTTGATATTGCTGTTTTGAATCTACTTCATCCCCTATGCCTTCTATATTCTCTCTGCTTGAAATCTACCCTCACTATCTTGAATGATGAAGCCTGGTGACAACTTTTTAGATAATTTTATGTAAGATAATTATTTGCTAAGTCATCCAGTGACATACTCGGGTATTGTTTGTCTCCCTACCAGCAGCATCTAGTAGGTACTTCAAAATCAGAGCACTTTATTCTGTATTTTTAATTTTTTCTGTCTTTGCCTCTTACCCAGGAATGCAAACTCAGATGTCTATCCACAGAGGCCTAAAGTGGGCTGTAACATGGTTTGGCAAACTTTTTCTGTAAATAGCCAGATAGTAAATATTTTTAGCTTTTGAGTAGTTTTGTGGGCAACTACTCAACCCTGTACTCTGCTGTTGTTGCTTGAAAGCAGCCATAGACAAACCGTAAACAAGTGAGGCTGACTTTGTTCCAATTTATCCCATTTCTTTGCTTTTAAAAAAATACCTGTGTATTCGCTTAGCTGGAGTTGGTCTACAGGCTGTAGTTTGCTGACCCCAGGACTAGAGGTTTGTTGCCATGTGTGAATTTGTACTTAATCTACTCAGATTAAAAGAAAGAAAAGCTGGAAAATCACTGTATTTGATGAAATATCCCATTGTATAAGTGTTCCCAAATTAGCCTAGAATGTTATGAAATATTATGAGCCAGTAATGTCTATAGGCTTATTTCTGCCTGAAGGCTACTAGTTTTATCTTGAGAATCTCATCCTCATTTCCTGGCAAAATGAGCACAGAATAAATGCTTGTTGAATAAATAAATAAATGAACTTCATACATTATTAATTTGTTTTTGTTTTCTCAAACTACTAGGAAATTTTGTCTGTGGCTAAAAAAAATAAAAAGGAGAATGAGGTAAGAAATTTATAATGTAAGATTAAGTTTAGAAGTCATATTTACTCCTCAGTTACTAGTCCTTTTTCTTTAATCAGCAGTATACGTTCTTCTCACTATTATCCTGTTTCTTTGCTTTAAAAAAAAATACCTATGTATTCACTTCTTCCATATCCAACATTCTTCTTTTTTATGTATCAACTTTAGTTAGTTGTTTTATTGCATGATTCTTGATGTATAAATGTTAATTTATGGGTCTAGCAATGTTGCTTTTAACTTGTGAATCTGGCAGTGATACAAGTGCTCGTAACCATGTGGATATAAACCGTGAATCATCTTATGGAAGCTGTGAGGGATGCCTTAATCTTGCTTCAGACCTTAAAGATTTTTTAAGTTTCTTAAAAGTTCTGTTTGAGAAGGCTTGATTTCCGAGCCACCTCTTCACTTAGCCCATTTCATGTAGAGAGGTTCCTTGTTATCTGACTTTTTATTGTTCAAGTACTTAAAATTACAAGGTTGCCTAGGGAAGCAAAATAATCATGACATGAAAATATTCATGAATGGATATGAACTTCAGGTAGTTAATTTACATATTAAAGATTTTTAGGCCTTTGGGAAATTAATGTTATGTTTATAAAATGAGAGATAATCTATTTGGTCATATAATTTTGTCCAAAATTTATATTGTAAAAGTGTCTTGGTTTTTATTCTTTGTTAAGTTATTAAGGACTGGTTTATGGGTGCAGTTTAGTTGGATTTTTAAAGATTTAGTTAGATAAACATTTAGTTGGATTTTTAAGATAAAGTCTAGATGTAATCTTCTGTAATTTACTATGGGATTTTGGCTTCATTTTATAACTTACAGTCAGTAAGAAATAGTTGTTAAGTATGGTATTTTAATGAATTTCGACACTTGCATACACTTGTGTAACCACCATCCAAATCAAGGTATAGAACATTTCCATTGTAAAGGGATCTCTTCTATGTCTTTCCACCCCCAAACCCAGAGGAGGCCACTTTTTACACCTTTTATAGGATGGCTTATTATTTCCTTTCCACTCAACATGTCTGTGATACTCATTTATGTTGTTGAGCATATTAGTAACCGGTTTCTTCTTATTGACTAGTATTCTGTTGAATGAATGTTACAATTTTCTCATCCATCCCCTTATTGATGGGCATTTGGGTTGTTTGCAGTTTGTGACTTTTATGAGTAAGGTTGCTATGATAATTTGCACACAAGTCCATGTGTAGACATGTTTTCATACTTTCTGCCTGTGTACCTGGGAATGGTATTGTTGTGTTACGTGGCAAATGTGTGTTCATAAGAAAGTACAGATTTTCCCCCCCAAAGTAAACACATCATTTTATTCTCTCGCCAGCAATGTTTGAAAACTCCAGCTTACATTATTGTCAGCATTTGATAGTCTTTTTAATTTCAGCCATTTTATTAGATGAGAAATGGTAACTTGTGTGGTTTTTAACTTGCATTTTCCTAATTACTACTGAAGTAGAGTATATTTTTATGTTCTTTGATAACTATGTTTTCTTTCTTTTTTTTTCTTTTTTGAGATGGAGTGTCACTCTGTCGCCCAGGCTGGAGTGCAATGGCACGATCTCGGCTCACTGTAAACTCTGCCTCCCAGGTTCAAGCGATTCTCCTGCCTCAGCCTCCCAAGTAGCTGGGACAACAGGCTCATGCCACCATGTTCAGCTAATTTTTGTATTTTTAGTAGAGACAGTGTGTCACCATTTTGGCCAGGATGGTTTTGATCACTTGACCTCATGATCTGCCTGCCTTGGCCTCCCAAAATGCTGGGATTACAGGCGTGAGCCACCATGCCCGGCCTGTATGTTTTCTTTTGTAAAGTATCTGTTAATATCTTTTGCCCGTCTTATTTATGCGTACTGTATTTTCTGTGTAACAGTTTAATAAATTATTGAGTATCACAATATTAGAAGTTTGGAAGAGAGATACAATTCTAATGATCTTTTCAAAAGTATGTGCCTGATTTTAATTTGTAAGGGTTATTCTCAGATTTTTATATTTTATTTTATTTTATTTTATTTTATTTTTTGAGATGGAGTCTTCTGTCACCCAGGCTGGAGTGCAGTGGCTGTGTTCATGGCTCACTGCAGCCTTGACTTCCTGGGTTTAAGTGATCCTCAGCCTCCCGAGTAGCTGGGATACAGGCAGTTGCGTGCAACCACACCCAGCTAATTTTTTGTATTTTTAGTAGACACAGGGTTTCGCCATGTTGTCCAGGGTTGTCTTGGATACCTGGACTCAGGTGATCCTCCTGCCTCAGCTTCCCAAAGTGCTGTGATTGTAGGATTAGCCACTGTGGCAGCCTGTTATTTTTTTTTTTAGTAGCTTTTCATTTGTAGAGGGATGGCGATGTCTCCAGTTTTTTAATCCAGGTGTGATCTTAGTCTTCTATACTTAATGATTATAGGACTCAGTAGATTTTGTTAGTTGCATTTTCTGATAAATGGTGGCATACAGCAGCATTTTGTATAACACATCTTATTAAACTTTTTTTCTCTACAGGATGAAAACTCCTCCTCTACTAATCTCTGTGTGGAAGATCTTCAGAAAAATAAAGATTCGAATAGTATAATTAAAGATAGATTGTCTGAAACGGTTAGGCAGAATACTAAATTCTTTTTTGACCCAGTCCGGAAGTGTAATGGTCAGCCAGTACCTTTTCAACAACCAAAGCACTTCACTGGAGGAGTGATGCGATGGTACCAAGTAGAAGGCATGGAATGGCTTAGGGTAATGAATTGGAATTTTTAATACAAGATACTGGTTTTATTTCTATAGTAGCCTAATGATTTGAGGTACCACAACTTGAGTCATTTCTATCATGTTTCACTATTATACATTTGTATGTGGATACTTGCTTTCTGATTTCTTTACCCTGAATTTTTAGAAGTAGAAATTACCTTGTTAATGGCTTCCAGCACTTTTATGGCTTTGATAAAGGACTTTCCAGTGTTGTTATAATTTATGGTGTGAATATATCAGCTTTAACATAATTCTCATCTTTGGGTGTGATTTTTTAAAGAGAAGAAATAAAATATTGTAATCCTGTAGTTGTTTATATCCAAGTTTAAATACAGTATCTATTATTTTGTCCAGATGCTTTGGGAAAATGGAATTAATGGCATTTTAGCAGATGAAATGGGATTGGGTAAGACAGTTCAGTGCATTGCTACTATTGCATTGATGATTCAGAGAGGAGTACCAGGACCTTTTCTTGTCTGTGGCCCTTTGTCTACACTTCCTAACTGGATGGCTGAATTCAAAAGATTTACACCAGATGTAAGACATGCTTCCTTATGTTAAAATTATAATTTTACATGTTTTCTTATGCTTTGTTGTAGTAGGAATTAAATTGTAGAACTCTTATAATTATATTGGTTTCTGTATAAATATTTTGTCTGATTTGACTTACTCAATCTGCACAATACCCTAATTTAAATTTATATAGTATAGGTTTTGGAAATCCCTGACATCTTTCCTAAAATATTCCTGAATGATTTTCAGTGCATTGGTAATTTGATTCGACTGAGACAGACTTAGGTAGAGATTTTATTAAAAATTCTGCTTGTTCTTCACTTGATCTTTGCCAAAAGGCTAAGAAGAGAGTTTTCTGTTTTTTCTGTACTTGTTACCTTCTGCAATTTTTTTTTTTTTTTTTTTTTTTGAAATGGAGTCTCTGTTACCCAGGCTGGAGGGCAGTGATGCAGTCTTGGTTCACTGCAATCTCTGCCTCCCATGATGAAGCAATTCTTGTGCCTGAGCCACCGGAGTAGCTGGGATTACAAGCATGTGCCACCATGCCCAGCTAATTTTATGTTTTTAGTAGAGACGATGTCTTGCCATGTTGGCCAGGCTGGTCTTGAACTCCTGGCCTGAAGAGATCTGCCCACTTTGGCCTCTCAAAGTACTGGGATTATAGACGTGAGCCACTGTACCTCCCGGGCCCAGCCCTTCTGCACATTTTTGCCTTATGAGAAATATATATATTCTAGACGTAGTATCACCATCTGTCTCATTTTATATATTTATATATATATTATTTATTTATTTATTTTGAAATGGAGTCTGTCTCTGTCACCATGCTGGAGTGTAGTAGCTGGGACTACAGGCGCACACCACAAGGCCAGGCTAATTTTTTGTATTTTGGTAGAGACAGGATTTCACCATGTTGGCCAAGATGGCCTCTATCTCCTGACCTTGTGATCCGCCCACCTTGGCCTCCCACAGTGGTGGGATTACAGGTGTGAGCCACTGCGCCCAGCCTATATGTGTTTTATGTATTTGTAGGTTTTTTGTTGGGGGGGGGGTTGTGTTTGTGTGTGTGTGTGTGTGTGTGTGTGTGTGTGTGTGTGTGTGTATGACAGAGTTTCACTGTTGTTGCCCAGGCTGGAGTGCAATGGCACGATCTCGGCTCAGTGCAACCTCCGCCTCCCGGGTTCAAGCGATTCTCCTGTCTCAGCCTCCCAGGTAGCTGGGATTACGGGCGTGCGCCACCACGCCTGGCTAATTTTGTATTTTTAGTAGTGACGGGGTTTCTCCATGTTGGTCAGGCTGGTCTGGAACTCCCGACCTCAGGTGGTCTGCCCGCCTCAGCTTCCCAAAGTGCTGGGGATTACAGGTATGAGCCATCCCACCTGGCCCGTCTATTTGTTTTTATGCCTTTTTTTTTGTCTTCAGACAGGATGTTGCTCTGTTGCTCAGGCTGGAGTGCAGTGGCGTCATTCTGGCTCACTGTGGCCTTCACCTCCCAGGCTCATGTGAGCCTGCTATCTCACACGCCTGAGTAGCTCATGTGAACCTCCCATCTCACTCCACTGGGTGAGTAGCTGGCACTACGGGTGCGTACCACCACACCAGCTAATTTTTGTATTTTTTGTAGAGATGGGATTTCTCCATGTTGCTCAGGTTGATCTCGAACTACTGGACTTTAGAGATCGGCTTGCCTTGGCTTCCCAAAGTGTTGAGATTATAGGTGTGAGCCATTGTGCTGGGCCTGACTTTGTTTTTTTGTTTGTTTTTTTTTCATTTTCTCCCATAATAGTTCAATGATTTGTTAGAATTGCTTGGCTTATTTTGCTATAGAAAAATAGAAATAAAATTTTTTAAAATTATATTTTTTCCCTCAGAATGATTTATATTTTCTAAATAGTCAATATTTACATTTTGTTCTTAAGTCTGATAAAAATCAATATAAAATTTTTCAGATCCCTACAATGTTATATCATGGAACCCAGGAGGAACGTCAAAAATTGGTAAGAAATATTTACAAACGGAAAGGGACTTTGCAGATTCATCCTGTGGTAATCACGTCATTTGAAATAGCCATGAGAGACCGAAATGCGTTACAGGTACAAATGATCTTCATTGGTTTCTTTGTAATACATAAAACATGCTTTTCTTCATTTATATCACTTTCTCACCATCTGGGAGCATTTGTCTAATTTTTTTTTGTTGTCGAAATAATAGATTATATTGTGCATATACCTGTAGAAGCTGGAAACTTTTATTAACAGAATGATTGGGATGAAGGCCATCATTTGTAACAATATAATTAAAGCTTATGGCAGTTTAACCTATGGCTTAGAATCATCCAGAAATAGACCTAATCTCGGAATGTATTACAGATATATTTGTGACAGGTACTTTGAATATATGGAATTTACTTATCGTATTTTAATCAAATAAGAGTATTTGAAGACAAGTTATTTTTAGAGTATCTTATTGGACTATTTGGTAGCATTTTCGTTTCTATTTTCTTGATGTTCTAGCTACTTATTTAAATAATTTCCAGTTAGCATAACAGAATTGAAAGATTGACCTTTTTTCTTTCATGCCTTCTGTTTTCATTTATTGGTGTTTTGAACTTCTTCCTCACTGCTCTACCTCATTCATTTATAATTCTTGACTGCTTTTTTTTTCCTTTCTCTGGCCATGTGAGAACCCTCTTAGTGCAGTCCCCTTAGGTTTATCTTGCTTGCTTGGAAATAGGAAAGTATTTAATGGTTTCAACATAAAATCAAAACACATAAGTCATAAATAGAATAATTATGACTTGCATAATTATGACCAGTATTGTCAGGTTTTATGTGTCTGCTGGTAAAACTTTGGAATATGATTTGCAGAAATCTCAGTTCAGGAGTTTAGCAAAGTTTATGAATGTGTACAGCATTAAAAAGTATTTAAACCAGGCCGGGCATGAAGGCTTATGCCAGTAATTCCAGCACTTGGGAGTCTGAGGTGGGCAGATCCCTTGAGGCCAGGAGTTCCAGACCAGCCTGGCCAACATGACGAAACCCTGTCTCCACTAAAAATACAAAAATTAGGCCGGACGCGGTGGCTCACGCCTGTAATCCCAGCACTTTGGGAGGCCGAGGCGGGTGGATCATGAGGTCAGGATATCGAGACCATCCTGGCTAACAAGGTGAAACCCCGTCTCTACTAAAAATTACAAAAAAATTAGCCGGGCGCGGTGGCGGGCGCCTGTAGTCCCAGCTACTCGGGAGGCTGAGGCAGGAGAATGGCGTGAACCCGGGAAGCGGAGCTTGCAGTGAGCCGAGATTGCGCCACTGCAGTCCGCAGTCCGGCCTGGGCCGACAGAGCGAGACTCCGTCTCAAAAAAAAAAAAAAAAAAAAAAAAAAATACAAAAATTAGCTGGGTGTGATGGTGCACATGTTTAATGGCACAAGGATTGCTTAAACCCAGGAGGTGGAGGTTGCAGTGAGCTGTGATTGCGCCACTGCACTCTAGCCTGTGCTACAGTGAGAGTCTGTCTCAAAAAGAAAAAAAAATTTAAACCAGTAGTCCCCAACCTTTTGGCACCAGGAACCGGTTTTGTGGAAGACAAGTTTTCCATGGACCATGGGTGGGGGATGGTTTCAGAATGATTCAAATGCATTATAATTATTGTGCACTTTATTTTTATTATTATAAAATTGTCATATATAATGAAATAATAGGGCTGGCCGTAGTGGCTCACCCCTGTAATCCCAGCACTTTGGGAAGCTTAGGCGGGCAGATCACTTGAGGTGAGGAGTTTGAGACCATCCTGGCCAAGATGGTGGCCAACATGGTGAAACCACATCTCTACAAAAATACAAAAATTACCTGGGCATAGTGGCCTAGCTCCTTGGGAGGCTGAGGCAGGATAATTGCTTGAACCCGGGAGGCGGATGTTGCAGTGAGCCGAGATCATGCCGCTTGGTTGGCTGGGCAACCAAGTGAGACTGTGTCTCAAAATAATAATAATTTTACAACTCAACATAACGTAGAATCAGTGGTAGCCCTGAGCTTGTTTTCCATCTAGGGATGATGGGAGACAGTGACAAATCATCCACCATTAGATTTTTATAAGGAGCGCACAACCCAGACAACCCAGATCCCTTGGATGTGCAGTTCACAATAGTGTTCATGCTCCTATGAGAATATAATGTCTCCTGATCTGACGGGAGGCAGAGCTCAGGCCATAATGTGAGCAGTGGGGAGTGGCTGTAAATACAGATGAAGCTTCCCTTTTCTGTAAATACAGACGAGGCTTCCCTCGCTCACAGCTGCTTACCTCCTGCTGTGTGGCCTGGTTCCTAACATGCCATGGACCCCTACAGGTCTGTGACCTGGGGGTTGGGGACCCCTGATTTAAAGCATTTCTTTACAGTAAAAGTAATATATACCAATTTTTTTTAAAGGGTAGTGTACAGGAAGATGTAAAAGCACCTGTAATTCTACCTGAGAACTACTACTTTTTTCTTTTTTTTTTTTTTTTTGAGGCAGAGTCTTGCTCTGTTGCCCAGGCTGGAGTTCAGTGGCGCGATCTTAGCTCACTGCAAGCTCCACCTCCCAGGTTCACACCATTCTCCTGCCTCAGCCTGCCGAGTAGTTGGGACTACAGGTGCCCACAACCATGCCCGGCTAATTTTTTTGTATTTCTAGTAGAGATGGGGTTTCTCTGTGTTAGCCAGGATGGTCTCGATCTCCTGCCCTCGTGATCCGCCCGCCTCAGCCTCCCAGAGAACTACTACTTTTATACTAAATAATTATAGCTAACATGTAGGTATAATTTACACATATGATCATACTATACATTCAATTTTTTTTTTTTTGGTCCGAGACAGGGTCTCACTTTGTCACCCAGGCTGGAGTCCTGTGGCACGATCTCAGCTCACTGTAGCCTGAATCTCCTGGGCTCAAGTGATTCTCCTACCTCTGTCTCCTGAGTAGCCGGGACTACAGGCGTCCGTCATCACACCTGACTGATTCTTGTATTTTTTTGTAGGAACAGGGTGTCTCAAGCCATCCAACTGTCTAGGCCTCCCAAAGTGCTGGGAGTACAGGTGTGAGCCACCACTTCCAGCCTGCATTCACTTTTGCAACTTGTGTTTTCTACTCAGTAGTATAACATGAAGACCCTTCCTGTAATGAAATAGTTAAGCTTCCTTGTCCATTTCCTTTGCCAGTGGCTAGAAACTTTTGACTTTTTCCATTTAAGTGAGCTTATATTATCATTTCAAGGATCTTAGCTTACTCTGGTAACGGAGTGTGAGGTTCCAGGGCTTTTGTTGCTGAGTGCGAGTGGAAGTGACTGAGTTCACTTGCTAATTTGGCTTTCAGATTCCTCATCATTTATTTCCTTGTTTTCTTTTCTCTCACATACCCATTATAAAAGTATATATATATATATATATATATATATATATATATATATATATATACACACACACACACACACACACATTTTTTTTTTTTTTTTTTTGAGACAGTCTCACTCTGTCACCCAGGCTGGAGTGCAGTGGCACGATCTCGGCTTACTGCAACCTGTCTCCCGGGCTCAAGCAATTCTCCTGCCTCGCCTCCTGAGTAGCTGGGATTACAGGCATGTGCCACTACGTCCAGCTAATTTTTGTATTTTTAGTAGAGACGGGGTTTCACCAAGTTGGCCAGGCTGGTCTCAAACTCCTGACCTCAGGTAATGCGTCTGCCTCGGCCTCCCAAAGTGCTGGGATTACAGGCCTGAGCCACTGCGCCCGGCCAAGGATATTTTATATTTTTATCTGGATTTTTAGATAGCTGTCTTACAGTGAGAGATAATTCAGGTTTTTTGGTTTAACATATTGCCAGGAAAATAAATCCTTTCTTGGTTATTTTAATAAAGAAGATACAGTACTATAAACTTTTTTCATTCTTTTGGGATGTATAAAGCAAAATGCAAAACGTTCTCTATACTCTTTCCTCAATTTGTCAGTCCCATTTTTTAAGGATAGTTATATTTTTCAGATTGTTATTTATATTTCCAGAAATACTTCATATTTCTGTATGTTAATATAAATTAGATTAATTATAAATTTTCCTGATTAAGATATATGAGAAATCACAGATATTAAAATGAGAAAGTTAAAACAATTTCCTTGATAACTTTATGAAAGTGAGTGGGTGACTTTCTGTGAAAATATAAATTGCTTAAATAAGGGAAAATTCTAGTGCTATTTGATGTTTCAGCACATATGGAACTAATAAAAGCTCAATTTTTAGTAGTCTAGTGTAACATTAATATCAAAACTTGGGAAAATATTAGAAAAGAAAGCTACAACTGCGTTGACTAAGGTGTGAATAGGGAAATCTTAAATTCAAAATAGGTGGAGTTCAAACTTTATTGCATATTTTAGTAGGTCTCTTCCAGGAACAGAAATATCTATCAGTTTTAGGAATCCTTGTAAGTGGATCAAATGAAAACATGATCATTTCAGTAGTTACTGAAATTACATTTGATAAAATTCAACATCCATCCCTCATAATAGAGGTTTTATTTTTAGAATTCTTGTTAGAAAAATTGTGAGATCATTGTTTAAAAATCTTTTTCCTCAATTCGTTTTCTAGCATTGCTATTGGAAATACTTAATAGTAGATGAAGGACACAGGATTAAGAATATGAAGTGCCGTCTAATCAGGGAGTTAAAACGATTCAATGCTGATAACAAACTTCTTTTGACTGGTACTCCCTTGCAAAACAATTTATCAGAACTTTGGTCATTGCTAAACTTTTTGTTGCCAGATGTATTTGATGACTTGAAAAGGTGGGTAAGCCAGTTATTTAATGATTTAACCTCAAAAATCTGTGCTGTTAGTTAAAATTACTTTCTTTTCAGTGACTGAATTAAAATGCCAAATATTTGGCAAGTTCTTTGTGGTGTATATTGTATGTTCTACTCCTGCCACAAATTATGTGAGAGCAGATTAAGAAAAGATTATTTAAAACTTACTTGCATTGATTAAAGGAAGACTGCTGAATGCAACTTTAAGATAATATTTTTATAATAAGGTTCTTTTATGTGTTACCTTTGTAAAACATTTTAAGATGGATTTTTCTTACTATATCCTCATTAAACAACCAGGGACAATAGAGTTGTTAAATTATTTCCTATCTCACATAAAAGAAAACCTAGGTGTAAAGTTGTTACAAGATAAGACTAGTTAGTTAGCACCAGAGCCAAAGTTAAAACCAAGGTCTCCCAATGTAAACACAGTGTTTTAATTCTGGAAACTGTTTGAATCTTAGCTTATATAATAAAATCAGACATAAAAGTAGTTTTCAGAAAGTAATTAGTAGCTTCAGAATGGAGGAGGAGGTAATGTTGACATAATTTAAAACTGATTACAACGGAAATATAACTTGGGCAAAAAATAATTTATACTTGTTTTGGCATCAGTGAAGGAAGTAAGCTAATTGGGTGTGGAAAAATAATTTTAAATTTTGGGAATTTATTTCAAATCTGGTTACCGAATGGTGGCTCAAGGCAGGCTACCTTATTGTGACTCTGGGCGCTTTTATTGAAAGACAAGAATTCCAGGTCCTGTGCAGACATACTGAGTTACAGTGTCAAGGTAGGAGTTGAGAATCTGAGTTTTTTGAACATGCTTCTGGTGATCCAAGTTTGGGAACTTCTAGTCTACTGCATAAATGTTACTAGCATTTTCCAGAATTGGGTATAATGTTACCTATTCTATATTATTAATCTGCATGCTCATACTTAATTGCTCATTGTAATATATATATTTTCAACATTGGGAAGGAATAAGCATGTATATTATTGTCAAGTTATGTATATGTTGAATTTTAAAATATTTATTGTAGTGGGCCATACTTAGACTGATGGAGAAAAATCATATGGCTTTGGTTTTCAGAGATAGTTCTCACTTTTGTAATGTAAAATTATAAATATATACCTTAATCTTATTTTTGATTTTTATACTACTGTACAATTGTTAATCTATTTATAAATCAGAAAAGTGTTCCCTTTAAGCTCACAGTTCTTGATGGTTCAAAAATGCAACCAATTTATCTTTGTTGTTGGAATGTGTTCTCTTCCATTATAAATTTTAAAAATTGCACCTAAGGATTTGATGCAACAATACCACGTTTCATTATCAGATTATTACTGTAAATGATAAATCATGTATCATGTTGACATAATTGAATTTATGTGATGGTTAACTTAAACATTTTTCTCTTCCAGCTTTGAGTCTTGGTTTGACATCACTAGTCTTTCTGAAACTGCTGAAGATATTATTGCTAAAGAAAGAGAACAGAATGTATTGCATATGCTGCACCAGGTTTTCCATGTTTTCTTATTCTGCTTAACCATAGGCTCGATAGAGTATAAAAGGAACTCTGGAGATCACCTGTCTAACCCTTTGTAGTAGAGATTTGAAAAATGAAGATCCTCCTACATTTAAATGACTCCTTTGTCCTTTCTTCTCCCAGAGGTCACATGGTTTTATGACAGAACTCAAGTGCTTACCTAAGTTTTGTCCTTTTCAGATAGTATACTCATTTTACCCCTAATGGTTACTGATAAGTTTGTCAAGCACAAAACAGAAGTATGTGGTTTTTATGGAATGCTTGCCAATAATACTTTTATAATTTACATCCTTGCATGGCTGCTGTCTAATCTATTTTTATTGCTTCCTGTAATTCCTACCCCATCCTACCTATCTTTAATTTAGAGAAACATTATCTTTCAAGGGTAATCTAGTCATATGGGCCTGAAAAGCTTCTCAGTTGTGGTTTAGCAATTTTATTCAAAGTCTTTATCGTTTTTTCTGATATTAAAGTTTATACATGTTCATGAGAAAAACGTGAAGCAGGAGAGAAGTGAAAAGTAAAAATATCACTTCCTCTTAAAATTGTATTTCCTAGCAGTGCATGTGGAATGATTATGTTGTGTTATATGACAATCCAAACTCTTTTCTGTCTTTGTGTAAACACGTGTGTTTTATCTATATTTTATGAAGAAAAGGACTTTAAAAATAAAATTGTTCCTTAAGATAGTCTTTTAAACAGTTATCAGAAAATTATTTTCCTTTTACTACATGTAGATTTAAATCAGTTTTTAATAGCTGCTTATTATCCCATTGTCTTGTTCTACTATAATTAATAATATCTATCTCTTCCTCTTTTCAAAATTTTCAACAATATAAACAAGGTTGTAGTATCTGTATTTAAAACTACACCTTTGCCCATTTCTGGCTATTTCCTTAGGAAAGAATTCCTAGAATGTATGTGTCAGAGTTTACAGATGAGGGCTTCTTTGAAGGCAAATTGCCCTCCAGAAAAGATTTATATGATATACGTCCATATGAAAATACTTATTTACTCAAGCTTCATACCAATTTTGAGGTTAGAAGTCCTTTTCAGTGTTGCAGAGATTAAAAAGGATGATTATTGCTGAATTGAGATGTTTATTGACTATTGGTAGTTCCTTGTGGCCATATTCCAACATGTGTTGGAATATTTATTTATTAATGGTTTATAATAACTATATGTTAAAAATAAGTTAATGTTGCAAATAATTTCTTTCCCCTCACTTTTTGGGATAAACTTTGTTTATGGTATCTTTGTGTGTGTTCATGTGCACAAGCGTGTGTGTTTATATTTAAAATTTTCTTTTTTTCCCACTGTGACTCTGGGCAATGACAGAAATTTCAATGCACCAATAGTTATAGAAGCTTTTAAATGTCCCAGTCTGAATTATTGGAGTAAATGACTTATTTAGGAAGAGATGTGTTTGGATATCACATCCTCATCAGTAGTGTATACATCCATATAGTGTAGCAAAGGATTAAGTTTCTGTTCTTAGGAAATTTAATTAGAGTCAAGACAATGAATATTTATAGAATTTGTCACTTACACGTTACCTCACAGTGTATACAGGTAGATAGATATTCCTTAGAAATGATCATCTGCCTTTTGATTGAACATTTGTAGTAATTGTCATAGTTGATAATTCCATAAGAGGGCTCACTGGAATTGTTTTACTATAGATAACTTCAGATTTCCATTAATATTAAGATATGATAATGAACTTTTATTATATCCAAATTCAACAGTTTTATCAAAAATAGGGGCAGTTTTGAATGTTCTAGCAATAAGAATATTCTCTGTAATACTGTGCTTAAATTTGAGTTTATATTACTTTTACGCTTTGTCCTAATTATGTTTTAATGCATTACTACAGGAAAAAGTTTTCATTCAAAATGAATTCAGATTAGGTGGAGATAGTTTTAAATCGCTAGTATATTTTCTTAACTATTTTCTATATGAAAGAATTCCTTTCCTTTTTTTATGCAATGTTTACATAAACCTTGCATAGTAAAAAAAATTTTTTTTACTTTCCGTTTAAAGTTCTCTAAGCTTGCTACTTTTCTATTTCCACCCCATATTGAAGGCCAAAAGCAGTATAACCTTTACAAATTAATTATTTAAAATTTTTTATTTTAAAATTATGCGTACACGGTAAGATATTTTTAAATGTTATAAACATTTAGAAATTAAAAAGTAAGAAGTAAAAATTTCTGTTTTCCTTCTGCACTTCCTTTCTTATCTCCAAAGTATAACTAATAGTTTTTTTGTTTTGTTTTTTTTTTTTGTTTGTTTTTGTTTTTTTTTTTGTTTTTTTGGTTTTTTTTTTTTGAGACAGAGTCTCACTCTGTTGCCCAGGCCTGGAGTGCAGTGAGCGTCTGCCTCCCAGGTTCAAGCGATTTTCCTGCCTTAGCCTCCTGAGCAGCTGGGATTACAGGCGTGTGCCACCACACCTGGCTAATTTTTTTGTATTTTTAGTGGAGACGAGGTTTCACCATGTTGGCCAGGCTGGTCTTAAACTCCTGACCTCAAGTGATCTGCCCGCCTTGGCCTCCCAAAGTGCTGGGATTACAGGTGTGAGCCACTGCACCTGGCCAACAGATTTTTTTTTTTTTTTTTAGAGACAATGTCCTACTATGACATCCAGGCAGGAGAGTAGTGGTGCCATCGTTGGTTATTGGGTTGTTATCTGCAGCCTCCAACTCATACTCCTGGGTTCAAGTGATCCTCCTGCCTCAGCCTTCTGAGTTGCTGGAACCAAAGGTGCATGCCACCAGGTCCAGCTAATTTTTGGTAGATGGGTCTTGTATAAGTCTTGTTTTTGTCTGCTTTGAAAGCTTGTATACTAGGAAAAACATATATAAATACCTTTTTTATACATGTGTTTCAGCGGTATAGTGTGCCTCTTCTTCCACATATTTGCCATTTCAGTTAACATCAAACTATAGCATTTGTCAGTGCATGTGGTAGAAAAATATCTGGTTATTTCATGTTTTCCTTACAGACATGGACATGTTTTTTTTAATTTTATTTATTTATTTTTATTTTTTTGAGACAGAATCTTGCTCTATTGCCCAGGCTGGAGTGCCGTGGTGCAATCTCGGCTCACTGCAAGCTGCACCTCCCGGGTTCACGCTATTCTCCTGCCTCAGCCTCCCGAGTAGCTGGGACTACAGGCGCCTGCCACTACGCCTGGCTAATTTTTTCTATTTTTTAGTAGAGACGGAGTTTCACTGTGTTAGCCGGGATGGTCTCGATCTCCTGACCTCGTGATCCGCCTGCCTTGGCCTCCCAAAGTGCTGGGATTACAGGCGTGAGCCACCGCGCCCGGCCGGACATGTTTTAACATGTTTATGAAACATTTACATATTTTTCCTGATTGCCTGTCGGCATATTTGTTTTTGGGTTGGTAGATACCAACACTGGTAATGTGTTTACTATCTTTGGTAATAGTCTGTCTATGATTAGCTCTATACCTGTTGGGTATTTAAGTCCAGAGTCCTGAAAATGAGCTTTATTATATATGATTACTATATGTAAACCATTGTCAGTATTTAATGGCAGGGGTATAAAGAGTATACAATTATTTGTTTATTATTATTAGTAGTAGTAGTAGTATTTTTTTTGAGTCAACGTCTCTGTCGCCCAGGCTAGGGTGCAGTGGCAAGATCTTGGCTCACTGCAACCTCTGTCTCCCAAGTTCAAGCCATTCTCCTGCCTCAGCCTTCCGAGTAGCTGGGATTCTGTAATCCCGCCACCACGCCTGACTAAATTTTTTTGTTTTTTTAGTAGAGACGGGATTTCACCATGTTGGCCAGGCTAGTCTCAAACTTCTGACCTCAGGTGATCTGCTCGCCTCGGCTTCCCAAACTGCTGGGATTACAGGTGTGAGCTACTGCGTCCGACCTAGAGTATACAATGATTTTAATCTAGTATTTGTGCTCTTTTAGTGACCCGAATATTTTAATGCATAATTATTGTCTGTTGCTTCTGTGTTCTCTTTATAAATGTGATAATCATTTGTAACCACCCCAGCTAATGAAAGAGAATAATTTTAAGCCTGAAACTTTAGAACTTATAGAAGGAAACTTGTATGTCTGCATCCCTAGGTCAGCTGGCTTTTTACTGAGTCTTAAAACCTCATTCTATTAAAAAATTTTTAATTTTTAAAAAAACTTTTAGTTTTTTGGGTACATAGTAGATGTATATATTTATGAGGTATATGTTTTGATATTGATACAGAAATGCAATGCATAATAATCATATCATGGAGAATGGGGTATCCATCCCTTCAAGCATTTGTTACCCTTTGTGTTACAAATGATCCAGTTATACACTTTTGTGTGTGTGTGTGTGTGGAGACAGAGTCTTGCTCTGTCACCCAGGCTGGAGTGCAGTGGCACAATCCTGGTTCACTGCAACCTCTGCCTTCCAGGTTCAAACAATTCTCCTGCCTCAGCCTCTTGAGTAGCTGGGATTACAGGTACCCGCCAGCACACCCAGCTAATTTTTGTATTTTTAGTGGAGATGGGGTTTCACCATGTTCACCAGGCTGGTCTCAAACTCTTGACCCAGGTGATTCACCCGTCTTGGCCTCCCAAAGTGCTGTGATTACAAGTGTGAGCCACCGCACCTGGCCTCTAGTTATACTCTTCTTTATATTTTAAAATGTAAAAGTTAAATTATTATTGACTGTAGTCACCCTGTTGTGCTACCAAATATTAGGTCTTATTATTTCTACTTTTTGTACTCATTATTTCAAATATTTTTAATTTTTATTCATTTTTATTATTTCCCCTTTTGTATGGTGCTGATAACATCTCATTCTAAAAGTTGTGGGCTATAACTGAAACTTCAACCCTAAGAAATACAAATGCTACCTTTATATTTTTACTTTTAAAATTATTTGAGATAGATTCTTACAGTTTTTAAAAGAAAATAAATTCTGAAATGCTGCGGACAACTGTGAGTTTATCATTTGGTCTGGTCTGGGAAAATCTCAAGATATTTTCACCTTTTGAGATTTGGCATTATTTATATAGGAAGTCAAAAGATAAGGTAAAGGAGTATATGGGGACAGTATTCCTTGAAAAACAAGAATGTTTAATACTCATATTTTTCTGTTCATGTTTTAATTTTAGATTTTAACACCTTTCTTATTGAGAAGACTGAAGTCTGATGTTGCTCTTGAAGTTCCTCCTAAACGAGAAGTAGTCGTTTATGCTCCACTTTCAAAGAAGCAGGAGATCTTTTATACAGCCATTGTGAACCGTACAATTGCAAACATGTTTGGATCCAGTGAGGTATAGTGGTTTTGAAATGTACTGTAAATGAAACTTGACATATAAAATTTCTCTTTTTTCCCTTTTTTTTTGAGAGAAGGTGTCGCTCTGTCACCCAGGCTGTGGTGCAGTGGCACAATCACTGCTCACTGCAGCCTTTACCTGCCTGGCTAAATTTTTTGTATTTTTTTGTAGAGACTGGCATTTCGCCATGTTTCCCAGGTTGGTCTCAGACTCCTGGGCTTAAGCAGTCCACCCACCTTGGCCTCCCAAAGTGCTGGGATTCCAGGTTTTAGCAATTGTGCCTGGCCTAAATTCCAGTTTTAAGGTCCCCTTGTTCATTTTTAGGACTTGGGTGAATTTCTAACTGGGGTATAAGGCATAAGGCTTAGTGGCAAAAGTTGTTTCCTAGTATCTGGAGTCCTGCTAAAATGTTAAGTGATAATCTTTGTATTAATTGCTTTACAGTCATCTGGAATACTTACTAAAAATTTAGGCCAGGCACGGTGGCTCATGCCTGTTATCCCAGCACTTTGAGAGGCCGAGGCGGGTGGATCACCTGAGGTCGGGAATTTGAGACCAGTCTGACCAACATGGAGAAAACCCTGTCTCTACTAAAAACACAAAATTAGCTAGGCGTGGTGGCGCATGCCTGTAATCCTAGCTACTCAGGAAGGCTGAGGCAGGAGAATCACTTGAACCCGGGAGACGGAGGTTGTGGTGAGCCAAGATTGTGCCTTTGCACTCCAGCCTGGGCAGCAAGAGCGAAACTCCGTCTCAAAAAAAATAAATAAAAAAAAAATGTATATTTCCGTACAGATTAACTCTAATCATGCTTTCTGGAGATGAACTTGGAAATGCATTTTTAACAAGCACACAGGTAGGTATTTGAGAATCCCTGTACTAAGGACTTGGCAACTAGACTAATCTCCAGATATACAGATTGAGCATCCAAAATCTGAGTTGCTCCAAAATTTGAAACTTTGAGTGCTGATATGAAACTGAAAGGAAATGCTTATTGGAGCATTTGTATTTTCCCGTTAGGGATGTTCTACCTGTACAGTTTCCTTACAGAAGGTTATTGATAACCAAAAAGATTAATAATCAATTTGATGATGATTATTCATCACCCACCATATTATAGGAGATAGAGGTGGGATGTTATTATCATGTAACTGAAGGAGACCCTTAAGTTTTGTTTAACTTTCCAGGTTTTTTATTGTACACTATAAACCTACGTATTTTCTTTTCAAAATATTTATTGTGATGCATTTTTAAACAATAGGACCACCAGACTCTTCTCCCCCCGACTTTTTTTTTTTTTTTTTTTTTTTTGAGACAGAGTCTCGCTGTGTTGCCCAGGCTGGAGTGTAGTGGCATGATCTTGGCTTACTGCAAGCTCCGCCTCCCGGGTTCATGCCATTCTCCTGCCTCAGCCTCCCGAGTAGCTGGGACTACAGTCGCCCGCCACCACGCTTGGCTAATTTTTTCTATTTTTGAGTAGAGACGGGGTTTCACCATGGTAGCCAGGATGGTCTCGATCTTCTGACCTTGTGATCTGCCCGCCTCGGCCTCCGAAAGTGCTGGGTTTACAGGCGTGAGCCACCGTACCCGGCCTCTTCTCCCTTTTTAATAATTAATTATAATTAAAGGAAGGGTCTAGCCGTTTACAAATTTACATTATTTGTCTGTTAATGAGCAATTTCATAATGAGCAGTTTCATGCAGTGTTACACCAGTCTGAAGAAATATCCTCTGTACTGCAAATTTCCGGAGCCATATTTCAACTTTAAGGTATTAAATCCTTTTGTGTAAGTTCAAAGTAGTTTTATACACCCTTCATTTTTACCTATTGAGATATGAAGGCCCTTCCTCTTACTTTCAGATATTGTTGTCCATGTTAAAATTAAACTAATTTCCCACAACATTTGTATTTGTCTATAGATTGTCATTTTGTACATAAAATATGCCTTATTTTGTTTACATTTAGAACCTAAGGACATAGCTTTATAAACTGAATTTCTTTTAATTCGTTCCCTTTTAGAAAGAAACAATTGAGTTAAGTCCTACTGGTCGACCAAAACGACGAACTAGAAAATCAATAAATTACAGCAAAATAGATGATTTCCCTAATGAATTGGAAAAACTGATCAGTCAAATACAGCCAGAGGTGGACCGAGAAAGGTTTGAATTCAAAAGTGAATTTAAGTATTCTTTAAACTGTGACCATTTTTTGCATTTCCCATATATGCATTATTTGTTTTGGTAGAGCTGTTGTGGAAGTGAATATCCCTGTAGAATCTGAAGTTAATCTGAAGCTGCAGAATATAATGATGCTACTTCGTAAATGTTGTAATCATCCATATTTGATTGAATATCCTATAGACCCTGTTACACAAGAATTTAAGGTGAATACTGTTTAATTCTAATTTACTGTTTTGATTTCCATTACTTTTATATTGGTGGAAAGTGTTACTTTTTTTGATTATAATTATTAAAAATAAGTATGGTGCTATTTGTCATGAAGATTGTAATCCTTCAGTAAGCTGAGACAGTCTTCTTTCCGAAATTTCAGAGAACCTTATCAGGGTTAGAAAAATGGTCACTTTCTATGAGCAACTAGTTTTTTAAATTTTTTTATTTTTTATAGAGACAGGGTCTTGCTATGTTTCTCAGGCTGGTCTCAAACTTCCTGGTTTCTCAGGCAATCCTGCCTCAGCTTCCCAGAGTGCTAGGATTACAGGCAAGAGCCACCACGCTTGGCCTCTATGCAACTTATATTTTTATTTACATATTTTATGTGAACAACTAAGAATTCTAAATTTAGTAATTGATTTGTACTCTGCATGTTTACTTGTTATATTTTAGAGAGAGTGGTCATCTTTTCACTATTTCTTTTATCATTAATATTTGGCTTATCAAAATCAGCCTGGTTGCTCATTGCTTAAAGATCAACAGGTAGCCATAGAATAAAACCAGTTTTGATTTGGAGGTTTTCAAATTAAGTAAATGAAGTTGCTTTCTTGGGTAGTTGATAGAATGATAGCATAATATCAATAGAAATAAATTCTTAGTAACCCTCAATCACAGTTGTTTCAAGGTAGTTTACAATAGGCTTTTCCACTCCTGGCAATATTGACATTTTGGGCCAGATAATTCTTTCTTAGGAGGTAATGTTCTGTGCACTTAGGACATTTAGCAGCATCCCTGTCTTCTACCCATTAGATGCCACTAGTATTCACTTCCCTCAGTTATGACAACTAAAAAGTTTGCTGCCGCTGCCAAATATACCCTGGGGATAGGTGGAGGGCAAAATTGTCCCCATTTGAGAGGCACTGCTTTACATCTTTATTAGAGTAAGAAGGAAGACAAAACTTTCCCACTCAAATGAAAGTAGCTCTCTCATGAGGGAATTTCACCAGAAGGTGAAAAAGTCTTTGTCCACAATATTTAGATTACTTATCAGCTCCTGTATTTTCTCTTAATTTCTGGTAAGAATTCTAGCAGTAGTTTACATATACATTTAGTTGGAAATAACTCACTTATAAAGAATAAGCCTGAGTATGTACCCATTAAGTTTGACATAATTGTTTTCTTTCACAATGACTTTGAGAGAGGAGTGTTGAGGTTAGATCAAAGTTATATTTGTACTTTGTTTTTGTGAAATTGCTGGTTTTACATTCTAGAGTATGTCTTTGAGTAATAACTATCTTCTGATTTTACAAAGATTGAATAACAGGTCAGTTTTTAAGTTTTTTAAGTGACTTGGCTTTGAAAATTGAACTTTCCAAATGGCTTTTGTTTTAACAAAGCAAATAACAGTTTTCTCTCTATTTTTTCTTCCTTTGCCCCTCCTTAAGATCGATGAAGAATTGGTAACAAATTCTGGGAAGTTCTTGATTTTGGATCGAATGCTGCCAGAACTAAAAAAAAGAGGTCACAAGGTGGTACTTTTGATTGGAATTTTGGATTGTTCAATTATTTTTTTATCAATCATTAGAAATATTAAGATATGTTTAATTTCAGGTGCTGCTTTTTTCACAAATGACAAGCATGTTGGACATTTTGATGGATTACTGCCATCTCAGAGATTTCAACTTCAGCAGGCTTGATGGGTCCATGTCTTACTCAGAGAGAGAAAAAAACGTAAGACTACTTATGTCATACATACCAAACTATTCTTTTATAATTCCTATCTTGATTTCTGAAGTAATATTCCAAATAGACCCACAAATTGATAAAAAGATAGAAATGACCAGAAACCCTGTGGTTTTATCAAAAACAAACATTTTGATTTAGTACTAAGAAGTCTTAATTTTTGATTCACAAATATATATATCTTCTGGCACAATCTTATTAATAATATCCTACTTAACCATCACTGTAAGAATATTGGGATAGCAGGAAATTTTTTGCCTTTTTGCCCTGTCCTCAACTTTCTATTATGAAAATATCAACTATATGGCAAAGTTGAAAAAAAAAAAGCAACTGTAAATCCGCCTACAATCTGCTGTTAACATTTGACTATACCTTTTTAAAAACACATTTCCTGTAATAGCAGCCTTGCTGTATCCATTCAGCATTTAATCCTGGTTTTTTGGTGCATTTAAAAATAAAATATAGATGATACTACCCTTTTCCGTAATGACTTCAGCATATTTTATCTTTTGGGGTAAAATTTACACATACTGAAGCAAATAATGTATACATTTGCTGAATCTTTCTGACAAATGCATATGTAAATTTATACCTAACCCCTATTAAGATATAGAATGTTACCATCAGCCCAGAAAGTTTCCTGTGCCCCCTTCTAGTCAATTCTCCCCTGCACCCACCCCATGTGTTTAGACAACTACAATTTTTTCATCATTTTTTGATATTAGCTTTTCTTATTTAAACATTGTTGTGATACATGGTTTTTAACAAAATTAAGATCTCTTTAATATAGGTGCTTGGACGATAAAGCTAACAGCACAGGTTTTGTTAACATAATTGTTTTATAGATCTGAATGATTTGTTTGGCCTCCTTTGTTTAAGTCTTTAATAGTTGTAATTGAAAACATTTTTCTCCTTCAGTCTTGTTGGTTAATTTATTTTAATCTGTTGTATTTACATCCTTTTTGCTTTTAGATGCACAGCTTCAACACGGATCCAGAGGTGTTTATCTTCTTAGTGAGTACACGAGCTGGTGGCCTGGGCATTAATCTGACTGCAGCAGATACAGTTATCATTTATGATAGTGATTGGGTAAGTTGGAAGTATAGCAAGGAATATGCTGATTATATTTCCATTTTGAATTTTTTTTTTTTTTTGAAATGGAGTCTCACTCTGTTGCCCAGGCTGGAGTGCAGTGGCACGATCTCGGCTCACTGCAACCTTCACCTCCTGGGTTCAAGTGATTCTCTTGCCTCAGCCCCCTGAGTAGCTGTGACTATAGGTGTACACCACAATGCCTGGCTAATTTTTGTGTTTTTAGTAGAGACGGGGTTTTGCCATGTTGGCCAGGCTCTCTTGAATCCTGACCTCAGGTGATCCGCCCACCTCGGCCTCCCAAAGTGCTGGCATTACAGGCTTGAGCCACCACACCCAGCCTCCATTCTGAATTTTTTTTTTTTTTTTTTTTTGAGAAGGAGTTTTGCTCTTGTTGCCCAGGCTGGGATTAAGTGCTGGGATTACCAGCATGAGCCACCGCGCCCGGCCATTCTGAATTTTTAATTTTTAATGGTACATGTTACAAATTTACTTATCTATTTTGAAAAGATACCCATTTTCAGCTAAGAGTTATTTCTTCATAAAGTTTTTTGCAAGTAAAAATTGAAAATTTTTTTTTACTTTTGTTTTTAGTGACAGGGTCTCACTATCACCCAGGCTTGAGTGCAGTGGCACCATCACGGCTCAGTAGCCTTGACCTTTTGGATTCAAGTGATCCTCCCACCTCATTCTCTCAAGTAGCTGGGTCTATGGGTGTGCTACCATGCCCACAAAAAATGTAAAAATTAGTGAGACCACGTCTCACTGTTTGCCCACGCTGGTCTTGTATCCTCATATGATCCTCCTGCCTTGGCTTCCCAAAATGCTGAGATTATAGGAGTGAGTCATCGTGCCCATCCTGAAATGTTTTCTTTAGGGTATTTAAACTTTTTTGTTAATATTGTCAAGGATCTGTGGAATGATAATTTTGTCTATGAAGCCACTCTGGAAGTTTAAATTAAGACACCACTATTTAAAAGTTCCTGGCTAGATCATTCATGTTGACTTTATCCACATGAGTTTATGTTAATTTTAACCTAATACCGTTAAATATTATTTTTCTTTTTAACTTTAAGAACCCCCAGTCGGATCTTCAGGCCCAGGATAGATGTCATAGAATTGGTCAGACAAAGCCAGTTGTTGTTTATCGCCTTGTTACAGCAAATACTATCGATCAGAAAATTGTGGAAAGAGCAGCTGCTAAAAGGAAACTGGAAAAGTTGATCATCCATAAAAGTAAATAACACTTATGTAGTGCTTTATTGTTTAAATTGTGCATTGTGTGTTGTGGATTTTGTTTTTATTTTGTTTATAAAATATTACAGCCTGGGCCGAGTTCTGTGTCTCACACCTGTAATCCTAGTACTTTGGGATGCCAAGGTGAGTGGATCACGAGGTCAGGAGTTCGAGACCAGGCTGGCCAAGATGGTGAAACCGCGTCTCTACTAACAATACAAAAATTAGCTGGGCTCGGTGGCGGGCGCCTGTAATCCCAGCTACTCAGGAAGCTGAGGCAGGAGAATCGCTTGAACCCGGGAGGAGGAGGTTGCAGTGAGCCGAGATCGTGCCACTGCACTCTAGCCTGGGTAACAGAACAAGACTCTGTCTCAAAAAAAAAAATATTAACAGCCTGATATGACAGGATTTAAATAAGCAGTGGGGAATTTGGGAGCCTAAACTAAGTTGGTCACCATAGACATAAAAGAAAGAATGTTAGCGAGTATGTAGATATGTAGATGAAGAGCAGATGGGCAGAGAAAAGGGGTCAAGGATAACTACATGTTCCTGATAAGAGATTGGCTTGCTAAAAGTTTTAAGATAAATATTTTGCAAGTTCCATGTATTAAAATATTAAGTGTATTTAAGTGTTATAAAAAATCTATTTATTTATTGAACCCACTGTTTCACAGAATATTTCACTGCAGAATGCCCTTTTTATAGTTTTGGACACTTTTTTTTCCTTTTTCATTTCCTTATCATAACCAGATGGGTCTCAACAATGCTTTTTAATCTAGAAAAAATTCTGAGGAGGTGGGGAACTGACATAGGTGAAAAAGTTTTGTTCCTGAGATTCCTTAGAGAAGTTATACTTCTATCCATTCACCATAAAATTTTCTTTGAATAAATGGCTTGATAGCTACCTGAAGAAATGTTGAAAATCATTTATGTAAATCATCAAGCCCTAGAGAAATGGGAACATGATAATGTTAATGTGAAAAGTAATGTTGGAAATCACTAATAATTTATTTTATACTCCTTTTCCACTTGTAAATACTTTCTCTGGGTTTTGAGGTAAGAGTGTATTAAGGTTTAGACAAAATTAATTTGGTGAAACATTTAGATTGTAATTGGAACTTGCATTGGGGAAAAAGCATAATTTTTTTTTAAGAGACCATTTAACTTTTTTACCCAGGTTGTTCTCGAACACCTGGACTCAAGTGATCCTCCTGCCTTAGCCTCTTCAAGTGTTGGGCTTATAGGTGTGAGCCACTGTGCTCAGCCCTATTTTCGATTTTTTAGTAGATTAATTTTGTAGAAAATTTTGAAGGGATTTTTTTAAATGCTGACATTTTTCAGTTGAGTTATTACATACATACAGCAAAATGCACAGATCTTAAATGTACAGGTTAATGAAGTTTGACCAGATTTATGTACTCCTATGTAACTATCATCGAGATCAAGGTAGCATTTTCATCATCCAAGAAATTTTCTTTGTTCACCCTTTCCAGTAATTCCTATGCTCCCCTTACCATCACTAGGAAGCATCCAGTATTCTGATTTTTGTCACACTGATGAGTCTTTTTTCTGTTTAGCTATTTTGTTGAATATATTTTTTCAACACAGAGTCATCTGTGTTGTTTTTAGTAGAATTTTTTTCTTTTAATTGGTGAATAGTTTGTTTTTTCCATTCTCCTGTTGGTCGACATTTAAATTATTTCTAGATTCTGGTTATTATGAATAAGTTGGTCCTGTACAAGTCTTTGTGGACATAATGCATTTTTTGGTCCTTGATCTTAGGGAGGGTGCGTGTTTAACTACTGGAAACTACCAGCCTTTTCCAAAGTGGACATATCATTTTCCAGTCCTACCAGCGAAGCCTGAGAGCTTCATTTGCTTTTATTTTTTATCAACACTTTTTTTTGCCGTCCTTCTTAATGCAAGCCATTGTGATTGGTTTGTAATATGTTGTATTGTAGTTTTAAAAGGAATTTTAATGTTTTTAATTTCTCATTTTTTTTAGATCATTTCAAAGGTGGTCAGTCTGGATTAAATCTGTCTAAGAATTTCTTAGATCCTAAGGAATTAATGGAATTATTAAAATCTAGAGATTATGAAAGGTGAGTTTTTAATTTTAGAAAGATTTAATTTGTAGCTTTGAATTATTCACATAGACTTGAATATTTTGTTTTCTATAGGGAAATAAAAGGATCAAGAGAGAAGGTCATTAGTGATAAAGATCTAGAGTTGTTGTTAGATCGAAGTGATCTTATTGGTAAGTATTATGCTTTTTTTTAATGGAAGCTTCGAAACATACACTTAATTAGCATAATGTAATGAACCCCTTGTGCAATTCATTCAGCCACATGTATCCAATCTTGTTTTATTGTCATTTTTCTTCTTAGAGTATTAAAATCAAATCTCAGACATGACATTTTGCCCATAAATGTCATTATCTTTAACTTCTTCCATAATTCAGATATTTTCTGTAAACTGGTAAATAACACTTGTAAATGAATATATTCAAGTTCCTGTCTTAGTTAAGAATACCAGTGCTTTGTTCTCATATTTTTCGTCATACCAGGAGGCACATCGTATCTGGATTTCTTATTTCCAGTGAGCTAAGATTAATCAAGATAATGTTATAAAGTGTCTTGTCAGCCTTCATCCTTTACTTAACACGATGATTTATTTTATTTTATTTTATTTTTTTGGAGACAGAGTCTTGCCCTGTCGCCCAGGCTGGAGTGCGCTGACACGATCTCAGCTCACTGCAACCTCAGCCTCCTGGGTTCAAGGGATTCTCCTGCCTCAGCCTCCCTAGTAGCTAGTATTACAGTCGCCTGCCACCACACCTGGCTAATTTTTGTATCTTTAGTAGAGACAGGGTTTCGCCATGTTGGCCAGGCTGGTCTTGAACTCCTGATTTCAGGTGTTGTGCCCACCCCAGCCTCCCAAAGCACTGGGATTACAGGCATGAGCCACTGCACCAAGCCTAACGTGGTGATTTTTAGTATCCCTTGAAAGTGGCTGATAAGAACCATTATTAACTTAATCATTGCAAAATGGTGATTTTTCTTGTTCTGTCATTCTTTTATTAGCTGGGTTATTTAAGAACTTTCCCTTACAGTTTCCCTGAGATAGAAGAGAGCCAGGATATATTGCTTCTTTTTTTTTTTTTTATCAGTTTTTAGAATACCACCTTATGATCTGATGCCTACAGTGATGACCATGAATTATTTTGAAAACAAAAATAATATTTTGTACTTCATAATTTCCTAATTATTTTACAACATATTACTGTCGTCTAGGCTATTGATTATTTGTCTGTTGCATCTGTATGGTGGAGATACTGTATAATCTTTTTTTCCCAACTGTATTCCGTGACATTTTGGTCTTTTGAAATTGGTGATGGCAGTAACATTCATATCACGGATACAGGCAGAAACTAGAAACCCCAGTCTTTGTTTTTAACAAAAAAGGGTCTTGCTTTGTATTCCTGGCTAGAATGCAGGAGTGCGACTATAGCTCATTGCAGCCTAAAAGTCCTGGGCTCAAGGGATCCTCCAGCCTCAGCCTTTGGAGTAAGCTGGGATTATAGGCATGAGCCATTGTGCCTCAGTTTTTGTTTTTTTTGAGACCCAATTGTTAAACATTTACCTGCGTGGCACTGGCTACAGTGTCATGATATCTTATTTTCAAATATGTTGTTCATTTTAAAATTCAATTCTGTGTCTTATTGAATCAAAATAAAATATATTGGTTGGAAGTTTTTTTTTTTTTTTTTTTAATCAGATGTATTTTCCAAACATTTTCTTCTACTCTGGCCTGTCTCTTCACTTACTTACTTAGTATCTTCTGAAGAGCAAAAGTTTTAAATTTTAATGAATTTCAATTTTAACAAATTTTTTTCTGTTCACTCATGATTTTTATGTCATCTGTAACTACTCTTTGCCTAATTCAAGGTGTTGATATTTTCTTTTAATAGTTTTATAGTTTTTGCTCTTACATTTAGATCTATGATCTATTTTCAATGAATTTTCATCTTTTTGCATGTCAATATTAATTTGTTAAAAAGATGATCCTTTTTCTATTGGATGGCCTTGTCATCCTTGATGCAAATAATTTGATCATAAATATAAGGATTTATTTCTGTATTCTCAATTCTGTCCCATTGATCTCTGTGGTATTCCTATGCCAGTATCGCACTGATTTAATTAAGGTAGCTTTATGGGAAGTGTACTTTCTCTAGTTTTGTTCTTTTTCAAAATTGTTTTAGATATTCTGGATTATTTGCATGTTTATTTGAGTTTTAACTTTGAAATAGTTTAGGGAGAAATATGAGACATACAGCATCATGGTCAAATCTAAACTATATTAAAAAACAACATTATGTGAGGCATGTAAGGACTGTTTAACATCTGATAATATAATTCATATCAATTAAATAATGGAGAACTAGATGATCACCTAATTAGATACCAAAAACCAACTTGCCATAATATCGTAATCATCTTCATAATTTTTTTTTATTTGAGACAAAGTCTCGTTCTGTCACCGAGGCTGGAGTTCAGTGGTGTGATCATGGCTCACTGCAGCTTTAACCTGCTGGGCTCAATCAATCCCCACACCTCAGCCTCCCAAGTTGCTGGGACTGCAGGTGTGATTACTATGTCCTGCTAATTTTGTTTTGTGTATTTTGTAGAGACAGGGGTTTGCCATGTTGCTCAAGCTGGTCTCACACTCCTGGGCTCAAGTGATCTGTCTGCCTCATCCTCCTAAAGTGCTGGCATTATCGAAACTGCTTTTATTTGCAAGTGGTCTGGTTTGATTATCTTCATAGGAAGTCCAAGGGAATCCAGAATCTTTTAAAATAGAATTTAAGAAGATTGCTTATTAATAATATGTGTAACAGCAATAATTGTTTAATAATGAAGGTTTTTACAACAGCTACAAAATTAACATGCCTACAATTAAAGTTTAACAATTTTTAACATGTTTATATAAGGACAGAATTATGAAACATTGAAGGACGTTAATAGAAAGACTGAGTAAACATGCAGATTTAGCTGTATTTGTGGATATGAATGGTTACTACAAAGTGTAAGTCAGTGGTCCCCAAAACTAACTTATATTCTTGAATTTTTCTTCTAATTAAAATCCCAGAATGATGGCTGGGTGTGGTGGCTCATGCCTATAATCCTATCACTTTGGGAGGCTGAGGCAGGTGGATTGCCTGAGCTCAGGAGTTAGAGACCAGCCTGGGCAACACGGTGAAACCCTGTCTCTACTAAAATAGAAAAAATTAGCGGGGCATGGAGGCATGTGCCTATAATCCCAGCTACTCAGAAGGCTGAGGCAGGAGAATTGCTAGAACCTGGCAGGTGGAGGTTGCAGTGAATGGAGATTGTGCCACTGCACTCCAGCCTGGGTGACAGAGCGAGACTCTGTCTCTTAAAAAAAAAAAAAAAAATCCCAGAATGACTTTTTGTAAAACAGACTGTTGTTAAAATTTATATGAGAGAGTAATAAAGGGCCAGAACCAAGACAGTTTTGAAGCACAAGATATTCTATACCAGGTATAAAGTCTTATTAAAAATTTAAAAGTCATAATAATCAAGATGGTAGAATTAGCACATGGTGTGATATATTGGCTAGAAGTACAATATGGTGAATCTAGAAAGACAACTTTCACGAAAAGCTAATAAATGTGAAATGGAACTTCAAACAACTGATAGGAAATTCCTATTAATCAATAGATGATCTGGGGAAATAGTAATTAATAGGGGAAAAATTAACTTAGATTCTCCTCTCCTCACACTGCACTTACAAACTTCAGATAAATTAACAATCCACGTGTTCAAAACCTAAATATTAAAGGTAGAATTTTAACCTAAAAAGACAAGAAAATATATTTATGATTTTAGAATTAGAATTCTTTATAATACAGAAATCACAAATTATATGATAGGTTTCATAGATTTTAATTACATTAATAGGAAAGACTACTATAAGACAGATGACACCATAAAGAGATAAGAGACAAACCACAAATAATATTTGCAACATATAACAGGAAGTGTTTAGGATATGCAAGTAAATAAAAGTTGATAATGAAAACGGATAATATAAGAGCAGGCTATTACCAAGAGAGAAAGAAATGTCTGATGAACAGACAAGGATGATTAGAAATCAGTAATACAAATGAAAATCAGATTTCATTTCACAGCTGTCATGTTGATAAAAATTTAGGAGACTACATATTGTCATTGATTCAAAATGTTTCTCAAGGTAAGCTTTTTGTGGTGTGTTTTCAGCTATTAAACGAATCGTGATTGGGCCTCTTTTTAAAACGTTTCTGACAACATGATTCAAATTGATATTATTTATTGCTCTTTGACTTGTTTATCTTACCTTAAATTCAGCAAAAGCGATTTTGACTAGCAAACTGATGCTTTAGATTGTATGCTCCCAAGAGTCTGATTCTAGTTGTTGTATTAAGAATAGTGTACCTTTTTGCTTTCACTGCTATTAAATCTTGGTGATTAAGGAAGAGAGTGCCCTGTATTACTGTGAGTTTTATAATTTTGGACAGATGACTCACTTCTCATAACATCATATTGGATGTTTCTTTTACGATTTCTTCTTCTTATACTTCTAAAATGTACCTGTTTTAATGTTTTTCCCTTAGATCAAATGAATGCTTCAGGACCAATTAAAGAGAAGATGGGGATATTCAAGATATTAGAAAATTCTGAAGATTCCAGTCCTGAATGTTTGTTTTAAAGTGGAGCTCAAGAATAGCTTTTAAAAGTTCTTATTTACATCTAGTGATTTCCCTGTATTGGGTTTGAAATACTGATTGTCCACTTCACCTTTTTTATTATATCAGTTGACATGTAACTAGTACCATGCGTACTTAAATAGATGGTAATTTTCTGAGCCTTACCAAGAACAAAGAAGTATCCATATTAAGTTTAGATTTTCAGTTAATTTTTGAGACTGAGTAGTATTCTTGGATACAGGCTGATGTGTACTTAACCACTTCCAGATTTATACAGTCTTCCTGTGGAAGTTTAGTAAATGTCTTTTTCCCTCCTTTCTTCTAGTAATGCAGTTCATGGGCTTTAGGTACTTCAGTTATGAAGTAGGCTTTTCATGGGGAGAGATTGGGATTATGCTCTCTGTTGTTTAAGAAACTGTTTGATTTTAGAGTCTATTTCTATGAGATAGTTTACCAAATAAATGTTCCTTATAAGATGATCTCATTAAATTATTTCTTCAGGAATAGCTTAGGTGCAATAATAGCAAAAGACTTGGCTGTCGGTAGGATTTGGTTATTTTGTTTTCTTGGTTTCATTCACTAGTACTATAGGAGTGTGTCATATAGAGATTTCAAGTGGACATTGTGTTAGCACAAGAGAAGTTTCTGAATGAAACTTTAGGGTCTTGAGAAACGACTAGAAATTGGAAATGGTAGTGTATCATGCAAAACAAGACAGACCCTGAAAATTTATAGTAGTGGGTTAACTAGAACCAAATATAAGAGAATAGGCCTTAGGAATATGTAAGTAATGCACAATCTGTAATAGAACAGCATAAAGGCCAAAAGAGGCACAATTTAGACCCTGTGTGAAAGGATATCAGACAATGAGGAAGAGAAATCCTGAATGTACCCTGGAGAGGGGACATACTCCATAAGCCATACATTTCTGTGTTAGTGTTTATTTCATGGAAAAATATTGCTGTTGCCATGTATATTCAAATGCAGATCAGATGATCTGTTAAGGATAATGGAACCGTCACTTAAGAAAAACTTAATTTTTTTTCCCTGTGTCCTATTGGCACAGGTCTTTTCTTTTAAATTTTTATTTTAATCGTTTTGAGGTACAGGTGGGTTTTGGTTACATGGATAAGTTCTTTGGTGGTGAAGAAAAACTTCAGATAGAACATTTGGTTAAATAAAAGACTATAGAGCAGGTTTATTTGTTTTTTAAGTCAAAATGTTAACCCATTACATAAGCATGCTGACCTAGGCTTGCTTGAAACTCGTGATCTTGTCCTTAGTGACCCAGTCTTTCCTGTTACATTGTCCTAAATGACTGGTTTCATAGTTTTACTCTGTCATTGCACGTCTCATATCTCCTCCCTCTCACTTTGCTCCCTATTGCCCTGAGAAAATAGACGCAGTCAGAAAAGAATCTTTAAAAGTTGTCACCGTTGCATCTGTAAACCTAGCATCTGTGCCCATCTGTCCCCATCTGCCCTTTATTATATACTGCGGATATATTGTTTGTCGTAGCTTGAGCCAATTGCAATGTCTCATTTCTTTTATAACAAAGCTCCTTGAAAAAGAGTTCTATTATAGCAAAACTCCTTGCCTGTATTCATTGTTTTTAGTTTGTTCTGTTTTTTCTGAACCCATTCCAATCAGATATTCATTTCCATTGGAGCTGGTATTTTTAAGGTCTCGTGACGTCAGTGACCTCATTTTACTTGATCTATTAGCAGCATTTCATACAGTTGTTGACTCTTCTCCATTAAAACATTTACTTTATTTGGCTTCTAGGAAACATATTTTCCTGCTTTTTCTTCCTATTTCTCTGACTCTTTTCTCAGTTTCCTTTGCTGTTTCCTTTTCTATCCTCTAAACATTGAAATATCCTAAGCCTAGTTTGGGATTCCCTTGATGGTCTTCATTTCTTTAATGGGAACTGTGCTGGTGACTCAAATTTATATCTCCAGCCAGAACCTTTCTCCTGAATTCCAGATTCACATATCCGACTGTTTACTAGGTGCTTGATAACTATATCTGTACTTTTCATCTTGTTTAATCCAAATTTACTTCTTTTGCATTTTCCTTAGTTCAATAAATGACAACTTTATTCTTCCAGTTATTTAAACCAAAAATCTTAGAGTCATTCTTCTCTTCCTTCCCTCATATTTCATGTCTGATTCTAAAGGAAATCTTGTTGCCTGTACTTTTTCTTTCTTTCCTTTTTTTCCCCTTTTTTTGAGTCTCGCACTGTCGCCCAGGCTGGAGTGCAGTAGTGCAATCTCAGCTGACTGCAATCTCTGTGTCCCGGGTTCAAGCGATTCTCCTACCTCAGCCTCCTGAGCAGCTGGGGTTACAGGTGCATGCCACCATGCCTGGCTAATTTTTATATTTTTAGTAGAGACTGGGTTTCACCATGTTGGTAAGGCTGGTCTCCAACTCCTGACCTTGTGATCTGCCCGCCTTGGCCTCCCAAAGTGCTGGGATTGCAGGCGTGAGCCACCACATCTGGCTTTTTTTTTTTTTTTTTTTATAAACAGTTTCACTTCGTCACCTGGGCTGAAGTACAGTGGTGTGATCTTGGCTCACTGCAACATCTGCCCCCCGGGTTTAAGTGATTCTCATTCCTTGGCCTCCCGAGTAGCTGGGACTAGAAGTGTGCGCCACCACACCTGGCTAATTTTCTTATTTTTAGTAGAAACGTGGTTTCACCATGTTGGCCAGGCTGGTCTCGAACTCCTCACCTCAACTGATCATCTGCCTCGGACTAAGTGCTGGGATTACAGGCCTGAGCCAATGCGCCCAGCCTACTTTCTATAAAAGTCGTCATGTCTCTGCCCCCACCCCCCGCCACCCCCCACATAGTCTGTTTCATTTGATTTTCCCCTTAGTTTAGTGTTTTATTTTGATGTTTCTTCAGATGCCTTGGGATCATTTACTGTTCCTCATATTTAAGAGCAAATGCTTAAAAATTCTTAGAAATACCTTCTTGAAAAGCCTGCATTCCTACCACCTCTCACCACTTCAACATGAAATAATGATCCCTTACATCTTTTTAGTGTAGTTATATAACTTTTGATTGGCTCAATAATTACTTTTATTATGGCTGTGTAAGTATTATTAAAGCTTTAGATAAGCCATGGAATATGCTGTGATTTTATTTTCATTCTTGTGCAGCTTTTTTTTTCTCCCTGAAGTTAATACTTAACTGTTTTTTACCTACCAGTAATTTATATCTAATCACTCTGGAAATATAAGCCCCTCAGTATATTAAAACAGATCTCATGATTCAGTAATAAACCTCCCCCTCCAAATATATCCCATCACCTCTACTCCCTGGAACATTCTTCTAGTTTGGACTGTAGAACTGATTCCATCTGGAACCTTCCTTTACCATACTCCTGGGTATTCCTGTTGGCTGTTTCATGTTTTGGAATTACTGTTTACTGTGTCTTGTGTCTCCCCCCCCCCCCCTTTTTTTTTCCTTTAAGACAGAGTTTCACTCTTGTTGCCCAGGCTGGAGTGCAATGGCTTGATCTCGGCTCACTGCAACCTCTGTCTCCCAGGTTTAAACTATTCTCCTGCCTCAGCCTCCTGAGTAGCTAGAATTACAAGCGCCCACCACCATGCCCAGCTAATTTTTGTATTTTTAGTAGGGACAGGGTTTCACCATGTTGGCCACGCTGGTCTCGAACTCCTGACCTCAGGTGATCCACCCTCCTCGGCCTCCCAAAGTGTTGGTACTACAGGTGTGAGCCACTGCGCCTGGCTGGATCTAACTTTTTTTCCTCCTTGGTTTACTCGCTCACTTTGATGGATTATGTTGTCTTGTGTTTTCCCAAGAAAAGAATTCAAGGGAAATGAATTTTTTGAGAACTCGCATATCTGGCTGTATTTTTGTTGGATTCTTATATTTGATGGATAGTTCTGGTTTGGGATTTTAGAGTAGGAATTATTATCTTCTCAGAATTTCGAAAGTTGTTGTGTTGTCTCAGAACTTCCAGTGTTGTGGGAGAGAAAATTAATGGTTCCTTTTTTTTTTTTTTTTTTTTGAGACAGGGTCTCATTCTGTCACCTAGGCATGAATACAGCTCACTGCAGCCTTGACCTCCCGGGCTCAAGTGATCCTCCTGCCTCAGCCACCAATTTAGTTTGGACCACAGCCATGCACCAAATGCCCTGCTAAATTTTTAATTTTTTGTGGAGACAGGGTCTCACCATGTTGCCCAGGCTGGTCCTGAACTCCTGGGCTCCAGCAATTCCCCCCGGCTTGGCCTCCCAAAGGGCTGGGATTACAGGTGTGAGCTCCTGCACCTGGCCCGAATGCTGCTTTGATTTCCAGTCTGTTGAAGGTGGGGGGAACCAGCCTTTTGTTAATGTGAGCTTCCAGTGTTTCTTTGTCTTTTGTATTCTAAATTAATAACACAGTGATGTGTCTTGGTATGGGTCTTTTTTTTTTTTCTTTTTTTTTTTCATTTTTAAAGAGACTCCTGCTATGTTGCACAGACTTGTGAATTCCTGGTTTCAAGTTATCTTTCCCCCTATGTCACTCAAGTAATGTGGACTACACTCATGTGACACCATGCCCATCTTTATGTTGTGTATCTTATTTTTGTTTTGTTTTACTCTTGAATCAGCTCAGTCTGAAAATCTGTCTTTTAATTCATGGGGATTTTTTAGAATGATTTCTTGGAGGGTTTTGTCTTTTGAATGTGTGGTCCCTTCTCTGCCTAGAATTTTTTTGTTTGAATGAGACATGGTCTTGCTGTTGTCCAGGTTGGAGAGCAGTGGTGCAACTATAGCTCACTACATTCTTGAATTTCTGGGCTCAAGCCATCTTCCCATCTCAGCTTTCAGAATATCTTGGCTACAGGCATGTGACACTATGCCCAGATAATTTAAAAAAAAAAAAAAAATTTCTTGAGACAGGGTCTTGCTATGTTGCCCAGGCTCGTCTTGAATTCCTGTTCTCAGAGGGTCCTCCTATGTTTGCTTCCCAAAGCATTGGTATTATATGTATGAGCCACCACCACTAGCACTTCTGCCTAGAACTCGTAACAAAATTTCTTTCCCCCATCTGCATAGTCTTGTTTCATTAAATGATTCTTCCCTTTTTAAAGTTTAGTCTGTCTTTTATTTTGATGCTTCTTCAAATGCCTTGGGATCATTTACTGTTCCTCAAATTTAAGAGCTAGAAGAAATCTCTCTAAGCTCCATGCATGAGGGTTCTCAACAGGTGGATTTTACTCCAGTGTGATTTCACTAGACCATTTATTTGAGGGTCACCCAATTGTCAGTATATGTATATGAGAGAGAATATGTACATATATATCTGAGAGAAATTCTCTAATCACTTGTCCTGTGTGAGTATATGTACTTTGCCAGTTTTCTTTTGGGGTGAGGAGGAGGGACAGTGTATTAGAGATTTTACTGTTCAAAATGTAGACTTCCTCAGTTTTCAGTAAAATACTCTACCCTGTCTATATGTGGATTCCCCTATTCCAGACTGATTCACCCTTTTCAGTGAGTTAGTCGTGACATTTCTTACACTGTGAGGGGGAGTGGTAATTACTTTACAGGGAGGTATGGGGCCATGGTGTTTGACTCTTCTTTCAACCACTTCTGGGTTTTTTAGTGAAAACCTCTATCTAACACTGATACTTTCATTTCTGTTGTCTATTGAGTCAGTTAACACTGATCCATTTATTTTTCAGTTCCCAAAATCTTGCTTTGCCATTGCTTCTATTTTATTGTCTGGGGGTGTTTAACACCTGTTTCATTTTTTACAGTCATTTAGTTTCCAGATTTTAGTAAGGGACAGAGGGGAATAGATGGACTCATTTCATGATGTAGAAACAAATACTCCCTGTCTTGTCTTACATGAAAAATTATTCTTAAACTAGGCCTTATCTTTGAGAACCTGATCAAAGTATAAAAAATACTTTTTGGCTTTATTTCTTTAGTGAGTCACTATTCCATATTTTGAAGGTGTTAAGAGGTATGGTAAAGGTGGTACTTGAACATTTCCAAGCAAACGTGTGATGAAATCTTTCATCAATGTCTTAGCAATGGTATATGATTTTTTTAGTCTTAGCAATTTTAGATAAGTTTTTTTTTTGTCTTGTTTTTTTGAGACGGAGTCTTGCTCTGTCGCCTAGGCTACAGTGTAGTGGCGTGATCTCGGCTCACTGCAGCCTCTGCCTCCGAGCGGGGTCCAGCGATTCTCCTGCATCAGCCTCCTGGGTAGTTGGGATTACAGGTGCATGCCACCACACCCAACTGATTTTTGTATTTTTAGTAGAGACAGGGTTTCACCATCTTGGCCTGACTGGTCCCGAACTGATCTCAGGTGATCTGCCCACCTCGGCCTCCCAAAGTGCTGGGATTACAAGCGTGAGCCACTGCGTGGCCTGAGGTAAGATTTTATAAGAAGCCTACAAAGCCCTAATTTTTACATTAAGAACATTAAGTGCTTCTGATAGTTTTAAGTTCCGTAGTCTTTATTTCAAAGAATTATTTCATTCTGAATTTCTATTTAAATTAGTCTAGAATATGTTTATAAATTTATTTACATTTGGTTGAAATGTATTCTTAAAACTTATTCCACAGTTTCCAGTTTGAGGATAAATGAGGTCTAAAGACAGTATGAACTTGTTAATAATTTTTCCTATTGTCCTTTTTAGAAATCTTACATATCCTTTAGCCTAATTATAGATTGGCCCTGCAAGCATGTCACTGTATCTTTTATGTCTTCCTGAGTCTTAGCACTTTAAATTCTTCTATATCCTTCACTGTCTTTCTTACAGCACCCTAAAAGAGTAGCATGTGAACTGTTGCTCTTCTCTAAGGTATTTTAGGACATTTTTAAAATAATATATGAGTGGTTGTCATGCTAAATACTGTCTACCACAACTCATACAATTAAAGTGGTCAAAGAAAGGTCTCTTTCATTTCTTTTTTCATTTTAAAAAGAAATGTTATTTGTAAAACAGTATAGTCATAACACAGATATGGCAGTTTTTTAGTTTTTTTTTTTCTTTTTCTTCACTGTGTCATCCAGGCAGTAGCGTGATTATAATTCACTGCAGCCTCCAACTCCTGGGCTTGAGGGATCCTCTCACTGAGCCTTCTGAGCAGCTGGGACTGCAAACGTGTGCCAGTACTCCTGGCTAATTTTTAAATTTTTTTGTAGAATTGAGGTGTTTTTTTAAATTTTTTTAAAGCCTTGTTTGCAAACTGTTGCAACTTCTGGCGGCTGCAACTTCTGGCCTCAAGCAATCTTCCTGTCTTGGCCTCCCAATAGCATAAGCTACCGCACCCAGCCCACAATTTTCTTTCAGTACAATATAAACATCTTGCAAGCGCTAGCTTGATTTACACTTTTTGTCTGTATCCACCTCTTTTTTTTTTTTTTTTTTTTTTTTTTTTTGAGATGGAGTTTCGCTCTTACTGCCCAGGCTGGAGTGCAGTGGTGCGATCTTGGCTCATTGCAACTTCCACCTCCCAGGTTCAAGCGATTCTCCTGCCTCCATCTTCCGAGTAGGTGGCATTACAGGCATGTGCCACCACGCCCGGCGAGTTTTGTATTTTTAGTAGAGATGAGGTTTCTCCATGTTGGTCAGGCTAGTCTCGAACTCCTGACCTCAGGTGATCCACCCACCTTGGCCTCCCAAAGTGCTGGGATTACAGGCATGAGCCACTGCGCCCAGTATATATCCACCACTTTACCATCCACATTAGCATTTCATTAGCTTCTCTTTGCCCTTTTAGTTAATAACCCCATCTCAGGGTGATTCACTTTCATAATCCGTATTACCATGGATTAATTCTGCATAGCAAAAACTATGATAGGTGTGTTAAGTAATGAAGTTTGGGGAATGTTAATAAGATGATTTCTCTTACTGTAGATGAAATACATCGTAAGAGAATCCCTCGTGAGACCAGATCAGTTACATGTATATCTTGCCTCTCTTAAGTCTCTACCATTTATTACTGTACTTGAGTTAGGATTTGGAAGTGCCACTGAACACTAAAATTATTCTGTCTGGGTATTTGAATGGTGTGAGACAAAAATCCATTTTAATGTTTTATCAAGTTGAGATGTCTCACATGAGTAGTTAGTGCTGAGAATCAGACACAGGCACATTTGGGAGCATGGCGTGGCAAGAAGCTTTGCTTTTTCCTGTTCCTATTGTACTCAAACTTGTTTCTACATTTTTCATTGATTTCTCTTCGTACTAGCACTAGGGCGCAAGAGAAGCCGTACTGGAATATTACACTACTCAGCACAAGACAGGTTTAATCTTTTTCTTGGGGGACAAGATTGGAAAATTGAGGTCTGAGCAGACCTGAAGAGAGGCATCCAGCAACTCTGAGATTAAATTCATCATTGATCAATTCGTTATTGTTTGGAATTGACGTTTAGCTGTGTTCCTCACTCAGATACGTGCATGATAGCTGCTTGCTAATTTGGTCTTAGCTCACATTTCACCTAGAATGTATGGTCTCCCTCTCCCCTGCAAAATATCCCACTGTTGCTAATCTGTCTGCCTCATAATTTCCATGAGATTGAGCATCTTGTTTGTTTTGTCACCACTATATAACAGCATGTTGGAAACAAAGCAGTAATAAAGCTAGAAAAACCAAGCGAATACACTGGATTAAAAAAAATACTGTTTCCTAGAATTAAAGAAATAAATGAGGCCGGGCGCAGTGGTGCCTGTAATCCCAGCAGTTTGGGAGGCTGAGGCTAGTGGATCATGTGGCCGAGATCGCGTCACTGCACTCCAGTCTAGCAACAGAGCGATACCTTGTTTCTTACTTAAAAAAAAAAAAAGACCTCATTTGTTAACTGTTAAACAGAAAACAAGAAATTCCCTATACCTGTATGCATTATAGAGCAAATAAGAGCATCAAAAACAATCTTAGAAATCTTTCAGAGAAAGGTCACCTACAAAGGAACATTGATCAGATAATAGATTTTTTTTTTTTTCTCAGATGGAGTTCTGCTCTTGTCGCCCAGACTGGAGTGCAATGGCACGATGTTGGCTCACTGCAATCTCCGCTTCCCAGGTTCAAGCAGTTCTCCAGCCTTAGCCTCCCAAGTAGCTGGGATTACAGGCTCCCACTACCATTCCCAGAATTTTTGTATTTTAATTAGTAGAGACGGGGTTTCGCCATGTTGGCCAGGCTAGCCTCGAACTCCTGAACTCAGGTGATCTGCCTGCCTCGGCCTCACAAAGTGCTGTGATTACAGGGTGTGAGCCACTGCACCTGGCCGATAACAGATGTTTTAATAGTAAGATAAAAAGTAAAATTTCCAGTGTGTCGAAGGAAGAAAATTACAGCCTAGAATTTTATCTTCATGTACATTATTTAAGTGTGAGGGAATAGTTTCAGTGACATTATGTCATTGAAGACCTTAGAAGATTTCCCTCGCTAAAGGAGATAAAGCGACTGGCACAACATGTATTTCTCTGAGTAATTAGAAGTGTTCTTTTCTGGCTGTACTGAAGGGACTTTCATGATTTCTTCGTTTTTGTACTCTTAGTTTTATAATATTGCATAGTAGCTAAGGCCTGGCTGTAGCAGTTATAAACTGTTCTGCAAGTGCGGGAAGTAATAGTTATTCCTATCTCAAGGATGTGGGGTTTAAATGGGTTAGTGCACAAAAGGACATTTATTAAATTTAGTCATAATCATCTCAAGGACATGGTAAGTGAAAGAGTGTACATAAAGTACTTAATGTAATGTTTGCTACTTAATGTTCAATAACTCAAAGAGACCACCACCACTACTACATTTTACTTTTATTAGTAATTAATAATAATTAATAATTAGTAATTCAGTGGTAATTAGTATACTACCAAAGAAAGTACTTGAGCAGAAGAGCCAAAATTCAAACCATAGAATCATTTTACTGTGCTTTTATTCTACCTCAAACACTAATCTCCAGGCCTTGGATAAAGGGATTATTTCTCTGAAGGGGAAAGTTATCCTCTTTTTGCCCAAGTCACACTTGTGTCATTTCTTATACTGTAAACATGTGGTTCCAATTCTGAGGTATTTTCCCGGTTTGTAGGACCCAAAAAGAAGTTAGGCTTGAGAAATTTTAAGTGAAGAGAACAATTCTAGTTCAGAGTGATTGGCTCTTCCTAAAAGCTGACATTTGACTGAAAATTTTGAGGGGAGGGAAAGAAACAATACCTTTTACGGCATGTAATAGGAAGAAGACCTGGATTTTAGTTGCTGCTCTGATGTCCCAACTTGGGTAAGGCAACATAACATAAATGTCAGTTTCTTCAGATTTGTGATGAAGCTGATAATCCATGCTCAGCTTCCTTTATGGGTCTCTTGCCTATCAAATAAGGTACAGTATGTGAAGATACATTGCAGATTATCTTATGCATTGCTTCAGGGGATGATTAAACCATCCTTTATTATAGCCAGAGTCTAGTCTAAGGGAAGAAGGTCATTCTCTATACCAGTGAAGGCTCCATCCAAACCAGTGTTTGGGGGCATAGTCATAATTGAAAAATGATTGTTTTCCTTATCTGTAAGACAGGTAAATGGTATTAATCCTCAGGTGGTTGTGAGGATTAAGTGATACATGTAAAAAAAAGAAAGCTTTGGATAGTACCTATTATAAGAAACTCAGTGTTGCTGCAATGTATGTATTATAATGGATTTGAAATTTGCCCTAACCAAGAGTCACAGACAGAAAAAAGGAAGTTAATGTATCTCTTGATCACTATCAAGATGTGGTATTGAACCTTCAAGATCCTTTTCAGGGAATATGTGAGATCAAAATTTTTATACTGGCACTATGATGTTATTTGCCTTTTCCTCATATTCACAAGTGAACAGTGGAGTTTTACAGAAGCTATATAATGTCATGACATCACTGATGGGTAATAGAATGTGTGCTTGTATATTCCGAAACTTTCAGTTCCAATTTCTTCGATCAATGTAATCCTCATAAGTAAAAGTTATTTGAGGACCTCAGACATTTTTAAAAATGTAAAGGGGGTGGGGTCAGGCTCAGTGGCTCATGCCTGTAATCCCAGCATTTTGGAAGGCCGAGGCGAACGGATCACTTGAGGCCAGGAGTTTGAAACTAGTCTGGTCAACATGGTGAAACCCCGTCTCCACTAAAACAAAAAGTTTTCTGGATGTGGTGGCACACATACCTGTAATCCCAGCTACTTTGGTGGCTGAGGCATGAGAATCACTTGAACCCAGAAGACAGGTTGCAGTGAGCCAAGATTGTGCCCCTGCATTCTAGCCTGGGTGACAGTGAGACTGTCTCAAAAAATAAAGGTGTACAGGGATTGTATATTTGACAACTTGGTATGTAGGATGTGCTACCTCTAATGTTCCATGCTGTTACTTAGTTTTCACTCACTACTATATTTTGGAGATTTGTTCATATTGCTCTGTGTACATTTAATTCTTCAGTGTGTATCCACCACATTTAACTTATTCACTTACAGAACTATGCAAGAATTTCTCTGGTAAATTTCACTAAGTACTTATGTACTTTTCAGAACGATTGTGAGTTTACACCCCTACCAGCAGGACTGAGTTGAGTACCCATTTCCTCACATCCTTGCCAGTACTTCATTTGCCTAATTTTTGCCATTCTCATAATGTGGCAATTGTTCAATTTTGCATTTCTTCCATTTTATTTTTTTGCATCTCTGCTTTTCTTTTGGTTAGCTTTGCCAGTTCTGCCTATTATATTAATCTCCCAGAATCAGCTTTTAGTTTTGTTAAATCTCTGACATGTTTCGTTGATTCCTGCTTTCATCTTAAACATTTCTTCGTTGTTAATTTGTGTTTGCTATAAAATAAGCAACATCTTAAATGCTTGATTTGCTTTCGATGTTTATTCTGTAATAAGATATTTAAAGATATAATTTTTTCCCTAAATGCTTTATTAGACTTTTCTCATAAGTTTTGACTGGTACTGTTTTCATTGTTATTTAATTTTGTGTTTTTTAACTTCTTTCATGATTTCCTTTTAACTGAAGGTTTTCTTAGATATTTAGTTTGCTGGTATATTCTTTTAAAATTGTATCATTGCTTTCTTTCTATATTGGATTATTGTCAGAGAACATGATTTGCATGATATTAACTTTTTGGAGTATATTGTTGCATCTTTGTGGCCTAGTACATAGTTAATTTAGTGAATGCTTCCAGTTGTACTTGAAAAGAATGTATATTTTCTGATTATTGAGGGTAAATTTCTCTATATATGTTTTCCTGTTTAATAAATATGTAGCTATGTGCTTATGTTTTGACTGCTCGGTTAATTATTTTTGAGAAATATATGTGTTAAAGACTCCATATTTCTGTACACAACTGATACCTGGTATTTGCTCATTTTAAGGTCTTTTTAGTAATGGGCGAAGTATAGAGAAAGTAGAGCTGGTTCATCCATCACTTGGGTCAAACCCTCCATCCTTAAACAGTTGCTCATGTGCAGGTGGACGCATCATTGAAGCTTTTCTTTCTTTGGGCACCAGAGTCAGGGATAGATTCAGGCCCCAAAAGACCCCACGGTACTTCCTGGGCCCTTGGGCTCTGTCCTGAACTTCTGTGTCCTGAAATCCTGCTTGAGTCTTGAGTTGTGGGACTCAAGTCTCAGAGGTCCCCTCCCCAGACAACCTCCTGTTCTGACGTCATAGGAGACCATCACCCCCTCCAGCCCTCAATAAGTGCATTTTAAGTGTACAATTACATGAATTTTGACAGTTTTTTATAAGTTACTTGTAATTTTACTTATATATAAAATGTCTATAAGCTACCTATAATTTATACTTACATATGTATATATGTTTGTATAATGACTGGTAAAACCTAGATACAGATCATTTCTGTTATCTCCAGTTGTTTCCTTGTGTTATAGCCTAGTCAATCCCTGCCCCACCTCCAGCTTCAGGAGCAGCCACTGATGGGATTCTTTTCCCCCAGTATAGATCAGTGATTCTCAGTTGGGTGATTTTGTCCTCCAGAGGACATTTGTCAAGATCAGGAGACATTTGGTTGTTAAAACTGTAGAGTGCTATTGTAATCCAGTGGGTAGATGCTGGAGATGCTAAACATAAAGCACAGGACAACCCCTTACAACAAAGAATGATGCAGTCCAACAGGATCGTTTGAGGTCACAGAAAGGTGTGAACAAAGGAGGTGGGAATCACGGAGGCCATCTTCAAGTCTGTTTGCCACATACCCCATTCTCTGTCTCCTTTCTTTCAGAGATTCTAACTTTAGATCTTTTGGATATATCCCACATGTTTCATTCACTACTTTAGTCTTCTCATTATTTTTTTTTCTCTGTGCTCAGTTTGAGATTTTTGACCTGTCTTGAGTTTTCTAGTCTCATATATAACGGAGTTATATAATCTTCCAGTTTGTTGGTAAAATCCATTCAGCGAGTTCTTAATTTCAGATGCTGCATTGTTGAGTTCCAGAATGCTTATTTAATTCCTTGTAATATTACCAGCTGAAATTGTTTATCTTTTAATTCCTTTCCCTCTTTTTTTAAACAACATATTAATCACGAGGGGTTGGTCTCTTCAATCCCATCAGGGTTATTGGGTTTGGGCTATGTTGAAATCTTGGTAAAACTTAGTTCACCTCTAGTTTATCTCTTTTTGTTTTTTTGAGACGGAGTCTCACTCTGTCGCCCAGGCTGGAGTGCAGTGGCGCGATCTTGGTTCACCGCAAGCTCCGCCTTCCGGGTTCATGCCATTCCGCGTCAGCCTCCCAAGTAGCTGGGACTACAGGCACCCGCCACCACGCCCGGCTAATGTTATGTATTTTTTAGTAGATGGGGGGTTTCACCGTGTTAGCCAGGATGGTCTTGATCTCCTGACCTTGTGATCCGCCTGCCTCGGCCTCCCAAAGTACTGGGATTACAGGCGTGAGCCACCGTGCCCGGCCTAGTTTATGTCTTCTATGAGCATGGTTCTCCTTGGCTTTTGATTTATAGTCTTGTGAGTCTCTGGCTCCTTATCCCTGAAGGACTAATTTAGTTTTGCCGTTTAGAGGTTTTGATCTAATTGGCTCTTGAGCCTCTGGTTCCCCTGCAGCTTCAAAATCTGGCAAGTGTCTTGAGGTGGAGGACTCTTAGTAGAATGTTGTTTTCTAAGTAATTTGAGATTATGGGAAATTTCACTCTTTTTAGAGGCCACCAGTCTACTCACCTTTTCATTTGTAGCCACAGAATTCAGCAAATGTCCTGTGGACAAAACTATATGTATTAGGGGTTTGTCAAAGTTTAAATGTGTCATGCCAGACTCAGAAGCAGCCAAAAACACTGCTGATCTTTTTTTCTCTTCTAGAGATCCTCTATGTGGACCAAGCCTGCCTGATCTACACACACACACACATATGCACACGCACACGTTCAAACTTATTCAAATCCTTTATATCATTTCTTATGTGAACTGCTTAATTTTGAGGGAGGTTTTAAAAATATTTTATCATGATTATGGATTTATAAAATTTTTATTTTGTCAGTTTTTTGCTTTTTGTATGTTGAAGTCATGCTGTCAGATGCTTTAAGGCACATAATTGTTATATAATTTAATTGACAAAACAATCTCTAGCCATAGTTCTCTCAGGCCTTGTTAATGTTATTCATTTTAATTTGCTTAATAGTAGTATTGTTATCCCATTTTCACTTTGTTAGTTTTTATCAGAAATATATTTTTTCATTTCTTAATTTTCAGTACTTTAGTTACATCTGTTATAAACAGCATTATTTTAGTTTTAACAAGAAGATTTATAGATTTCTCATGACTTATATTTTCAGTTTTGTGGCTCAGGTTTTCCTTTTGTTGGAGTTCTATGAGATTTTTTTCTTCATCTCCTCTATTCATTGCTATTATCAACTAAGATGATTTTGATTGGGAGAGCCTCAACTCAGGCTGGTTTAAAAAATAGGGAAATTTCAGCACTTACTCTAGGCAGGGATAATAAAATAAAAACAATAGGGTCGGTGGCTCATGCCTGTAATACCAGCACTTCGGGAGGCCGAGTCGGGTGGGTCACTTGAGGTCAGGAGTTCAAAACCAGCCTGGCCAACATGGTGAAACCCCATCCCTACTAAAAATACAAAAATTAGTCCAGGCACGGTGGCGGTAATCCCAGCACTTTGGGAGGCCGAAGTGGGTGGATCATCTGAGGTCAGGAGTTCAAGATCAACCTGGCCAACATGGTGAAATCCTGTCTCTACTAAAAATAAAAAAATTAACTGGGCGTGGTGGTGGGCACCTATAGTCCCAGCTATTTGGGAAGCTGAGGCAGGAGAATTGCTTGAACCTGGGAGGTGGAGGTTGCAGTGAGCCGAGGTTGCACCACTGCCCTCCAGCCTGGGTGACAGCGTGAGACTCTGTCTCAAAAAATAAAAAAATAAAAAATTAACTGGGCATGCTAGTGCATGCCTATATTCCCAGCTACTTGGGAGGCTAAGGCAGGAGAATCGCTTGAACCCAGGGGTCGGAAGTTGTAGTGAGCCGAGATCGCATCACTGCCCTCCAACCTGGGCGACAGAACAAGACTCTGTTTCAAAAAAATAAATAAATTAATTAAATAAAGGGATAATTTACTACTTCACATAATAGTGTTACAATAGCCATGTGGCTCAGATATGTTCCCTAGTGGTAAGAAATCTCTATGCCTCACCTTCTTTGGTGGTGTTCAACCCCCATATGTGGTTTTTTCCCCTTTTGCTTACCAACCCCCAGAACAATTCCTGTTGGCCCAAATATGTTACTGGTGGTGAATCCATACGGTTCTGCAGCAACCTCAATTCTTGCCTCTTGAGAAGAAATAATTTGAGGGGCATAAGGCAAAGGAGAGACAGGCAAATATTAGAGGAGGAGTGAAAGTTTATTACAAAGTTGTAGAGCAGGAAATGAAAGGAAGTAAAGTACACTTGGAAGAGGGCCAAGTGAACATCTTGGAGGTCAAGTGCACTATTTGACCTTGGCCTTAGGGTTTTATATGCTGGCCTACATCTGGCATCTAGGATCGCTTTTCTGGTGGAATGCCTCTGAAAGGTAATATACCAGTTAAACTCTGCCGTTTTGCCTGTTAATGTGCATGCTTGAGGTTACTCGCCCAACTCCTGAGATCTTATCAGGAAGCTGCTGATCACTAGTCTTAGGTGTTTCGTATATGTTGGGAGACTGCCTTTCCCTGGTGTTGGCTGTGACCAGTTATATTATGGAGACAGTTAACCACCTGATCATCACCTGATGGCCACCTGGGATGTGGGGGGAACCCTCTCCTGCCCCACTTATGCCTGTCTAGCTACCTACTGTAACAATAGAAAGCCTACATTTGGACATGCTTCAGAGCTGTTTGACTCTGGTTCAGTGATGTCATGCAGGTATTTCTAGCTCTCATCATGCTTTTCTTCAGTGGCAGCTTCATTCTCATACTGGTAGCAAGTGTTTCCAGGCATCACACCCAGAAACAACCACATCCAGAGGATGAAGAGAGACTACATTTTTGGTGCTCTCCTAGGAACAAGATAACTCCCTCAAAACTTGCCATGAGAGTTCCCATCATGAATCTTTGTGTCAAATTCCTGAGGCAATCTCTGGCAATATATGCAAAATTATGTTTTGCTGCTCCCTGGATGTAGGGGTTGGATCAGCTTCCACCAAGGTATTTAGCTGCCTGGGGAAATGGGTGGATAACTGAATTACATTGGTATTACTCTGTTAGGAAGGAAAAAGTAGGTAGGGGAGAATGTTGAATAAGCCGGGAATACTGTCCCCTACAAATGTTCAAGGATTTTCCTTTTATTTATTCGTTCTTCAAAACCTCAAGAAATTATTATTATTATTATTATTATTATTATTATTATTATTATTATTATTTTTGAGAGAGGGTCTCACTGTCTCCCGGGCTAGAGTTCAGTAGTGCAAACATAGCTCACTATAGTCTCAACCTCCTTGGCTCATGTGATCCTCCTGCCTCAGCCTCTGAAGTAGCTGAGACCACAGGTGTGTGCCACCACACCCAACCAATTTTTTTATTTTTAAATTTTCGTAGAGACAGGGTCTTGCCATGTTGCCCAGGCTAAGAAATTCTACTAGAGAGGTTAAGTAGTCTTCTTGGTTCCTTGCTGGAAAACAAAAATTCCATAAACAAAGTTTTGCTTTATGAAAGGGGAATGATTTTATAACGTAACTTGACATACTAGTAATTTAATATTTGTATTATGAATCTAGTCATTGTTTGGGATCAGGCCACATCACCCCAAAGTCTCTATGACTGCAGGAGACCATAATATACCACCCCAAAATATGCCTCTTTGATGAACTGATTATTTTGAACTGCTTATTTTAAGAAACTGCAGATGCAGGAGTAGTTCTGAAAAGGTGCCCATTTGTAAGATAAATTTACACAGGAAATCTCCACTTTTAAGTGCCAGGCAAGGTGTCAAAGCCCGGGCAGTGAAGACTGGTTGGCTCCCTGCTGGTAAAAGAATTTACCAACAATAGTATAGGTTTGAAAAGGAAAGTTTTATTAGAAAGAACACTGCAGCAGAGTGTACTGGGACACTTCAGCAAGAGAGGACTGAGTGTGCAGTTGTGGATTTTCCGTAGGGGTATTTATGGACCTTAAAGCAGGAGCTTAAGGATACTTTGGACCATATTAGTAATGTAGGTCATGATAAATGGTTACATGTGTAGACATTTTGGTGCCTTGATGTCAGCGAAGTTTGCACAATGGGTTTCAACATGCGTGCATTCTGGAGATGTATTGAAATTCTTGTTACTTACACATTTTTGGGAAAGAGGCCTGATACCAGATGTGGCTTTAGTCAGAGGTGTCCAATATATATATATTTTTATACTTTAAGTTCTGGGGTACATGTGCAGCATGTGCAGGTTTGTTACATAGGTATACATGTGCCATGGTGGTTTGCTGCACCCGTCAATCCGTCATCTACATTAGGTATTTCTCCTAATGCTATCCCTCCCACCAACAGGCCCCGGTGTGTGATGTTCCCCTCCCCGTGTCCATGTGTTCTCATTGTTCAACTCCCACTTACGAGTGAGAACATGCAGTGTTTGGTTTTCTATTGTGTTAATTTGCTGAAAATGATGGTTTCCAGCTTCATCCATGTCCCTGCGAGGGACATGAACTCTTCGTTTTTTATGGCTGCACAGTATTCCATGGTGTATATGTGCCACATTTTCTTAATCCAGTGTATCATTGATGAGCATTTGGGTTGGTTCCAAGTCTTTGCTATTGTGAACGGTGCCACAGTAAACATACGTGTGCATGTGTCTTTATAGTAGAATGATTTATAATCCTTTGGATATATACCCAGTAATGGGATTGCTGGGTCAAATGGTATTTCTAGTTCTAGATCCTTGAGGAATCGCCACATTGTCTTCCACAGTGGTTGAACTAAATTACGCTCCCACCAACAGTGTAAAAGCATTCCTATTTCTCCTCACCCTCTCCACCATCTGTTGTTTCCTGACTTTTTAATGATCACCATTCTAACTGGTATGAGGTGTTATCTCATTGTGGTTTTGATTTGCATTTCTCTAATGACCAGTGATGATGAGCTTTTTTTCATATGTTTGTTGGCTGCATAAATGGCTTCCTTTGAGAAGTGTCTGTTCTCATATCCTTTGCCCACTTTTTGATGGGGTTGTTTTTTTTTTTTTTTTTTTGTAAATTTGTTTAAGTTCCTTGTAGATTCTGGATATTAGCCCTTTGTCAGATGGATAGATTGCAAAAATTTTCTCCCATTCTGTAGGTTGCCTGTTCACTCTCATGGTGGTTTCTTTTGCTGTGCAGAAGCTCTTTAGTTTAATTAGATCCATTTGTCTATTTTGGCTTTTGTTGCCATTGCTTTTGGTATTCCAGACATGAAGTCCTTGCCCATGCCTATGTCCTGAATGGTATTGCCTAGGTTTTCTTCTAGGCTTTTTATGGTTTTAGGTCTTATGTTTAAATCTTTAATCCATCTTCAGTTAATTTTTGTATAAGGTATAAGGAAGGGAACCAGTCTCAGCTTTCTGCATATGGCTAGCCAGTTTTCCCAGCACCATTTATTAAATAGGGAATCCTTTCCCCATTGTTTGTTTTTGTCAGGTTTGTGAAAGATCAGATGGTTGTAGATGTGTGGTGTTATTTCTGAGGCCTCCGTTATGTTCCTTTGGTCTATGTATCTGTTTTGGTATAAGTACCATGCTGTTTTGGTTACTGAAGCCTTGTAGTGTAGTTTGAAGTCAGGTAGCGTGATGCCTCCAGCTTTGTTCATTTTGCTTAGGATTGTCTTGGCAATGTGGGCTCTTTTTTGGTTCCCTATGAACTTTAAAGTAGTTTTTTCCAATTCTGTGAAGAAAGTCAATGTTAGCTTGATGGGGATAGCACTGAATCTATAAATTACTTTAGACAGTGTGGCCATTTTCACAATATTGATTCTTCCTATCCATGAGCATGGAATGTATTTCCATTTATTTGTGTTCTCTCTTATTTCATTGAGCAGTGGTTTGTAGTTCTCCTTGAAGAGTTCCTTCACATCCCTTTTAAGTTGGATTCCTAGGTATTTTATTCTCTTTGTAGCAATTGTGAATGGGAGTTCACTCATGATTTGGCTCTCTGTTTGTCTGTTATTGGTGTATAAGAATGCTTGTGATTTTTGCACATTGGTTTTGTATCCTGAGACTTTGCTGAAGTTACTTATCAGCTTAAGGAGATTTTGGGCTGAGACGATGGGGTTTTCTAAATATACAATCATGTCATCTGCAAACAGAGACAATTTGACTTCTTCTTTTCCTAAACCAGGAAGAAGTCGAATCCCTGAATAGACCAATAACAAATTCTGAAATTGGGGCAGTAATTAATAGCCTACCAACAAAAAAATCCAGGACCTGACAGATTCACAGCCGAATTCTACCAGAGGTACAAAAAGGGGCTGGTACCATTCCTTCTGGAACTATTCCAAACAATAGAAAAAGAGGAAATTCTTCCTAACTCATTTTATGAGGCCAGCATCATCCTGATACCAAAACCTGACAGAGACAGAACAAATAGGAAAATTTCAGGCCAGTATCCCTGATGAACATTGATGCGAAAATCCCCAATAAAATACTGGCAAACTGAATTCAGCAGCACATCAAAAACTTATCCACCACGATCAAGTCGGCTTCTTCCCTGGGATGCAAGGCTGGTTGAAAATACGCAAATCAATAAACGTAGTCCATCCCATAAAGAGAACCAAAGACAAAAACCACATGATTATCTCAATAGATGCAGAAAAGGTCTTCAACAAAATTCAACAGTTCTTCATGCTAAAAACTCTCAATAAACTAGGCATTGATGGAACGTATCTCAAAATAATAAGCGCTGTTTATGACAAACCCACAGCTAATATCATACTGAATAGGCAAAAACTGGAAACATTCCCTTTGAAAACTGGCACAAGACAAGGAGGCCCTCTCTTACCACTCCTATTCAACATAGTATTGGAAGTTCTGGCCAGGGCAATCAGGCAAAAGAAAGAAATAACGGATATTAAATTAGCGTTGTCCAATATTTTGCCTGCCTTGGGCCACATTAGAAGAAGAATTGTGTTGGGCCACACAAAATACACTAACACTAATGATAGCTGATTAGCTTAAAAAAATCACAAAAAATCTCTTATAGTGTTTTAAGAAAGCTCATGAATTTGTGTTGGGCTGCATGCAAACCTGTCCCAGGCCACATGCAGCTTGTGAACTGTGGGCTGGACAAGCGTGTTTTAGATTGTGCACCCAAAATATCTGAGATGGGTCTCAACCAATTTAGAAAGTTTATTTGGCCAGCATTAAGGATGCACCTGTGATGCAGCCTCAGGAGGTCCTAATGACATGTGCCCAAAGTGTTTGGGTTACAGCTTGCTTTTATACATTTTATACATATATATATGTATCATCAATCAATATGTATAAGATGTACATTGGTTTGGTTGGGAAAGATGGGATGGGAAAGATGGGACAACTTGAAAGAGGGGAGGGCATGGGGGGGCTTCCAGGTCATAAGTAAATAACAGACAAAATGTTGCATTCTTTTGAGTCCTTGATCAGCCTTCCACAGAATACACAATTTAATATGGCTCAATGAATCTGTATTTTTACATAAACAGTAGGGCAGAGGAAGCAATCAGATATGCATTTGTCTCAGATAGCAGAGGGATGATTTTCTGTGCTGCACCTGTGAAGATAAGCTATCAGTTTGTTGTCAGTGAAATTCAACAGAACTCCTTTAGGGTAAAGATCTTGAGGCCCACAAGGAATTTCCTTGTGGGCAAATTGTGAGGGAGGTATGTAGCTCTTTTATCTTTTTAGCTATCTTATTTTGGAATAAAATGGGAGGCAGGTTTGTAGTTCCCTGCTTGACTTTTCCCTTGACTTGTGATTTTGGGGTCCTGAGATTTATTTTCCTTTCACAAGATAATAGGGAAGTGTAATTACTTCTTGAATTCCTCAGATAAGGGGCTTTGCCTCCAGATGGTCTGCTTGATGGCCGAGGTGATCTTTCCTCTCCTCAGTAAGGATATCTTCTTTGCACAAAGAAGAGAGGGATGACTAAATGGAGAAGGTGCCCTCAGATAACAAATCTTACCTTTGTGTAAGGTGCTTTTCCTGGCTCTCTCATCTTAACCAGGCTTTTTCCCCATGCTCTTTTTCTCTGTACTCTAAAAAATTACTTATTCCTTACATGTCTTTCTTGTATATATGAAAATATACATGTTAATAAACCTTTTCTCCTGTTAACCTATCTTTTGTTACAGGGAGTCCCAGTGAAGAACTATGAATGGTAGAGAAAATTATTTTTTCTTCCTTACATTATTATCACTTGTTGTAGATAACAAGGATATCCCTCAGTTAACTCATGACTGCAGATCATTATATTGGCCTTTTGTTTACCATATATTTACCCTACTTCCCCAATAAGAATCACAGAACCTTTTCTGGTCAACAGAGAAGTTTCTTCTTAAAGAATCTGGCCTCATCCAAGGAGAGACCTGGCCTTTGTCTTGGCTCCTAGGAGGTAATCTCTAAGCTATTGGAATTTCCTAAGTGATAGGAATGTCTTTGTTATTCTTGGTGGGCCCCTCAGACCACAAGGCTAGTTAGTGCTAATAAGGTGATTCATGGCCTGAGTGCTGTGGTTTATGCCCCTAATCCCAGCACTTTGGGAGGCTGAAGTGGGAGGATAGCTTGAGCCCACGAGTTGGAGACCAACTTGGCTGATGTGATGAGACCCCCATCTCTAAAAATAATAATAAAAAAAAATTAGCCAGGCATGGCAGCGTGTGCCTGTGATCCCAGCTACTTGGGAAGCTGAGGTGGGAGGATTGCTTGAGCCCAGGAGGTTGAGGCTGTAGTGAGTTATGATGGCACCACTGCACTCTAGCCTGGATGAAGGAGTGACACCCTATCTCAAAATAAAATAAGGTGTGTAATGGTGGGCCCCCATGATGTCAGACTGACCTCCTGGGAAGAAGGGAGAGCTGATGCCTACATTTAACCTGTGGCCAATGAATTAACCATTAAGCCTGAATAAAACCCCTGGACATAGACAGTAGGATGAGCTTTGCCTTGTACAGGTATTGTAGCCCACTGTGGCTGGGAGGAAGTAACACTGGCTATGGATCCATGGGTAGAGGTTAACGGAAAGCTCAGCATTTGCGATGTGGACAGGAGACAGGGAAATACTGGGTAGAAGAAGGGCGTTTCCCCAGCAAAGGCCCCATTCTCAAGCCTGGAGACCCATGGCCCTAACTGAGAACAGGCACTTCTGTTTTTGTGCCCCAAAAGTTGCCTTTTGGTTTGCCTTGCCCCTGTATCCTGTACCCAAATAAACCCCGAACCTCAGGCTCCAGAAGCAGATGAGGAGACAAAGAGACAAGGAGATAAGGAGGCAAATGGTAGAATGGCACAGCAGAGAAAGAAGAGAAGGAATGTCTGAACACAAAGAGGAGTTCGGCTGGGGGCAGTCTGAGAGATGTTCAGCTGCTGGATGACCAAACTCCAGGGGAAGATCATCTTCCCACTCCATCCCCACTTCCAGCTCCCCATCCATCCTGCTGAGAGCCACCTCCACCACTCATTAAAACCTCTGCATTCATCCTTCAAGCCCGTGTGTGACCCAATTCTTTCAGGACACTGGGCAAGAGCTCAGGATACAGAAAGCTGTCACACTAGCCCTCTGCTCTTGTGAAAAGGCAGAGGGCCCATTGAGCTGGTTAACACTTAAGCCATCTGAGGAAGGCAAGGTTAAAAGAGCATTGTGACACTGGGGCCGCAGGCACCCACCCCTAGAGACTACTATGGGGCTGGAGTCCACATCACTCACCCTAGGTACTCCACCTCCCTGTCTGCATGCTCCCCCACCTGTCAAGGATTTGAGCACCAAACAGGTGAGCCACACCCCTGTTGCACGTCCTGAGAGGGGGGTCAAGGAACTCTCCTATTTCATTTGGACCCCTCCACAACTCCACCCGATGCATCTCTTCCTTTGGCTGGTTACTGAGAATATACAAGCTTTCAGTACTATGAATCTTGCAAGCAAGTTATTGAATCTGAGGGTGATTTTGGGAAACTCAAAACTTATAGTTGGTGTCAGAAGGCTTGCAGTCTGGAGAATTGTGCCCTCACTTTTTAGTTAGTCTAACTCCAAGTATGCTGCTATATCATATAGTAGGAAGAACCTGTCTGTGGGTCTTATTTGTATCTTTGCCTGGAAGTTGATTGTCAAAGATTCAGTTGGAGATGGGGGAGGCTGACAAGAAGATACTCACAGGAAGGTTATCACACAACTATCTATGATAATAGGGCTTGTACCTGTAGTCTTTGACACTTAGAACAGTCTCCCTCTTAACAAGACATGCTATATTTTTTTCTGCTTGCCCAGCTTTTGTCATCATGAAGTTACACATATTTTCCACCTGTCCTCAAATTGGAATTATGGTCAGAGGACTTTGAAGGTGTATTTGAACCACAACAGTGATAGTAGAGCATCATGCATAAACAAATAAATTTAGTAGTCCAGTTATTTTATTTTATTTTATTGAGCCTGGGTTTTGCTCTGTTGCCCAGGCTGGAGTACAGTGGCATGATCATAGCCTACTGCAGTCTCAACCTCCTGGGCTCAAGTGATCCTTCCCAAGTAGCTGGGACCACAGGCATGTGCCACTATGCCCAACTAGATTTTTTTTTCTTTTTAAGACAAAGTCTTGCTCTGTCACCCAGGCTGGAGTGCAGTGGCACCATCTTGGCACACTGAAACCTCCACTTCCTGGGCAAGTGATCCTCCACCTCAGCCTCCCGAGTAGCTGGGACTATAGGTGTGTGCCACTACACCCAGCTATATTTTTTAAAGTATTTTTTGTAAAGAGGGGGTTTTTCCATGTTGCCCAAGTTGGTCTTAAATTCCTGGGCTTAAGTGATCTGCCTACCTTGGCCTCCCAAAGTGTTAAGATTACAGGAGTGAGCCCCCACACCTTGCCAAACTCTTATTTTTTAAAGAAATCTCTTTTCTCATATCTGATGTTTTGAAATTTAGGTTGGTTGTATTTTGTTGGCAATTTATTTCCATATACTTAGTCTTCTAGAAGTTTCTCAATTTTATGGTCTGTTATTATTCACCTCCTGGATTTTCGATGCTGCCATAGATTAATTTTTATATTTATTTTGTCATTTAAAAGAAGATATTGGGAGGGAGAAGAAGTAAACAAGGGCATTCAGTCAGCTATCTTGATCTCAAAAACATATTTATAAATCAGAATAAAAGTCATTTTTTGACTAAGAAGTTGGAACAAGAATAAAATAAGCAAAATGCCCTAGTAATTATGGAATGTACTAGTTAGCCACTGCCAGGTACAAAACCACCCTCAAAGCTCAGTGGCTTAAAATGCTTATTATTTCTGAGTTTGTGAGTTGGCTGTGGTCAGCTGGTCTAGGCAGGGCTTGAATGATTGGCTCAGCTGGCCTTGGTTAGACTCACATCTGTGGCCAGCTGGTATTCAGTTGATTTAGACTCAATGGGGTTGAGGAGACTGCTGAGAAGGTTTTCTCATCCTTCTGCCACTAAAGAGCTAGCTCAGACACGATCTTCTCATAACAAAGGCAGAGACGCAAAAGTAAGTGAAATTGAATAAGTACTTTTCAAGCCTCTACTTGCATCCCAGCTAATTTCCCATGGCTAAAGAAAGTCACAGGGGCAAGCCCAGAATCATGGTGGGAGGACACTGCAAAGTTACATGGCAAAGTTTATGGGTACAGAGAGAAGTGAGGTGTTTATGCAAACTTCCCTCCAGAATTGTGATTCTCAAATGCAAGGAAATATAAAACCAGTTGGAGATATTTGAAATGGTCTTTGGAAGCAATGTGCATTATTTTGTTAACCCAACCTATTCTTTAATGCTTAATTTAAATATCACCTTTTTCATTAATGTTTCATGATTCTCATAATGGTTAGTATTTTCATCCTTTTCAGATTTGTCACTGAGATATGAAGCAGCATTTTGAATCACATGCAGTTATAATCATCCAAAGGGCAGTAGTTTTGTTTTGTTCTGTTTTCCTCAGCATTTTGTGAGTTATGCTGTTTTTTTTTTGTTTTTGTTTGTTTTTTTTGTCAGAGGCAAGCTTGTAGACAACAAGAAAAACATACTATAGTGATAGTCTAATGATAATTGCTACCATGTATGCATAGTGTATTGAGCTACTCTGTGTACTGTTCAAAGCACATTACTTACGCTAAATCTTTTTAATACAAATTGTTATGAGGTCTTCTGTTAAGCAAAACTTCATGTGAGAGTTCAAGTTAAACAACCAATATGCTTTTCTGCTTCAAAAATTAATGTCTATTAAATAACAGCATAAGTCATTGAACTCTTTTCTAATAGCTGCTTTTATTTTTATGTTAAGGGAATGATATGTAAACCAGAAATAAATTCTAAGTCCCCCCAACCATCTGAATGGACTTCCTTTTCAGCCAGGGCACTCTTAAAACTTAACCTGAAAGACTGGTTCAGGCCATGACGGGAAGTGGGGGTAGGACATGCCTCATTATACCTGTCCAGCATTAACATCAGCACAGACTTTAAGTCTGATAAGAAACATTTTACAACCTATTCCCTTTACTACCTGAAGGCTTCCTTTGCAAATAAGAATTTTGGTCTCCACAATCCTTTATCTTAACCCAGACATTCCTTTCTATTGATCTCAGGTCTTCAGATAAACTCAACCAATTGTCAACCAGAACATTTTTAAATCTACCTATAAGCTGGAAGCTCTGCCCCACTGCCCCCACCACTTTGAGTTGTCCTGCCTTTCTGGACCAAACCAATGTATTTCTTGAAAGTATTTGATTAAAGTCCTATGTCTCCCTAAAATATATAAAACCAAGCTGCACCCTGAACACCTTGGGAACATGTTCTTAGGACATCCTGATGGCTGTCTCACGGGGGCATGTCCCTCATATTTGGCTCAGAATTAATCTCTTCAAATAATTTACAGAGTTTGACTCTTTTCATCACCAGATATGATAAAGATTGTGCCATCTTTTGCCAGATTTTCACTGTTATTAGTTACTGCTTGGTTTTTACTTTGTTCTCTGCAACTTTGTTTTTAGATCTTTTTGCTTTAAAAGAAAATTACCTTGGAGCAATTTTTAGCTGAATAACCTATTAACTGCCTGTTTAGGCCTCCAGCTAAGGCAGTATTCTCCACCAACTGCCCCCACCCCCGCCCCATGCCCAGCACTAATAATCTCATCATTACTGTGCCTGCAAGAATCTCACTTGGGCCTGGATGGGTTTGGACCAAGGCCCAGTTAAATGGCTTCACTGGTGAGCTTGGCTTCTGAGGTGTCCTTCAGACCTTTTGTTTTCCACTGAACAATGAAGGTAAAAATTTTGTTAGTGACTTCAGTCTCTCTCTGCAGCCAGTATAAAAATTTAACTCCAAACATTGAATTATAATGTTTCATTTGGGAACAACCCTTATTTTGGAATTAGCTAACTCAAATGATTTCCTGTTACTGATAGTAGTGGTTCAATTATATACAAACATTTTATTTATTCATTATAACCGTCTCATTTATTTATTTATTTTCTTCAACTTTTAAGTTCCAGGATACATGTACAGGATGTGCAGGTTTGTTACATAGGTAAATGTGTGCTATGGTGATTTGCTACACAGAGCAATCCATCACCTAGGTATTAAGCCCAGCATCCATTAGCTATTCTTCCTAATGCTCCCCTTGCCCCCAACAGGCCCCAGTGTGTGTTGTTATCCCCGTGTGTCTATGTGTTCTCATTGTTCAGCTCCCACTTATAAGTGAGAACATGAGGTGTTTGGTTTTCTGTTCCTGTGTTATTCTGCTGAAGATAACAGCTTCCAGCTTCATCCATGTTCCTGCAGAGGACATGACCTCATTTCTTTCTATGGCTGCATAGTATTCCATGATGTATAGGTACCACATTTTCTTTATCCGATCTATCATTGATGGGCATTTGGGTTGATTCCATGTCTTTGCTATTGTGAAATGTGCTGCAATGAGCATACATGCGTGTGTATCTTTATAGTAGAATGATTTATATTCCTCTGGGTATATACCCAGTAATGGGATTGCTGGGTCAAATATTATTTCTGCTTCTAGATCTTTGAGGAATCACCAGACTGTCTTCCACAATGGTTGAACTAATTTACACTCCCACCAACAGTGTAAAAGTGTTCTTTTTTCTCTGCAACCTCACCAGCATCTGTTGTTTTTTGACTTTTTAGTAACTGCCATTCTGACTGGTGTGAGGTGCTATCTCATTGTGGTTTTGATATGCATTTCTCTAATGATCGGTGATGCTGAGCTTTTTTTCATATGTTTGTTGGCCACATGAATGTCTTCTTTTGAGAAGTGTCTGTTCATGTCCTTTGCCCACTTTTTAATGGGGTTGTTTATTTTTTTCTTGTAAATTTGTTTAAATCTTTTGTAGACTCTGGATATTAGACTTATGTTAGATGGATAGATAGCAAAATTTTCTCCCATTCTGTAGGTTGTCTGTTCACTCTGATGATAGTTTCTTTTGCTGTGCAGAAGCTCCTTAATTTAGTTAGGTCCCATTTGTCAGTTTTTGTCTTTGTTGAAATTGCTTTTGGTATTTTCTTCATAAAGTATTTGCCTGTGCCAATGACCTAGATTTTCTTCTAGAATTTTTATAGTTTTGGGTTTTACATTTAAATCTTTAAGTGATCTTCAGTTAATTTTTGTGTAAAGTGTAAGAAAGGGGTCCAGTTTCAATTTTCTGCATATGATTAGCCAGTTGTCCCAGTACCATTTATTAGTGAATCCTGTCTCCATTGCTTGTTTTTGTCAGGTTCGTCGAAGATCAGATCATAACTATCTCATTTAATAGGCAACACTTTTCTTTCCCTCAAGTAAGTTGACATGAAATCATAGGAGGTCCTCTACTTGCAAGCTGGAGAACAATCTCAAAATTTAGTAATACTGTATCCTGAAAACAGTTATATGTGGCAATATACTAAATTACCACGAGGTGGCATAATTTCCTCATTAAAACTGACTTTCAGGGTTCTAAATTGGATTTCCTCTAGTCTTTTGACTTTACAGGGCAAGATTTCAATTTTATTTATTTTGTTACTCCTGTGGAAAAGAGAAAGAACAACAATTTACTAACTTCTGTACCTGTAACAGCAAGGGAAAATATTAAATTCTTCTATTACATATACATTTTAAATTTTATATATTTAAGGTGTACAACATAATGTTTTCATATACATGTTCATAGTGAAATGATTTCCGCCAAGCAAATTAACAGATTCATCTCACATGGTTACTTTTTTTTTGGACAAGGTCTAGCTCTGTCTCAGGCTGGAGTGCAGTGGCCTGATCATGGTTCATGGCAACTTCTTATCTCCTGGGCTCAAGTGATCCTCCCACCTCAGCCTACCAAGTAGTTAGAACTACAAGCATGTCTATGCTTGCTATTTTTTTAAAATTTATTTTTTGTACAGATGAGGGTCTCACTAGGTTGCCAGGCTGGTCTCGAACTCATGGACTCAAGCAATCCTCCTGCCTCAGCCTCCCAAAGTACTGGAATTAGAGGAGTGAACCACTACACCTAGCCAGTTACATTTGTTTGTATGTGGTAAAGTACCTAAAAGCTACTCTTTTTGCTAATTTCTGGTATACAATACAATATGTATTATTAACTGTATTCCTCATGCTGTGCTTTATATCTCTAGGGCTATTTATCTTACATAACTGAAATTCTGTACTTTTTGACCTCCATTTCTCCATCTCCCTCTCGCTCACCTTTGGCAGCCACCTTTCTACTATTTCTATGTATTCGAGTTTTTTTTTTTTAAGTTTCCATGTATAAGTGAAATCGTGCAGTATTTTCTATCTGTGTCTGATTTATTTCATTCACTATTCACTTAGCATAATGTCCTCTAGGTTTATCCATGTTGTGGCAAATGGCAGGATTTCCTTCTTTTTAAATAATTTGTTTTTATTATGTATTATTTTTAATTGTATTATTTTAGTATATTTTTATTTACAAATATATATTATGTTGATATTATAAACATAATATATAGTAAATATATATTTATGATATATATAATAGAATAATGTATATAAGAAAATATATAATATATAAATATATTTATTCATACATAAATATTTATATTTAGTATATTAGTATTATTATTTTTTATGAATTTCCTTCTTTGTTAAGGTTGAATAATATACATCCATATTGTGGCTATTGTGATTAATGCTGTGATGAGCATGGGTGCACTTTGGCTCTGTGTCCCCACCCAAATCTCATGTCAAATTGTAATCTCCAGTGTTGGAGGAGGGGCCTGGTGGGTGGTGATTAAATCATGGAGGCTGACTTCGCCCTTGCTGTTCTTATTTGGTGAGTGAGTTCTCATGAGATCTCATTGTCGTAAAAGTGTGGAGCACCTCCCCCATCTCTTTTTCTGTCTCCTGCTCCACAGTGTGAAGATGTGCTTGCTTCCCCTTCTGCTGTGATTGTGTTTCCTGAGGCCTCCCAGCCAAGCTTCCTGTACAGCCTGCGGAACTATGAGTTAACTTAACCTCTTTTCTTCATAAATTACCCAGTCTCAGGTAGTTCTTTTTTTTTTTTTTTTTTTTTTTGAGATAGAGTCTCACTGTGTCACCCAGGCTGGAATGCAGTGGTGCAATCTCGGCTCACTGCAACCTCTGACTACCAGGTTCAAGTGATTCTCCTGCCTCAGCCTCCCAAGTAGCTGGGACTACCAGTGCCCGCCACCATGCCTGGCTAATTTTTGTATTTTTAGTAGAGATGAGGTTTCACTATGTTGGCCCTGGTGGTCTTGAACTCCTGACCTTGTAATACGCCTGCCTCGGCCTCCCAAAGTGCTGGGATTACAGGCGTGAGCCACCACACCTGGCCTCAGGTAGTTCTTTATGGCAATGTGAGGACAGACTAACATAGAAAATTGATACCAGAGAAGTGGGGCATTGCTACAAAGATACCTGAAAATGTGGAAGCAGCTTCAGAAGTGGGTAATGAACAGAATTTGGAACAGTTTGGCAGGCTTAGAAGAAGGCAGGAAGATGAAGGAAAGTTTGGACCATTCTAGAGACTTGTTGAATGGTTGTGACCAAAATGCTGATAGTGATATGGAAAATGAAGTTCAGGCTGAGGAGGTCTCAGCTGGAGATGAGGAACTTATTAGGAGCTGGAGATAAGAAGATTCTAAGCAGGAAAGCATTCAAGAAGGGACCTGGCTGCTTCTAACAGCATACACTCATATGCATGCCCAAAGAGATTATCTGAAACTGGAATATATATATATGTGTGTGTATATATATGTGTGTGTGTGTGTGTATATGTGTGTGTCTGTGTGTGTGTATATATGACACACACATATACACACACACACACACACATATATATATACATATATATATTTTTTGAGATGGAGTCTCTCTCTGTCAACCAGGCTGGAGTGCAGTGGTGCCATCTTGGCTCACTGCAACCTCCACCTCCCTGGTTCAAACAATTCCCCTGCCTCAGCCTCCTGAGTAGCTGGGATTACAGGTGTAGGCCACCACTTCTGGCTTATTTTTTTTATAATTTTAGTAGAGACAGGGTTTCACCATGTTGGCCAGACTGTTCTCAAACTCCTGACCTTAGGCAATCTGCCCACCTTGGCCTCCCATTGTGCTGGGCTTATAGGTGTGAGCCACCACACCCAGACTGGAACTCATATTTAAAAAGGAAGCAGAGCATAGATGTTCGGAAAATTTGCAGCCTGATCATATGGTAGAAATTTCTGGGGAGGAATTCAAGCCTGTTGCAGAAACTTGCATAAGTAAAGAGGAGCCAAATGATAATAGCCAAGACAATGGGGAAAATGCCTCCAAGGCATTTCAGAGACCTTCACAGCAGCCCCTCCCATTACAGGCCTAGAGGTCTAGGAGGGAAAAATGATTTTGTAGACCAGGGCTTCACTGCTCTGTGCAGCTTTGGGACATCTCAGGACAGTGCCATGCATCTTGGTGACTCCAGCTCCAGCTGTGGCTAAAAGGGGCCAAAGTACAGCTCAGGCCATTGCTTCAGAGGGTGCAAGTCCCAAACCTTGGCAGCCTCCATGTGGTGTTAAGTCTGTGGGTTGGCTGAGGGCAAGAATTGAAGCTTGGGAGCCTCTGCCTGGATTTCAGAGGATGTATGGAAATGCCTGGATTTCCAGGCAGAAGTCTGCTGCAGGGGTGGAGTCTTCATGGGGAACCTCTACTAGGGAAGGGTGGAGGGGAAATGTGGGGTTGGAGCCTTCACAAAGAGTTTCCACTGGGGCTGCCTAGTGGAGCTGTGAGAAAAGGGCCTCTGTTCTCCAGACCCCAGAATGGTAGATCCACTGACAGCTTGCCCCATGCACCTGGAAAAGCTGCAGGCACTCAGTGCCAGCCATGAAAGCAGCCAAGGGGGCTGTACCATGCAAAGCTACAGAGGCAGAGCTGCCTAGGGCCTTGGGAGCCCACCCCCTGTGTCAGTGTGGCCTGGATGTGAGACATGGAGTCAAAGGAGATTATTTTGGAGCTTTAAGATTTAATGACTGCCCTGCTGGGTTTTGGACTTGCATGGGACCTGTAGCCCCTTTGTTTTGGCTGATTTCTCCCTTTTGGAATGGGAGCATTTATCCAGTGCCTGTATCCCCATTATGTCTTGGAAGTAACTAATTTGTTTTTGATTTTACAGGCTCATAGGTGGAAGGGACTTGCCTTGTCTCAGATGATGCTTTGGACTTGGACCTTTGAGTTAATGCTGGAATGAGTTAACATTTTGGGGGACTGTTGGGAAGGCATGATTGTGTTTTGAAATGTGAGAAGGACATGAGATTTGGGAGGGGCTAGAGGCAGAATGAAATTATTTGGCTCTGTGGCCCCACCCAAATCTCATGTTGAATTGTAATCTACAGTGTTGCAGGAGGGGTCTGGTGGGAGGTGATTGAATCTTGGGGGCAGCCTTACTGCATGCTGTTCTCATGATAGTGAGTGAGTTCTCATGAGATCTGGTTGTTGCAAAAGTGTGTAGCACTTCCTCCAGCTGTTGCTTTATCTCCTGCTCTACCATGTGAAAATGTGCCTGCTTCCCCTTCCACCATGATTGTAAGTTTTCTTATTTATTTATTTATTTATTATACTTTAAGTTCTAAGGTACATGTGCACAACATGCAGGTTTGTTACATAGGTATACATATGCCATGTTGGTTTGCTGCACCCATTAACTTGTCATTTACATTAAGGTATTTCTCCTAATGCTATCCTTCCCCCTGCTTTCCATGCCAAGACAGGCCCAAGGATGTGATGTTTCCCACCCTATGTCCAAGTGTTCTCATTGTTCAATTCCCACCTATGAGTGAGAACATGCAGTGTTTGGTTTTCTGTCCTTGTGATAGTTTGCTCAGAATGATAGTTTCCAGCTTCATCCATGTCCTTGCAAAGGACATGAACTCATCCTTTTTTATGGCTGCATAGTATTCTATGGTGTATATGTACCACATTATCTTAATCCAGTCTATCATTGATGGACATGTGGGTTGATTCCAAGTCTTTGCTATTGTGATTAGAGCTGCAATAAACATACGTGTGCATGTGTCTTTATAGAAGCAAGATTTATAATCCTTTGGGTATATACCCAGTAATGGGATTGCTGGGTCAAATGATATTTCTAGCTCTAGATCCTTGAGGAATCGCCACACTGTCTTCCACAATGATTGAACTAGTTTACAGTCCCACCAACAGTATAAAAGTGTTCCTATTTCTCCACATCCTCTCCAGCATCTGTTGTTTCCTGACTTTTTAATGATCGCCATTCTAACTGGTGTGAGATGGCATCTCATTGTGGTTTTGATTTGCATTTCTCTAATGACCAGTGATGATGAGCATTTTTTCATGTGTCTGTTGGCTGCATAAATGTCTTCTTTTGAGAAGTGTCTGTTCATATCCTTTGCCCACTTTTGATGAGGTTGTTTGATTTTTTCTTGTAAATTTGTTTAAGTTCTTCGTAGATTTTGGATATTAGCCCTTTGTCAGATAGGTAGATTGCAAACATTTTCTCCCATTTTGTAGGTTGCCTGTTCACTCTGATGGTAGTTTCTTTTGCTATGCAGAAGTCGTTTAGTTTAGTTAGATCCCATTTGTCAATTTTGGCTTTTGTTGCCATTGCTTTAGTTGTTTTAGTCATGAAGTCATTGCCCATGCCTGTATCCTGAATGGTATTGCCTAGGTCCTCTTCTAGGCTTTTACTGGTTTTAGGTCTAACATTTAAGTCTTTAATCCATCCTGAATTAATTTATGTATAAGGTATAAGGAAGGGATCCAATTTCAGCTTTCTCCATATGGCTAACCAGTTTTACCAGCACCATTTATTAAATAAGGAGTCCTTTCCCTATTTCTTGTTTTTATCAGGTTTGTCAAAGATCAGATGGTTGTAGATGTGTGGTGTTATTTTTGGCCTATGTTCTGTTCCGTTGGTCTATATATCTGTTTTGGTACCAGTACCATGATGTTTTGCTACCAGTACCATGATGTTTTGGTTACTGTAGCCTTGTAATATACTTTGAAGTCAGGTAGAATGATGCCTCCAGCTTTGTTCTTTTGGCTTAGGATTGTCTTGGCAATGTGGGCTCTTTTTTGGTTCCATATGAACTTTAAAATAGTTTTTTCCAATTCTGTGAAGAAAGTCATTGGTAGCTTGATGGGGATGACATTGAATCTATAAATTACCTTGGGCAGTATGGCCATTTTAATGATATTGATTCTTCCTATCCATGAGCATGGAATTTTCTTCCATTTGTTTGTGTCCTCTTTTATATCATTGAGCAGTGGTTTGTAGTTCTCCTTGAGGAGGTCCTTCACATCCCTTGTAAGTTGGATTCCTAGGTATTTTATTCTCTTTGAAGCAATTGTGAATGGGAGTTCACTCATGATTTGGCTCTCTATTGGTGTATAGGAATGCTTGTGATTTTTGCACATTGATTTTGTATCCTGAGACTTTGCTGAAGTTACTTATCAGCTTAAGGAGATTTTGGGCGGAGATGATGGGGTTTCCTAAATATTCAATCATGTCATCTGCAAACAGGGACAATTTGACTTCCTCTTTTCCTAATTGAATACCCTGTATTTATTTCTCTTGCCTGATTGCCCTGGCCAGAACTTCCAACACTATGTTGAATAGGGGTGGTGAGAGACAGCATCCCTGCCTTGTGCTGGTTTTCAAGGGGAATGCTTCCAGTTTTTGCACATTCAGTATGGTATTGGCTGTGGGTTTGTCATAAATAGCTCTTATTATTTTGAGATACATTCCATCAATACCTAGTTTATCGAGAGTTTTTAGCATGAAGAACTGTTGAATTTTGTCAAAGGCCTTTTCTGCATCTTTTGAGATAACTGTGGTTTTTGTCGATGGTTCTGTTTATGGGATGGATTATGTTTATTGATTTGCATATGTTGAACCAGCCTTGCATCCCAGGAATGATGCTGACTTGATCCTGGTTGATAAGCTTTTTGATGTGCTGCTGAATTCAGTTTGCCAGTATTTTATTGAGGATTTTTGCATCGATGTTCATCAGGGATATTGGTCTAAAATTCTCTTTTTTTGTTGTGTCTCTGCCAGACTTTGGTATCGGGATGATGCTGGCCTCATAAAATGAGTTAGGGAGGATTCCCTCTTTTTCTATTGATTGGAGTAGTTTCAGAAGGAATGGTGCCAGCTCCTCTTTGTACCTCTGATAGAATTCGGCTGTGAATCTGTCTGGTCCTGGACTTTTTTTGGTTGGTAGGCTATTAATTATTGCCTCAATTTCAGAGCCTAGTATTGGTCTATTCAGAGATTCAACTTCTTCCTGGTTTAGTCTTGGAAGGGTGTATGTGTCCAGGAATTTATCCATTTCTTCTAGATTTTCTAGTTTATTTGCAAAGAGCTGTCTATAGTATTCTGTGATAGTAGTTTGTATTTCCGTGGGATCAGTGGTTGGTAATATCCCCTTTATCATTTTTTATTGCGTCTATTTGATTCTTCTCTCTTTTCTTCCTTATTAGTCTTGCTAGTAGTCTATAAATTTTGTTGATCTTTTAAAAAAACCAGCTCCTTGGTTCATTGATTTTTTGAAGGGTTTTTTGTGTCTCTGTCTCCCTCAGTTCTGCTCTGATCTTAGTTATTTCTTGCCTTTTGCTAGCTTTTGAATGTGTTTGCTCTTGCTTCTCTAGTTCTTTTAATTGTGATATTAGGGTGTTGATTTTAGATCTTTCCTCCTTTCTCTTGTGGGCATTTAATGCTATAAATTTCTCTCTACACACTGCTTTAAGTGTGTTCCAGATTCTGGCATGTTGTGTGTTTGTTCTCATTGGTTTCAAAGAACGTCTTTATTTCTGCCTTTATTTCGTTTTTACTGAGTAGTCATTCAGGAGCAGGTTGTTCAGTTTCCATGTAGTTGTGCAGTTTTGAGTGAATTTCTTAATCCTGAGTTCTGATTTGATTACACTGTGGTCTGAGAGATAGTTTGTTTTGATTCCTATTCTTTTACATTTGCTGAGGAGTGCTTTACTTCCAACTATGTGGTCAATTTTGGAATAAGTGTGATGTGGTGCTGAGAGGAATGTATATTCTATTGATTTAGGGTGGAGAGTTCTGTAGATGTCTATTAGGTCTGCTTGGTGCAGAGCTGAGTTCAAGTCCTGGATATCCTTGTTAACCTTCTGTCTCATTGATCTAATATTGACTGTGGGGTGTTAAAGTCTCCCATTATTATTGTGTGGGAGACTAAGTCTCTTTGTAGGTCTGTAAGGACTTGCTTTATTAATCTGGGTGCTCCTGTATTGGGTGCATATATATTTGGGATAGTTAGCTCTTCTCGTTGCTTTGATCTTTTTAACATTATGTAATGCTCTTTTTTGCCTCTTTTAATCTTTGCTGGTTTAAAGTCTGTTTTTTCAGAGACCATGATTACAACCCTTTTTTTTTACTTTCCATTTGCTTGGTAAATATTCCTCCATCTCTTTATTTTGAGTCTATGTGTGTCTTTGCATGTGAGATGGGTCTCCTGCATGCAGCACACTGATGGGTCTTGACTCTTTATCCAGTTTGCCAGTTGTGTCTTTTAATTGGGACATTTAGCCCATTTACATTTTAGGTTAATATTTTTATGTGTGAATTTGATCCTGACATTATGATGTTAGCTGGTTATTTTGCCCGTTAGTCGATGCAGTTTCTTCATAGCGTCAATTGTCTTTGCAATTTGGCATGTTTTTGCAGTGGGTGGCACCGGTTGTTCCTTTCCATGTTTAGTGCTTCCTTCAGGAGCTCTTGTAGGGCAGGCCTGGTGGTGACAAAATCTTTCAGCTTTTCCATGTCTGTAAAGGATTTTATTTCTCCTTCACTTACGAAGCCTAGTTTGGCTGGGTATGAAATTCTGGGTTGAAAATTCTTTTCTTTAAGAATGTTGAATATTGGCCCCCACTTTCTTCTGGCTTGTAGGTTTTCTACAGAGAAATCTGCTGTTAGTCTGATGGGCTTCCCTTTGTGGGTAACCTGATCTTTCTCTCTGGCTGCCCGTAACATTTTTCCCTTCATTCAACCTTGATGAATCTGATGATTATGTGTCTTGGGGTTGCTGTTCTAGCAGATTATCTTTGTCATGGTCCTTGTATTTCCTGAATTTGAACGTTGGCCTGCCTTGCTAGGTTGGGGAAGTTCTCCTGGATAATATCCTGGAGAGCGTTTCCAACTTGGTTCCATTCTCCCATCACTTTCAGGTACACAAATCACATGTCAATTTGGTCTTTTCATATAGTCCCATATTTCTTGGAAGCTTTGTTCATTTCTTTTCACTCTTTTCCCTCTAATTTTGTCTTCTTGCTTTATTTCACTGAGTTAATCTTCAATCTCTGATATCCTTTCTTCTGCTTGATTGATTGAACTATTGATACTTGTGTATGCTTCACGAAGTTCTTGTGCTGTTTTTCAGCTCCATCAGGTCATTTATTTTCTTCTCTAAACTGGTTATTCTAGTTAGCAATTAGTCTAACCTTTTTTCAAGGTTCTTAGCTTCCTTGCATTGGGTTAGAACACGCTTCTTTAGCTTGGAGGAGTTTGTTATTACCTACCTTCTGAAGCCTACTTCCATCAATTCATTGAACTACTTCTCCATCCAGTTTTGTTCCCTTGCTGGTGAGGAGTTCTGATTCTTTGGAGGAGAAGAGGCATTCTGGTTTTTGGAATTTTCAGGTTTTTGCGCTGATTTCTCCCCATCTTTGTGGAATTATCTACCTTTGGTCTTTGAAGTCAGTGACCTTTGGATGGGGTCTCTGAGTGGACGTCCTTTTTATTGATGTTGATACTATTCCTTTTTTGTTAGTTTTCCTTCTAACAGTCAGGCCCGTCTGCTACAGGTCTGCAGGAGTTTGCTGGAGGTCTGCTCCCAACCCTGTTTGCCTGGGTATCTCTGGCAGAGGCTGCAGAACAGCAAAGATTGCTGCCTGTTTTTCCCTCTAGAAGCTTTGTCCCAGAGGGGCACCTGCCAGATGCCAGCCAGAGCTCTCCTGTATGAGATGTCTGTCAGTCCCTACTGGGAGGTGTCTTCCAGCCAGGATACACGGGGGTCAGTGACCCACTTGAAGAAGCAGGCTGTCCCTTCTCAGATCTTGAATGCTGTGCTGGGAGATCCACTGCTCTCTTCAGAGCTACCAGGTAGGTATGTTTAAGGCTGCTGAAGCTGTGCCCACCACCGCACCTTCCCCCGGGTGCTCTGTCTCAGAGAGGTGGTGGTTTTATCTATAAGTCCCTGGCTGGGGCTGCTGCCTTTTTTTCAGAGACGCCCTACCCAGAGAGGAGGGAATCTAGAGAGGCAGTTTGGTTGTAGCAGCCTTGCTGAGCTGCAGGGGGCTCCACCCAGTTCAAACTTCCTGGAGCTTTGTTTGCACTATGAGGGTAAAACCGCCTACTCAAGCCTCAGCAATGGCAGACACCCTTCACCCCACCAATCTCGAGTGTCCCAGGTTGAGCTTAGACTGCGGTGCTGGCATGAGAATTTCAAGGCAGTGGATCTTAGTTTGCTGTGCTCCGTGGGAGTGGGACCCGCTAAGACATACCACTTGGCTCCCTGGCTTCAGCCCCCTTTCCAGGGGAGTGAACAGTTCTGTATTGCTGGTGTTCCATGTGCCACTGGGGTATGAAAAAAAACTGAGGCCAGCTCGGTGTCTGCTCAAATGGCCACCCAATTTTGTGCTGGAAACCCAGGGCCCTGGTGTTGTAGGCACTGGAAGCAATCTCCTGGTCTGTGGGTTGCGAAAGCTGTGGGAAAAGTGTCTAGGCCAGAGTGCACGGTACAGTCCCTAATGGCTTCTCTTGGCTAGGAGAGGGAGTTCTCCCACCCCTTGTGCTTCCTGGGTAAAGCGACCCCCTACCCTGCTTCAGCTCACTGTCCTTGGGCTGCACTCACTGCCCAACCAGTCCCAATGAGATGAACCAGATACCTCATTTGGAAATGCAGAAATCACCTACTTTCTGCATCAATCTTGCTGGGAGCTGCAGACTGGAGCTGTTCCTATTCGGCTATCTTGCCAGAAAATCAGACTGACATTTTTCAACTGTCATTTCCTCTGCTGCAAAATAGAAATTGCAGAAATATGTGTCTGGATTTCCGTGGAGGTGTATGGTGAGAAAACAAACTGGATCAAGGTACTACTGAAATGCTTTTAAAACAGTAAAATAGAATATAATATAAAAGATGAATATTACCTTTGATTATCTTTCTAAGCTCTTACCTTAAATGCTAAGCTTAATATGTTTGAAATAAAGTATTATGTTTCATGCAGATTATATATTTTTTAGTGGCAGGGATATGTAAATATATGTTATGTATATGTAGTTATACATATATATACACATAACGTATATGTTATATATTTTAATCTATCTTTTCCTTGTGCTTGGCAAAGTGCCTGACACATAGTAGAAGATTATAAATGCTGCTGAATAAATTATTAGAGCTATCCTTTTTTAGCTCTATAAGGCTTTTCCTGTTTTGATTAATAATATTGCTTCCCTCAAAACTCTGTTTTGGAGAATGTTTAAAAGCTCTTCTGTGCCTCAGCAACCCTTAAGAGTTCATTGGCTGTTTCCTGATCAATAGGGTACAGGTAGAATATGACCCGTTGAGTGGCTGATTGGTTCTCACTGCTTATGTAAGTCACTGGCTGATTGTTTCTCCCACTGATATTTCGGTGTGCCACAAACGTGATATCTGAAAGATGTTTAAATACCTAAGAACTACATGTGATTTTCACGCTTTATAAGCATTAAAAAATTTAAAAGGTAAAATATTTAGAAGTTATGATTCCTGCTACATAAAAGCCTATACTTTGATGCTAGACAGAACACATACACACACGATAATGATAAGCAATGTGCTGTCATATTTAAATGAGTCATCACAGAAGATTGTGATTAGATTCAGCTGATTAGGTTAACAAATGTGATTAGAATCTGGAAAGGATTCATCAAAGAAATCACCTGAGGAAATGTTAACTTTGAATGAGAGACCGAGGGTCACAGACAATCCAGGGAATCCTGGGCCAGGGACACAGAAGAATAGTGCGGATAAAGAGGTTGGCTAGATCCACATGAATGGGCATGGAAGGTATGTCCAACATTGGGTGTAATTAACAGAGGCAACTGGTTGAATCTGAGTTCTGGATGACAGCTTTGAATCTGATAAAATAGCAGAGTAGCATGGGTATGAGTAGCAGTAAAGGCATGATAAAAATGTTTACATTCTGAGGTATTGGGGGTTGGAACTTCAACATGTGAATTTTGGAAGGCACAATTCAGCCCATAACAAACTTTATAGAAATAGAATAATTCAGTCTGTATGTCCTTGTGTCTGACTTTTTACATCAGCATTTTGTCTTTAGAATTTTTCTAAGTTGTTTCATGTATCTCAAGTTTATTAATTTTCATTCCTATACAGTATTTCATTGTATGAGCATATAAAAATTTCTTTATATTACTGTTGATACACATGTGGGTTATTTCTAGCTTTTGGCTGTTGGGAACAATGACGCTATAAAAATAATTATGCATTTACCCTGGTACACATGCACGTACACACATATACACATTTTTAATTTAAGTACAATCAAATTTGCCCTTCTTTCCCTTTATGGTTAATGCTTTTCATAGCTTATGTAAAAAAATTCTTCCCTTTCTTAAAATTATTAAGATTTTCTTCTATGTTATTAAAAACTTTATAATTTGGCCTTTTATATTTGGCCTATAATACATCTGAAGGTGATTTTTGTGTATGGTAGCACGTAGTAGTCCATTTCATTTTTTTTTTTTTTGAGATGGAGTATTACTCTGTCACCCAGGCTGGAGTGCAGTGGAGTGATCTCAGCTCACTGCAACCTCCACCTCCTGGGTTCAAGCAGTTCTCCTGCCTCAGCCTCCTGAGTAGCTGGGATTACAGGGGCCTGTCACCAAACCTGGGTAATTTTTGTCTTTTTAGTAGAGACAGGGTTTCATCATATAGGCCAGGCTGGTCTCAAACTCCTGACCTTGTGAACTGCCCGCCTCAGCCTCCCAAAGTGCTGAGATTACAGGTGTGAGCCACCACACCCAGCCCATTTCATTTTTTATAATGATACATATTTAATAATTTTCCCAGCACTATTCATTGAAGAGACTATGCTGCCATTTTCATAAATCAAGAATCCACATATTCTGTTCTGTCACTGTGTCTATCACCTATTACTTAGTTTTATAACAAGTCTTGATTTCTGGTAGAGTAAAACTTTCTTTCTTCTTTTCCTCTTCCTTTTTCTCCTCCTCCTCCTATTACTTGTCTTTGCATTTTCAAATACATTTTGGAGTCAGCTTGTCAAATATTACAAAAAGGAAAAAAGCCAGACATGGTGGCTCATGCCTGTACTTCCAGCACTTTGGGATGCCAAGGTGGGAGGATGGCTTGAGCCCAGGAGTTTTAGACCAGTCTGGGCAACATAGTGAGACCCCTGTCTCTACAGAAAAATTAAAAAATTAGCCAGGCATGATTGTGGGTTCCTGTAGTCCCAGCTACTTGGGAGAATGAGGTGGGAGGATCGCTTCAGTCCAGGAGGTCAAGGCTTCAATGAGCTGTGATGGCACTACTGCACTCCAGCCTGGGTGAAAGAGTGAGACCCTGTCTCAAAACCCAAATTAAAATAAAACAAAAAGGAAAAGAAAAAAAGCCTGTTAGGGTTTTGATTGAAGTTGCACCGAATCTACTGGTAAGTTTGGAGAGAATTAACAATCTATAATAAGAATTGAGAATTTATAGTATTGAGTCTTCCAATCAATGGACTTGGTATATCCCTTCGTTTATTCATTTTCTCAAATGCCTCTCAATAAAGTGTTATAGTTTTTTGGAGAATTTTTGCATGTAATGTCTTAGCTTAATGGGTACATAATTTTTTGACATTATAAATGACAGTTTAAAAATTTCATTTTTGGCCAGGCTCACGCCTGTAATCTCAACATTTTGAGAAGCTGAGGTAGGCAGATTGCTTAAGTCCAGGAGTTAGAGACCAGCCTGGGCAAAAACCTCATCTCTACAAAAATTAGCTGGGTGTGGTGGCATGTGCCTGCAGTCCCAGCTACTCAGGAGGCTGAGGGAGAAACACGGATTGATCCCAGGAAGTCAAGGCTGCAGTGAGCCATGATGGTGCCACTGTACTCAATCCTGGGCAACAGAGCAGACCCTGTCTCAAAAACAAAACAAAACAGGCCGGGTGTGGTGGCTCATGCCTGTAATCCTAGCACTTTGGGAGGCCAAGGCAGGTGGATCACGAGGTCAGGAGTTTGAGACCAGCCTGGCCAAGATGGTGAAACACCATCTCTACTAAAAATACAAAAATTAGCTGGTGGGTGCCTGTAATCCCAGCTACTCAGGAGGCTGAGGCAGGAGAATCGCTTGAGGCGGAGGTTGCAGTGAGCTAAGATCGCGCCATTGCATTCTAGTATGGGCGACAGAGCAAGATTCCATCTCAAAAACAAAACAAAACATTGTTTTCAACAAAAAAATTAAAAAAAACAAAAAATAAATTATAGAACTGGCCACTGAAAAAATAACAGCAAAAAATGAAAACATTTTTTTGCTTGCTGCTGCTGATATAAAAATACAACGTAGAAACATACTTTTGTTTTTAGTATAAAGGTTTAATGCTATTTAAAAAGGAAGATCCATGAAATTAACTTAAAGTTCTTAACCTATGGAAATGGCTGATGTAAATTATTTTACAACACCTCTTTGTAAATGTCACAATTGTTTGGTTATTGGCAAAAGAGTTTCAAGGTTCACTTCCCTCCCTTGAGCCAGGTAATTTTGCTTTGGGTTAAATTAAAATCAAAACTCTAAAAGTTGAGCAACTTTGTTTTTTGAATTGACTTAGCTCTAACTCACTATTATATCTTAAGGATGGCATGATTTGATAATGATGGACTTGTGTGAGGTTTTAATTTTTAATTTATCTTTCTATCATATGAGGTAATTTTCAGTGTTCTTGAGTCTGGTTATGGTATTAGGCAGATAGAACCCTGGAGTAACAAGGGTTGGAAATTGGCTAATTGACAATGCAGTTGCCTTAAACATCTCAAGTAGAGAACTTTTACATTAGTGAGATGTAACTGAATTTCAGAACTTAACAGAAAATTTTTTATTGTGAATTGCACTGAATGCTAAATGTCCACCTTTACAATAAACAAATATAGTAATGGTAACTCACACTGAAACAAAACATACTTCTGATAGCCATTATTTTTCTATTTGGGACAGTTTTAAAGTTTTTCTTTCGTCACAAAAACAAGAATATACTTATACAAAGGCTCAGAATAGGCCATCTTTTTAAACAAAAAGGCAATGATTCACAAAGACTATGAATAAAGCATGTAACTAGTTGATACAAATCTGATAGGATTTGTTAAAATTAGTCATATCTAATACATCTGGAGTGTACTTGTATAAAATGTCATGGGAAGAAAAGAAGACTTTATCAATGTCTAAAAAAGTGGGTTTGTTCATAGAAAATCTGACAAGTTATCATAAAAAGTGTTCCCTGAGATATAAGGAAATGCAACATTATCTTCTTGAACTCTTTTAGTTAATGACTTTCCACTTAATAAAATAGCAGAGGATCTGAGACTGAGAAAATATATTTGAGTAAAAACAGGTTGTGAAACTTAATACTATTTTTCCCCATCATCAGAAGGTTTTACTGAACTTAAAACCAACTTGCCCACTCAGTATGCCGTTCAGATGTGAAAGACAGTTCTCTCTACAGGAGTCTGTGCTGTCTCCAATCCTATGCATGCAGACGTCTAACACAGGCAAACAATTTTGTCTCCATTTTGTAGTAATGTAATGTTCCTATTAGCAAAAAGAGATAATCAGCCTCTGTAGCCTGAAGGGACTAGAGTCTTAAAATGGGGATTTCCTCCTAACATTTTTTATTTTGATGTTTGAAACTCTTGATGTAACATTTTAGAGCGGAATGTTCAGGACCTGCTGTGCCCAAAGGACTGATAAAGGAAAAATCTCTATTCTTTATGGTTTGATGCACAGATGAAAAACTTAACATACAATAACAGCAGCTGGTCATTAACAAATAACATCATAGTCTTTCAGCTCTTCTGTAAGCAGAGGACATCTTCAACTTTCCAGCTAGTTTTAACACTGCAACATTAATGATGCATATATCCAGAATCAGTTTAAAAAGACCATCAAATTCCTTTTCTCTTCATTAATTTTTTACTGTCTGTTGGTCTCAAGTTTATTTGAATGATTATCTTTCGGCATTCTCTGGAATTGCTTGTTGAGGTGTTATTTAATTTTTTTTGAGACAGAGTCTCCCTCTGTAGCCCAGGCTGGAGTGCAGTGGCGCTATCTGCAACCTCCGCCTCCCAAGTTCAAGCGATTCTCGTGCCTTGGCCTCCCGAGTACCTGGGACTACAGGCGCCCGCTACCACACCCGGCTAATTTTTGTATGTTTTTGGTAGAGATAGGGTTTTGCCATGTTGTTCAGGCTGGTCTCGAACTCTTTCCTCAGTGATCTGCCTGCCTCAGCCTCCCAAAGTGCTGGAATTAGAGGGGTGAGCCACCGCCTGGCCTCGTTGGGGTGTTCTTGATTGTCCCCATGTTTTATGGGCTGGTTGGGAGAGGGAGCTTGGGAAGGGTGTGCCGCGGTGGGGAGATTGTGAATCACTGGAATGCCTCCAGGGATGATCCCTCCCATGGCGGCAGGAAGTCCTCCTGGAGCCAGATCCACCGTGTTTGGCCGATATCTGCATGCACACCATTGAGCTCGAGATAAATTGCTTGCTGGTTTATTACTGACCAAGGAGCTCATGTGACAAAGAATTCCTTGTTCACAGTTTTCTTTCTTTTTTCTCTCTCTTTTTTTTTTTTTTTTTTTGTTTTAGTGGTGCAATCTCAGCTCACTGCAACCTCCGCCTACCAGATTCAAACGATTCTTGTGCCTCAGCCTCCGGAGTAGCTGGGATTACCAGAACACACCAACATGCCCAGCTAATTTTTGTATATTTTGTAAAGACGGGGTTTCACCATGTTGGCCAGCCTGGTCTGGAACTCCTGAGCTCAAGTAATCTACCCATTTTGGCCTCCCGAAGTGTTGGGATTACTGGGCTGTGCCATGACGCCCAACCCTTCACACAGTTTCTTAAGCTTTCTGGGATGTGAAGGCTTCGCAGATCTTGGTGGCAGCTGCCTTCCTTGTCTCTAGTGATGTTTGCTCACTATACCAGGCGGTGTGGGGAGTACAGATAGAATTTGGTGCATCTTTCAATGGACCAGGAACACAGCTGAAGGGCTCCTATTCATATACTTGGAGGGCTGCCTCTCCTTTCCTGCCCTCCTTGAGGGCCCTGAGCTAAGGCTTTCTTATCCAACAGGATGCCCCAGGCTACATTTGCAAGGAATGCCTCTTGCCTCATCTACTTTATAGTAAAGTCACCATCACCATCAAAGAGGTGGTGGTGATGTTCATTGAGATTACAGTGTAAGGAGACGCAGTGTCTCTGATACAACAAATCCTGCAGGGTGTAGGTCCTCTGCAGGCCCAGGAACCATTCTATCCCATCCTGCAAGTAGGGGTCATAAAATATGACACTCAATCCAAAGACCTTGGATAGAACAGCAACTGCCTGCCCCCTGCAATTGCAGCCGATGAGGCCCACCATCTCCCTAAGATGTAGGCTCCTCCCGAGTTGACCTCGCGGATCTGCTCCATACTCTGTACCCGCATCGCTTCCCGCAGCGTCTGGTACAGCCACCTGTTCTTCCGGTACAGATGGAAGTGGAATTGACTATCTGTTCCACTGCTATGGACAGGATGCTGCACACAGCGATCCTGAGCTTGCTGGCAGCCCTGATGTTCTCATAGTCGTAGCTGCTGCCTATCTGCACGGTCACTCTCAGGGCTTTTAACCTCTCCAAGTCCTCCCTGTTGAGGGTGGTGGTGTGGTGCCTCATGGTGCCTACCGCTTCGTTTAAACCTACTCTTGGATCTCCTGTGTGGACTGCGTGTCACAGAAGGCCACGGTGGCTAAGTTTTTCAGGATAGTCATCTCCACGGTGCAGTGGCCTCAGTCCAGCAGTGCCACTGGGGGCTGGGGGGTGCTGGGGTGCAAAGGGCCTGTTCACGGTCTGAAAGCGGATACCTTCACCCTTCACAAATTCTGTTCAATCACTGTCTCTTGACTTTGTGCTTATCCATAGGGCCATTATTTATTGAACTTTGCAACTCAGATTCAAAAGTTAAAGCAACCCTCTGAGAGCTTAGGGAAACTTGGCTGAAACTGCATGCCTGATGGCACAATGAACCCAATGTAAATCTGTCCACGAATGCTGTAGGTCACATGATGGGTGGTCCGTCTTTTTAAGTAAATACAGCTTCATTGGTTCAAAACCTGTTTCCTTGCAACTCTGCTACCATTGCATAATCAGCAGACCTCCTTGAGAGTCCACTAGAGGGGTCAGGAACACCATGACTCCAGGTCTTTAGCACCCCAAATCTGCGATCACTAGGAGTGGAGGCGGCTCATACACAGTCCTGCCAGGTACTTGCTGCTTCTCTAAGCCTTGGTCGCAGGCTAGGGGTCCACCCCAATATCTTGTGGTCTTGTGGCTTCTCCTCTGCCAGGCCCTGCAGACGTGTGGGGCGCCAGCGACCTCGCTGGTGTGAGGCCCTGCTGGGTCAGACCCCCACCTTGGCCCGAGCTGGCCCACCTAGCACCTACTTTCTTTTTTATTGAGATAAAATTTAGCACAGGAAAATGTACCTTTTAACTGTAAGTTGACAATTTACAATTGTATAAATTTATGGGGTACAAAGTGAAATTATAGTTTATTAACAATGTAGAATAATTAAATGAAGCTGGTTAACATACCCATCACCTCAAATCCTTAGCATTTTTAATGATAAACACTTGAAATGTACTCTCTTAGCAATTTTGAAATGTATGATACTCTATTATGAACTATTCACTATGCTGTGCAATAGAACTCAAAAAATGAAAAAAGATATTCCTCCCGTCTGAGATTTTGTATCCTTTGACTATTATCTCCCCATTCCTCCCATCCCCCAGCCTCTGTAACCACCATTCTACTGTCTCTACGAGTTCAATCATTTTAGATTCCACATATGAGTGAGTTCATTCAGTATTTATCTTTCTGTGCCTGACTTATTTCAGTTAGCATGATGTTCTCCAATTCTATCCATGTTGTCACAAATGACAGAATTCCCTTCTTTTTTAAAGTTTGAATAGTATCGCATTGCATTGTGTGTATATACCACACTAACAAAATCTAAGCCAGGCATGGTGGCCCAACCTGTAGTCCCAGCTACTTGGGAGGCTAAGACTGAAGGATTGCTTGAGCCAGGCAGGTCAATGCTGCAGTGAGCTATGATGGTGTCACTGCACTTCAGCCTGGGTAACAGAGCAAGACCCTGTCTCAAAAAAATCTATCTGTACATGGACACTTAGAATGAGTCCATAACTTGGCTATTGTGAATAGTGCTAGTAAAGAACACTGGGTGCAGTTGTCTCTTCGGCATATTGATTTCAGCTCTTTTGGAGAAATACCCAGAAGTGGATACCCAGACTGCTGGATCATATGGTAATTCTGTTTTTAGTTTTTTGAGGAAGCTCCATACTGTTTTCCGTAATGGCTATACTAATTTACATTCCTACTAACAGTGTACAGGGTTCCTTTCCTCTATATCCTCCCCAATACTTGTTATCTCTTATCTTTTTGATAAAAACTATTATGACAGGTGTGAAGTATCTCATTGTAATTTTAATTGTATTTCCGTAATGATTAAGTTTGTTACACAGGTAAATGTGTGCTGTGGTTATTTGCAGCACAGATCAACCCATCACCCTGTTGTTAAGTACCCACTAGCTATTCTTCCAGATGCTCTCCCTCCTCCTTGTGCCCCCTCCCAACAGGCCTCACTGTGTGTTGTTCCCCTGCAATGTGTTCATGTGTTCTCATTGTTCAGCTTCCATTTATAAGTGAGAAATGTGGTGTTTGGTTTTCTGTTCTTGCATTAGTTTGCTGAGGATAACGGCTTCCAGCTCCATCCATGTCCCTGCAAAGGACATGATCTCATTCCTTTTTATGGTTGCATAGTATTCCATGGTGTATTTGTGCCACATTTTCCTTATCCAGCCTATCATTGATGGGCATTTGGGTTGATTCCATATCTTTGCTATTGTGAATAGTGATGCAATGAACATACATGTGCATGTATTTTTATAATAGAATGATTTATGTTCCTTTGGGTAAATACTCAGTACTGGGATTGCTGGGTCAAATGGTATTTCTGGCACTAGGTCTTTGAGGAATCACCACACTGTCTTCCACAGTGGTTGAACTAACTTATACTTCCACCAACAGTATAAAAGCATTCCTTTTCTCCACAATCTTGCCAGCAATTGTTGTTTCTTGACTTTTTAATAATCACCATTCTGACTGGAGTGAGATGGTGTCTCATTGTGGTTTTGATTTGTGTTTCTCTAATAATCAGGAATGTTGGACTTTTTTTCATATATTTGTTGGCCTCATGAATGTCTTCATTTGAGAAGTGTCTGTTCATGTCTTTTGCCGACTTTTTAATGGGTTTTTTTTTTTCTTGTAATTTTGTTTGAGTTCCATGTAGGCTCTGGATATCAGACCTTTGTCAGATGGTGTGATGGTTAATCACAATCCAATCAAGTTGACACTCCCTATTCTGATACTCAGACACAATCCAATCTTGACCGTATTGAAGGATGCAAAATATTGATCCTAGGTATGTCTATGAGGGTGTTGCCAAAGGAGATTAACATTTGGGTCAGTGGGCTGGGAAAGGCAGACCCACCCTTAATCCGGGTGGGCACCATCTAATAAGCTCTCAGTGAGGCCAGAATGTAAAGCAGGAAAAAAAATGTGAAAAGGCTTAGCCTCCTAGCCTACATCTTTCTCCTGTGCTGGATGCCTCCTGCCCTCGAACATTGAACTCCATGTTTTTCAGCTTTGAGACTTGGACTGGCTTCCTTGCTCCTCAGTTTGCAGATGGCCTATTGTGGGACCTTGTGATCGTGTGTGTTAATACTACTTAATAAACTCCATTTATATATATATTAGTTCTGTCCCTCTAGAGAGCCCTGACTGATACAGATTTTGGTACCAGGAGTGGTTCTAGATGAACAGAATATTAAGCATGGAGTTCTTTCATTGGTTTTGGGGTTTGTGGAGTTGACTGCTAATATGATTTGACCCAAAAATGCTAACGACTCTACTTCTAATAGTATGGAGAACACCGATAGTCCTTGGTGTGAACTGTTTAGAGGGTTATGCAAAATAGATGCATTTGACAGTCCTGATTCACTGCTTGTGAGATGCAAGGAGTTTAGTGACTCTATACATAATACTTTTGACTACATGTGGAGAACCAAGGAAGATAATGAAGTTGGTTGGTTGCTCCTAAGTTCACTGGATAAAGTGATGAAACAAAATGATGAACTCAGGGATTCTAACTCCCAGCTTCAGAAGTGGATACTGAGCCTCAAATCTGCTAAGATTGCCCTGAGTGGGAATCTTATCTCCTGTAGAGAAAGAGCTGAAATTGTGGGAAAAAAGACACAAGCTCTTATACAAGTGGCTAACCTGCAATGAAAGGTGAATGAACAGCCTTGCCAGGGGTTTACTGTTAAAGTGAGGGCATTGATTGGAAAAGAATGGGACCCTGCAATTTGGAATGGGGATGTGTGGGAGGACCCTGATGAAGCTGGGGACACTAAGCTTGTAAACTCTGATAAGTCTTTTTTGCCAGAAGAAACAGCTTCTGTTCCCAGTAGTGGCAACATCCGCTCTGTGACCCATGCTGCCATCAGCCTTTCCTCCTTTGTCTGAGTAGATAAACCCTGTGCTGTCTGAGGCAAGATAATGTTGATTCTCCTCAGTAGCCACCCCCAACACTCCTGTTTGCTTCAAGACCTATAACTAGACTAAAGTTCTGGTGGGCCCCTAGAAGTCAGGTTCAGAGTGTGGCCCATGAGGAGGTGTGTTACAATAGAAAAGAACTGCTTGACTTTTCAAATTTATATAAGCAGAAATCTGGAGAACAGTCATGGGAATGGATATTAAGGGTGTAGGATAATGGTGAAAGAAACATAGAGTTGGATCAGGCTGAATTTATTGATTTGGGCCCACTAAATAGAGATTCTGATTTTAATGTTGCAGCTCAGGAAGTTAAAAAAGGTTTTAATAGTTTACTTGCTTGGTTAGCTGAAACATGGATTAAAAGATGGCCCATTGTGAGCAAGCTGGACATGCCTGATCTTCCTTGCTTTAATGTAAAGGAAGGGATCCACAGGCTTAGGGAGATTGGGATGGTGGAGTGGATTAGTTACTTTAGACATACTCATCCCAGCTGGGAGGGTGCAGAAAATATACCCTTGACCAGTGCTTTGTGAAATAGATTTGTGAGGGCAGCACCTGCCTCTTTGAAGAGCCCTGTAATTGCTATTCTCTGTATGTCATATCTAACAGTGAGAATCACAGTCACTCAACTACAAAAGTTAAATACAATGGGAATAATTGGATTCTGAGGTGGCAGGGGCTAAGTTGTGGCACTCGAGCATCAAAGGCAAGGTGGGTGTAGTTACTGTAATGGACAGCAGAAGCAAAACAGCAATCAGAATAATCTGACTCATGTAGCACTCTGGCACTGGCTAATTAATCATGGTTCCTAGATGTGAAATTGATAGGAAGCCTTCTCCATTCCTGCTTAATTTATATAAGCAGAAAACTTCCAGGTCAAATGGACAAAAGACTAATTTGAATTATGAAACAGAGAATCATGGCGCCTCAATCAACTTCCAGACTTGAGCCAGTTTACAGACCCAGAACCCCTTGAATGAAGGGAAGCCTGGGTCTTCTTGAGGAAGGGCCCCACTTCACTATCAACAATTTATGCTATTGATCTTTCTCCCATCCTTCCCCAAGGAGACCTCCAGCCTTTTACTAGAGTAACTGTCCACTGGGGAAAGGGAAATGATCAGACATTTCAGGGACTACTGGACACTGGCTCTGAGTCGACATTGATTCCAGGGGACCCAAAATATCATTGTGGTCCTCCAGTTAAAGTAGGGGCTTATGGAGGTCAGGTAATTAGTGGAGTTTTAGCTCAGGTCTGACTTACAGTGGTTCCCTGGACTCATCCCATGGTCATTTCCCCAGTGCCAGAATGCATAATTGGCATAGACATACTTAGCAGCCTGCAGAACCCCCACATAGGCTCCCTGACTGGTAGGTTGAGGGCTATTATGGTGGGAAAGGCCAAATGGAAGCCATTAGAGCTGCCTCTACCTAGAAAAATAGTAAATAAAAACCAACATCACTTCCCTAGAGGGATTGCAGAGATCAGTGCCACCACCAAGGACCTGAAAGACCCAGTGGTGGTGATTCCTACCACGTCCCCATTCAACTCTCCTATTTGGCCTGTGCAGAAGACAGATGGATCTTAAAGAATGACAGTGGATTATCTTAAGCTTAGCCAAGTGGTGACTCTAATTGCATCTCCTGTACCAGATGTGGTTTCATTGCTTGAGCAAATTAACACATCTCGTGGTACCTTGTATGCAGCCATTGACTTGGCAAATGCTCTTTTCTCCCTTCCTGTTCATAAGGCCCACCAGAAGCAATTTGCCTTCAGCTGGCAAAGCCAGCAATATACCTTTACTGTCCTATCTCAGGGGTGTATCAACTCTCTGGCTTTGTGCCATAGTCTTATTAGAAGAGATCTTGATAGCTTTTTGCTTCCACAGATATCACACTGGTCCATTACATTGATGACATTATGTTAATTGGATCCAATGAGTAAGAAGTAGCAAACACACTGGACTTATTGGTGAGACATTTGTGTGCCAGAGGATGGGAAATAAATCTGACTAAAATTCAGGGATCTACTGCCTCTGTAAAATTTCAAGGGGTCCAGTGGTGTGCGGCCTATTGAGATATTCCTTCTAAAGTGAAGGGTGAGTTGCTGCATTTAGCCCCTCCTACAACCAAGAAAGAGACACAACGCCTAGTGGGCCTATTTGGATTTTGGAGGCAACACATTCCTCATTTGGGTGTGTTACTCCAGCCCATTTATTGAGTGACCTGAAAGGCTGCCAGTTTTGAGTGGTGTCCAGAACAGGAGAAGGCTCTGTAACAGGTCTAGGCTGCTGTGCAAGCTGCTCTGCCACTTGGGCCATATGACCCAGTGGATCCAATGGTGCTTGAGGTGTCAGTGGCAGATAGGGATGCTGTTTGGAGCCTTTGGTAGGCTCCTATAGGTGAATAACAGCAGAGGCCTCTAGGATTTTGGAGCAAGGTCCTGCCATCTTCTGTAGACAATTACTCTCCTTTTGAGAGACAGCTCTTGGACTGTTACTCGGCTTTGGTGGAAACTGAACGTTTGACTATGGGTCATCAAGTCAACATGAATGTGACCTGAACTACCTATCATGAACTGGGTGCTTTCTGACCAATCTAGCCTTAAAGTGGGTCATGCACAGCAGCATTCCATCATCAAATAAAAGTGGTATATATGTGACCAGGCTCAAGAAGTTCCTGAAGGCACAAGTAAGTTACACGAGGAAGTAGCTCAAAGGCCCATGGGTCTCCACTCCTGCCACCCTGCCTTCTTTCCTCCAGCCTGCACTGATGGCCTCATGGGGAGTTCTCTATGATCAGTTGATAGAGGAAGAGAAGAGTAGGGCCTGGTTTACAGATGATTCTGCACGATATGCAGGCACCACCCAAAAGTGTACAGCTGCAGCACTATAGCCCCTTTCTAGGACATCCCTGAAGGACAATGGTGAAGGGAAATCTTCCCAGTGGGTAGAAGTTTGAGCAGTGCACCTGGTTGTGCACCTTACTTGGAAGGAAAAATGGCCAGATGTGCAATTATATACTGATTCACGGGCTGTAGCCAATGGTTTGGCTGGGTGGTCAGGGAGGAAGCATGATTGAAAAATTGGTGACAAAGAAGTTTGGGGAAGAGGTATGTGGATGTGCCTCTCTTAGTGGTGAAAAACTGTGAAGATATTTGTATTCCATGTGAGCGCTCACCAATGGGTGACATCAGCAGAGGAGGAGTTTAATAATCAATTAAATAGGGTGACCCGTTCTGTGGATACCACTCAGCCTCTTTCCCCAGCCACACCTGTCATCACCCCATGAGCCCATAAACAAAGTGGCCATGGTGGCAGGGATGGAGATTAGCTGAGTGCCCAATTTGCCAGCACCAGAGACCAACACTGAGCCCTTGATATGGCACCATTCCTCGGGGTGATCAGCCAGCTACCTGGTGACTGGTTGATTATATCAGACCTCTTCCATCATGAAAAGGGCAGAGGTTTGGCAAATCCATATCTGGAGTAAGAGCATCATGAAAAGGGCAGAGAATAGGCAAACTCATATCTATAGTAAGTGTCTATTTCTCACTGTTTTGTCAGAAACTAGGATTGCAACCCCTGCTTTTTTCTGTTTTCCATTTGCTTGGTAATTTTTCCTCCATCCCTTTATTTTGAGCTTATGTGTGTCTTTGCACATGAGATGGGTCTCTTGAAGACAGCATACCAATGGGGCTTGAATCTTTATCCAGCTTGTCATTCTGTGTCTTTTAATTGGGGCATTTAGCCTATTTACATTTAAGATTAATATTGTTATGTGTGAATTTGATCCTATCATCATGATGATAATTGGTTATTTTGCATACTTGTTTATGTGGTTGCTTCTTTGTGTCACTGGTCTGTGTACTTCAGCATGCTTTTGTAGTGGCTGGTAACAGTTTTTCTCTTTCATGTTTAGTGCTTCCTTCAGCAACTCTTGCAAAGCACAGCCTGATGGTGACTTATTTCATCAGCATTTGCTTGTCTGAAAAGGATCTTATTTCTCTTTCCCTTATGAAGCTTAGTTTGGCCATATATGAAATTCTGAGTTGGAAATTCTTTTCTTTAAGAATGTTGAATATTGTCCCCCAAAATCTTCTGGCTTATAAGGTTTCCACTTTCCTTTCTCTCTGGCTGCCCTTAACATTTTTTCTTTCATTGCCATCTTCAAGAACCTGACGATTATGTGTCTTGGGGTTGATCTTCTCATGGAGTATCTTATTGGGGTTCTCTGAATTTCCTGAATTTGAATGTTGGCCTGTCTTGCTAGGTTGGGGAAATTCTCCTGGACAATATCCTGCAGAGTGTTTTGCAACTTGGTTCCATTCTCCCTGTCTCTTTCAGGTACCCCAATCAGTCACAGGGTCAGTCATTTTACATAATCACATATTTCTCAGAGGTTTTGTTTATTCCTTTTCATTCCTTTTTCTGTTTTCTTTTCTGCCTGCCTTATTTCAGAATGATATTGTTCAAGCTCTGAGATTCTTTTCTTGGCTTGGTCTATTCGGCTATTCATACTTGGGATTGCAATGTGAAGTTCACATGTTGTGTTTTTCAATTCCATCAGGTCATTTATGTTCCTCTCTCAACTGGCTATTCTGGTTATCAGCTTCTGTAATGTTTTATCATGATTCTTAGCATCTTGGCATTTGATTAGAACATGCTCCCTTCGCTGAGTGAAATTCGTTATTACACACCTTCTGAAACCAATTTCTGTCAGTTCAGCCATCCCAGACTCAGCCCAGTTCTGTGCCCTTGCTGGGGAGGTGTTGTGGTCACTCGGAGGAAAAGAGGCACTCTGGCTTTTTTAGTTTTCAACATTTTTGCATTGATTCTTTTTCATTTTGTGGGCTTATCTACCTTCAGTCTTTGAGGTTGCTGACTTTTGAATGGGATTTTTGAGGGGTCTTTTCTATTGATGTTGTTGTTGCTTTCTGGTTTGTGTGTGTGTGTGTGTGTGTGTATTTATTTATTTATTAATTATTATTATTATACTTTAAGTTCTAGGGTACATGTGCACAATGTGCAGGTTTGTTACATGTGTATACATGTGCCATGTTGGTGTGCTGGACCCATTAACTCATCATTTACATCAGGTATATCTCCTAATGCTATCCTTCCCCCTCCCCCACCGCACCACAGGCCCCAGTGTGTGATGTTCCCCTTCCCTTGTTGAAGTGTTCTCACTGTTCAATTCCCACCTATGAGTGAGAACATGTGGTGTTTGGTTTTCTTCCCTTGTGATAGTTTGCTGACAATGATGGTTTCCACCTTCATCCATGTCCCTACAAAGGACATGAACTCATCCTCTTTTATGGCTGCATAGTATTCCATGGTGTATATGTGCCACATTTTCTTAATCCAGTGGACATTTGGGTTGGTTCCAAGTCTTTGCTATTGTGAATAGTGCCACAATAAACATATGTGTGCATGTGTCTTTATAGCAGCATGATTTATAATCCTTTGGGTATATACCCAGTAATGAGATGGCTGGGTCAAATGGTATTTCTAGTTCTAGATCCTTGAGGAATCACCACACTGTCTTCCACAATGGTTGAACTAGGTTGCCTGTTCACTCTGATGGTAGTTTCTTCTGCTGTGTGGAAGCTCTTTAGTTTAGTTAGATCCCATTTGTCAATTTTGGCTTTTGTTGCCATTGCTTTTGGTGTTTTAGACATGAAGTCGTTGCCCATGCCTATGTCCTGAATGGTATTGCCTAGGTTTTCTTCTAGGGTTTTTATGGTTTTATGTCTAACATTTAAGTCTTTAATCCATCTTGAATTAATTTTTGTATAAGGTGTAAGGAAGGGATCCAGTTTCAGCTTTCTACCTATGGCTAGCCAGTTTTCCCAACACCATTTATTAAATAGGGAATCCTTTCCCCATTTCTTATTTTTGTCAGGTTTGTCAAAGATCAGATGGTTGTAGATGTGTGGTATTATTTCTGAGGGCTCTGTTCTGTTCCATTGGTCTATATCTCTGTTTTGGTACCAGTACCACGCTGTTTTGGTTACTGTAGCCTTGTAGTATAGTTTGAAGTCAGGTAGCATGATACCTCCAGCTTTGTTCTTTTTTGTTTAGGATTGTCTTAGCAATGCAGGCTCTTTTATGGTTCCATATGAGCTTTAAAATAGTTTTTTCCAATTCTGTGAAGAAAGTCATTGGTAGCTTGATGGGGATGGTATTGAATCTATAAATTACCTTGGACAGTATGGTCATTTTCATGATATTGATTCTTCCTATCCATGAGCATGGCATATTCTTCCATTTGTTTGTGTCCTGTTTTATTTCGTTGAGCAGTGGTTTGTAGTTCTCCTTGAAGAGGTCCTTCACATCCCTTGTAAGTTGGATTCCTAGGTATTTTATTCTCTTTGAAGCAGTTGTGAATGGGAGTTCACTCATGATTTGGCTCTCTGTTTGTCTGTTATTGGTGTATAGGAATGCTTGTGATCTTTGCACATTGATTTTGTATCCTGAGACTTTGCTGAAGCTGCTCATCAGCTTAAAGAGATTTTGGGCTGAGACAATGGGGTTTTCTAAATATACAGTCATGTCATCTGCAAACAGGGACAATTTGACTTCCTCTTTTCCTAATTGAATTCCCTTTATTTCTTTCTCCTGCCTGATTGCCCTGTCCAGAACTTCCAACACTATGTTGAATAGGAGTGGTGAGAGAGGGCATCCCTGTCTTGTGCCAGTTTTCAAAGGGAATGCTTCCAGTTTGTGCCCATTCAGTATGATATTGGCTGTGGGTTTGTCATAAATAGCTCTTATTATTTTGAGATATGCCCCATCAATACCTAATTTATTGAGAGTTTTTAGCATGAAGGGCTGCTGGATTTTGTCAAAGGACTTTTCTACATCTATTGAAATAATCATGTGGTTTTTGTCTTTGGTTCTGTTTATATGCTGGATTATGTTTATTGATTTTCCTTTGTTGAACCAGCCTTGCATCCCAGGGATGAAGCCCACTTGATCATGGTGGATAAGCTTTTTTTATCCTTCTTTTTCTGTATTTTTACTTAATTATACTTTAAGTTCTAGGGTATATGTGCACAATGTGCAGGTTTGTTACATATGTATGCATAAGCGATGTTGGTGTGCTGCACCCATTAACTCGTCATTTACATTAGGTATATCTCCTAATGCTATCCCTCCCCCCTACCCCCACCCCACAACAGGCCCTGGTTGTGTGATGTTCCCCTTCTCATGTCGAAGTGTTCTCATTGTTCAATTCCCACCTACGAGTGAGAACATGTGGTGTTTGGTTTTCTGTCCTTGCGATAGTTTGCTGAGAATGATGGCTTCCAGCTTCATCCACGTCCCTACAAAGGACATGAACTCATCCCCTTTTATGGCTGCATAGTATTCTATGGTGTATATGTGCCACATCTTCTTAATCCAGTCTATCATTGATGGACATTTGGTTTGGTTCCAAGTCTTTGCTATTGTGAATAATGCCACAATAAACATACATGTGCATGTGTCTTTATGGCAGCATGATTTATAATCCTTTGGGTATATACCCAGTAATGGGATGGCTGGGTCAAATGGTATTTCTAGTTCTAGATCCCTGAGGAATCGCCACACAGTCTTCCACAATGGTTGAACTAGTTTACAGTCCCACCAACAGTGTAAAAGTGTTCCTATTTCTCACATTCTCTCCAGCACCTGTTGTTTCCTGACTTTTTAATGATTGCCATTCTAACTGGTGTGAGATGATATCTCATTGCGGCTTTGAGTTGCATTTCTCTGATGGCCAGTGATGATGAGCATTTTTTCATGTGTCTGTTGGCTGTATAAATGTCTTCTTTTGAGAAGTGTCTGTTTATATCCTTCACCCACTTTTCGATGGGGTTGTTTTTTTCTTGTAAATTTGTTTGAGTTATTTGCAGATTCTGTGTATTAGCCCTGTGTCAGATGAGTAGATTGCAAAACTTTTCTCCCATTCGGTAGGTTGCCTATTCACTCTGATGGTAGTTTCTTTTGCTTTGCAGAAGCTCTTTAGTTTAATTAGATCCCATTTGTCAATTTTGGCTTTTGTTGCCATTGCTTTTGGTGTTTGAGACATGAAGTCCTTGCACTTGCCTATGTCCTGAATGGTATTGCCTAGGTTTTCTTCTAGGGTTTTTATAGTTTTAGGTCTAACATTTAAGTCTTTAATCCATCTTGAATTAATTTTTGTATAAGGTGTAAGGAAGGGATCCAGTTTCAGCTTTCTACCAATGGGATAAGCTTTTTGATGTGCTGCTGGATTCGGTTTGCTGGTATCTTATTGAGGATTTTTGCATCGATGTTCATCAGGGATGATGGTCCAAAATTATCTTTTTTTGTTGTGTCTCTGCCAGGCTTTGGTATCAGGATGATGCAGGCCTCATAAAATGAGTTAGAGAGGATTCCCTCTTTTTTCTATAGATTGGAATAGTTTCAGAAGGAATGGTACCATTCCTCCTTATACCTCTGGTAGAATTTGGCTGTGAATCTTTCTGGTCCTGGACCTTTTTTCGTTGGTAAGCTATTAATTATTACCTCAATTTCAGAGCCTGTTATTCGTCTATTCAGGGATTCAACTTCTTCCCAGCTTAATCTTGGGAGGGTGTATGTGTCCAGGAATTTATCCATTTCTTCTAGATTTTCTAGTTTATTTGCATAGGGTGTTTACAGTATTCTGTGATGGTAGTTTGTTTTTCTGTGGGATCGGTGGTGATAACCCCTTTATCATTTTTTATTGCAACTATTTGATTTGTCTCTCTTTTCCTTTTTATTAGTCTTGCTAATGGTCTATCAATTTTGTTGATCTTTTCAAAAAACCAGCTCCTGGATTCATTGATTTTTTGAAGCATTTTTTGTGTCTCTATCTCCTTCAGTTCTGCTCTGATCTGAGTTATTTCTTGCCTTCTGCTAGCTTTTGAATGTGTTTGCTGTTGCTTCTCTAGTTCTTTTAATTGTGATGTTAGGGTGTCAATTTTAGATCTTTCCTGCTTTCTCTTGTGGGCATTTAGTGCTATAAATTTCCCTCTACACCCTGCTTTAAATGTGTCCTAGAGATTCTGGTATGTTGTGTCTTTGTTCTCATTGGTTTCAAAGAACATCTTTATTTCTGCCTTCATTTTATTATGTACCCAGTAGTCATTCAGAAGCAGGTTGTTCAGTTTCCTTGTTCTTGAGTGGTTTTGAGTGAGTTTCTTAATCCTGAGTTCTAGTTTGATTGCACTGTGGTCTGAGAGATAGTTTGTTATAATTTCTGTTCTTTTACATTTGCTGAGGAGTGCTTTACTTCCAATTATGTGGTCAATTTTGGAATAGGTGTGGTGTGGTGCTGAGAAGAATGTATATTCTGTTGATTTGTGTTGGAGAGTTCTGTGGATGTCTATTAGGTCGGCTTGGTGCAGAGCTGCATTCAATTCCTGGATATCCTTGTTAACTTTCTGTCTTGTTGATCTATCTAATGTTGACAGTGGGGTGTTAAAGTCTCCCATTATTATTGTGTGGGAGTCTAAGTCTCTTTTTAGGTCTCTAAGGACTTGCTTTATGAATCTGGGTGCTCCTGTATTGGGTGTATATATATTTAGGATAGTTAGCTCTTCTTGTTGAATTGATTCCTTTACCATTATGTAATGGCCTTCTTTGTCTCTTTTGATCTTTGTTGGTTTAAGGTCTGTTTTATCAGAGACTAGGATTGCAACCCCTGCTATTTTTTTGTTTTCCATTTGCTTGGTAGATCTTCCACCTTCCCTTTATTTTGAGCCTATGTGTGTCTCTGCACATGAGATGGGTCTCCTGAATACAGCACACTGATGGGTCTTGACCCTTTATCCAATTTGCCAGTCTGTGTCTTTTAATTGGAGCATTTAGCCCATTTACATATAAGGTTAATATTGTGTGTGAATTTGATCCTGTCATTATGATGTTAGCTGGTTATTTTGCTCATTAGTTGATGCAGTTTCTTCCTAGCATCAATGGTCTTTACAACTTAGCATGTGTTTGCAGTGGCTGGTACCAGTTTTTCCTTTCCATGTTTAGTGCTTCCTTCAGGAACTCTTGTAGGGCAGGCCTGGTGGTGACAAAATCTCTCAGCATTTGATTGTCTGTAAAGGATTTTATTTCTCCTTCACTTATGAAGCTTAGTTTGGCTGGATATGAAATTCTGGGTTGAAAATTCTTTTCTTTAAGAATGTTGAATATCGACCTCGACTCTCCTCTGGCTTGTAGAGTTTCTGCCGAGAGATCTGCTCTTAGTCTGATGGGCTTCCCTTTGTGGGTAACCCGACCTTTTCTCTGGCTGTCCTTAACATTTTTTCCTTCATTTCAACTTTGGTGAATCTGACAATTATGTGTCTTGGAGTTGCTCTTCTCGAGGAGTATCTTTGTGGCATTCTCTGTATTTCCTGAATTTGAATATTGGCCTGCCTTGCTAGGTTGGGGAAGTTCTCCTGGATAATATCCTGCAGAGTGTTTTCCAACTTGGTTCCATTCTCCCCATCACTTTCAGGTACACCAATCAGATGTAGATTTGGTCTTTTCACATAGTCCCATATTTCTTGGAGGCTTTGTTCATTTCTTTTTACTCTTTTTTCTCTAAACTTGTCTTCTCGCTTCATTTCATTCGTTTGATCTTCAATCACTGATACCCTTTCTTCCAGTTGATTGAATTGGCTATTGAAGCTCCTACTTGTGTCACATAGTTCTTGTGCCATGGTTTTCAGATCCATCAGGTCATTTAAGAACTTCTCTCCACTGGTTATTCTAGTTAGCCATTCATCTAATCGTTTTTCAAGGTTTTTAGCTTCTTTGCAGTGGGTTCAAAGGGACATCCTCCTTTAGCTCAGAGAATTTTGATTGTCTGAAGCCTTCATCTCTCCACTTGTCAAAATCATTCTCCTTCCAGCTTTGTTCTATTGCTGGCAAGGAGCTGCATTCCTTTGGAGGAGAAGAGGTGCTCTGGTTTTTAGAATTTTTCAGCTTTTCTGCTCTGGTTTCTCCCCATCTTTGTGGTTTTATCTACTTTTGGTCTTTGATAATGGTGACGTTCAGATGGGGTTTTAGTGTGGATGTCCTTTCTGTTTGTTAGTTTTCCTTCTAACAGTCAGGACCCTCAGCTGCAGGTCTGTTGGAGTTTGCTGGAGGTCCACTCCCGACCCTGTTTGCCTTGGTATCAGCAGTGGAGGCTGCAGAACAGCGAATATTGCAGAACAGCAAATGTTGCTGCCTGATCGTTCCTCTGGAAGCTTCATCTCAGAGTGGCACCTGGTCGTGTGAGGTGTCAGTCTGCCCCTACTGGGATGTGCCTCCCAGTTAGGCTACTCGGGGGTCAGGGACCCACTTGAGGAGGCAGTCTGTCAGTTCTCAGATCTCAAATTCCGTGCTGGGAGAACCACTACTCTCTTCGAATCTGTCAGACAGGGACATTTAGGTCTGCAGAAGTTTCTGCTGCCTTTTGTTCAGCTGTCTTGCCCCCAGAGGTGTAGTCTACAGAGGCAGGCAGGCCTCCTTGAGCTGCAGTGGGCTCCACCCAGTTTGAGCTTCCTGGCCTCTTTGTTTACCTACTCAAGCCTCAGCAATGGTTTGCACCCCTCCCCCAGGCTTGCTGCTGCCTTGCAGTTCAATCTCAGACTGCTGTGCTAGCAATGAGCAAGGCTCCATAAGTGTGGGACCCTCTGAGCCAGGCGCGGGATATTATCTCCTGGTGTGCTGTTTGCTAAGACCATTGGAAAAGTGCAGTATTAGGGTGGGAATGACCCAATTTTCCAGGTGCTGTCTGTCACAGCTTCCCTTGGCTAGGAAAGGGAATTCCCTGACCCGTTGTGCTTCCCAGGTGAGGTGATGCCTCACCCTTGTTTGGCTCTTGCTCGGTGGGCTGCACCCACTGTCCTGCACCCACTGTCTGACAAGCCCCAGTGAGATGAACCTGGTACCTCAGTTGGAAATCCAGAAATCACCCGTCTTCCGTGTCACTCACACTGGGAGCTGTAGACTGGAGCTGTTGCTATTCAGCCATGTTGGAACCCACCTACTGTGTGTGTTTTAACTGTTAGGCCACTCTTCTGTGGGACTGCTGCAATTTCCTAGGTAGTGGTCCACTCCAGACCCTAGTCACCTTGGACCCTCCTGCACCTGGAGGTATCACTGGTAAAGCCTGTGAAACAGCAAAGATGACAGCCTGTTCCTTCCTCTGGGAGCTCTGTCCCTGGGGCACCAACCTGTTGCTGGCCAGAATGCTCCTGTAGGAGGTTTCTGGAGATCCCTTTTGGGAGGTCTCACACAGACATGAGAAACAGACTTGGGGATCCACTTAAAGAAACAGTCTGACTGCCCCTTGGCAGAGCAAGTGTGCTGTGCTGACCTCCAGTCTCTCCAGAGCCAGCAGTCTGGAAAGACTAAGTCTGCTGAATTGCAGAGAGAGCAGCTGCCCCTCCCCCTGGGGACTCTGTTTCAGGGAGACATCAGAGTTGTCTTTGTATAACCCTGGCTGGAGTTGCTGAAATTCCTGCAGGGAGGCCCCACCCAGTGAAGAAGGATGGATCGAGGTCCCACTTAAAGAAGCAGAGTGCCCGCTATCAGGTACAGCAGCTGTGCTGCATTGTGGGGAATTTCTCCCAGCCCCCCCATACTGGCAGGCTAGAGTGGCCAACTCCAACCACAGATATGGCAGCCACCTCTCCCCACTCCCATAAACTCAGTCCATGTCAGGCCATCTCCAGCCCGTTGCCACTGGCTGGCTGGAATTTCAAGCCAGTGGGCCTTGATTTGTGAGATGCCATGGGAGTGGGGCCCACAGAATGATGGCACTTGGCTCCCTGGATTCAGCTCCTTCCTAGGGGCATGCATGAGATCTCCTGCCTTGTCAGAATTCCTGGGGCTGGAATATGCAAAACTTCTGGGGTTCTCTGCATGCTGAATGAATGAATGGCTACTCTGCTGAGATGCCACACAGCTCTGTGCTTTGAACCCAAGGTCCTGGTGATGTGGGCTCATGAGGGGATCTCCTGCTCTGTTGGGTCTCAAAGATCCCTAGGAAAAGAATGGTTTCCTGGGCAAGGTTGCACAGTCACTCGCTGCCTCCCTTGGCTGGGAGTGGGGGTTCCCCTGGCTCCATGCCACTCCTGGGTGGGCTGTCACCCCATCCTGCTTTCCTCACTTTTCATGGGTCTAGCCATCTGCCTAGTGAGTCCTTGTGAGAAACTGGATGCCTCAGGTTTGTTTGTTTGTTTGTTTGTTTCTTTCTTTCTTTCTTTCTTTCTTTCTTTCTTTCTTTTTCTTTCTTTCTTTCTTTTTTATTTCTTTCTTTCTTTCTTTTCGAGACAGAGTCTTGTTCTGTTGCATAGGCTGGAGTGCACTGGCATCATCACAGTTCGCTGCAGCCATGAACTCCGGGGCTTAAGTGATCCTTCTACCTCAGCCCCCTGAGTAGCTGAGACTATAGGTGCACCCCACTATACCTGGCTAATTTTTATATTGTTTTTGTAGAGATGGGATTTTGCTATGTTGCCCAGGCTGGTCTCAAACTCTTTTATGTTTTCTTCTAGTAGTTTTAGAGTTTCTGGTCTTTTTTAAGTATTTAATCCATGTTGAAATGATTTTTGTTTATAGTGTGAGATAAGGGTCCAATTTTATTTTTCTGCATGTGAAAATCCAGTTTTCCCAACACCATTTATTGAAGATACTCTCCTTTTCCTGAAAATGTACTTATCTTGTGTACAATTTGATCAGTTTCAAAAAGCGTCTGCACTCATGTAACAACCACCCAAATCAAGATAGAAGACATTACCATTCATTACCTCTGAAAGTTCTATTGTGTTCCCTCTAGTCAATTGCTGTCCCCAGTTGTCCTAAAGGAATACTTGTCTGATTTATATTACCATAAATTAAAATTTTTATTTCTTGAAATTTACGTGAAATAATATAGTATGTATCCTAGGCATATGACCTTTTTTGCTAAGCAGTATATTTTTGAAATTAATCTGTGCTGTTGATGACGTTTTCTTGTGCATATTGGCCATTCATATATCCTCTTTTGTGAAGCATCTGTTTCTTTTGTCCATTTTTAAATTGGATGGTTTGTCTCTTCACTATTGATTTACTAAAATTCTTGGCTGAGTGTGGTGGCTCACACCTGTAATCCCAGCACTTTGGGAGGCCAAGGCAGGAGGATCACAAGGTCAGGAGTTCAATACCAGCCTGGCCAATATGGTGAAGCCCCATCTCTACTAAAATACAAAAAAATTAGCTGGACGTGGTGGCATGCACCTGTAGTCCCATCTACTTGGGACGCTGAGGCAGGGGAATTGCTTGAACCTAAGATGTGGAGGTTGTAGTGAGCCAAGAACGTGCCTGTGTACTCCAGCCTGGCAACAGAGCAAGACTCCATCTCAAAAAAAAAAAAAAAAAGATTCTTTGTATGTATTCTGGATATAAGTCCTTTGTTGGGTATATGTCTTGTGAATATTTTCTCCCAGCCTATGACTTATATTTTCATTTTTTAAATAGGATCTTTCTAGGCAATAAACTTTTAAAGACATTTTTGCCTCAAGATTATGAAGATATATTATTAGTTTTCTTCTAGGAAATGTATAAATTTAACATTCATGTCTAAACCTAATATTAATTTTGGTATTTGGTGTGAGGTAGGCATTAAGGTTAATTATTTTCCATAAATTTATACATTTGTGGTATTACCTTTTTTTAGAGAACTGACATATATTCTATCAGTCAGGATTCTACCTGAGAAAAAGAACCAAGAACCAGTAGAAGATTATACATATCTCCTACTGAGAGATAGAGAGTGAGTGGCAGGCCAGGAGGGGAAAGAGAGAAAGAGACTGAGAGAGAGAGAGAGCTAGAGAGTGTGAGAGAGAGAGAGAGAGTGATTATTTCAAGAAGTTGGCTTACATTATTGTGCAACCTGGCTAGGTAAGTCCAAAATTTGTAGGGCAGGCTCACAGGCTGGAAACTTTTGGGCAGGAGCTGACACCACAGTCCACAGTAGAATTTCTTCCTCAGGCAAACCTCAGTTTTGTTCTTAAGGCCTTTCAACGAATTGGATAAAGTCGAAACACATTATCAAGGAAATACGTCTTTACTTAAGGTCAACTGATTATAGACATTTATTCTATCTACAAAATACCTTCACAGCAACATCTAGATTAGTGTTTGATTACATAACTCGGTACTATAGCCTAGCCAAATTGACCCATAAATCTCAGTTTTATTGCAGTTCACTCCTTATCAACTTGTCACCTATACACATCTTAAATCATACCTAATCTCTAAATAATAACAACAACCAAGTCATACTTCCACCTAACATGACATAGCTATCCTGTGTACAACTGTAAACATGCTAATTCTTCACCCAGAGAACGATACAAGTATTTGAATGATGTTCGCTCTTCTTTAATATTCTGTAACTTAAATACTGTGATACAAAGTGAACTATTATAAAAATGTCTTATGTTAGATGATAAAGGAATAAGAGAGAGAAGGAAATAAAAACAGTAATACTTGTATATATAAAGTTTTTGGTAAAATAAGGAAAAAACACTCATAATTATAGTCCTCAGTTTTGCAAATTGTTATATGGTCATAGCTGGTATTTTTGACTACCTCCTTCGACTATCCATCTCATATTTGCCTTCAGCAAGCACCTCAAATGACAGTGTTTCTTTGCCTAGTGGAGTGACCCAAACCTGTATTCCTAAACAGTCTGAGCCATAGGGAGTCTTGCCTGAATTGGTCTTTTGTAGTTTTTCATTGACTTTCATCATGGTAGTACTAAGAGACACTCCAAAAGAACCCTCTGTATTCCATACATGTTTTTCCTACCTTCATTGTGTAGTAGCAGCTCAATTTCTCTTTGGTAATCAGGATCAGCCACCTCAGCCAGTGTAGTATCTTCCTTTTTTGCCTGTTGATTCAGAAGCATGTAGAGCTCAAAGTGACTGAGTGGGAATTTTAACTCATAGTTTAATGGAATTATTGTTGTGTCTCCTGGTGGGAACAATTTTGTCTAAAACTAAGGTCTCTAGACTAGCAGAGCATAAGTTTATAAAAACAGGAATAAAAAATTTTGCTAGTGGATCACTAGTGGGAATAGTGAGTGATGCCATTCTCATTTTCATACCTTGATTTCTGGACCCATTAATCCTGGCTAGGGAAGAAACAGCTCTGTATGTTGAATGCTGATTTAGAGCACATACATCCTCCTGGAGGACACTGCTCCAGTCATGCAAGATATTGTCACCAACTTGGCACTATAGGTTTCTTCCAAAGGCCATTCCAGCATTCTATCATGCCAACTGTTTCAAGATGATGGGGAACATGGTAAGACCAATGAATTCTATAAGCATGGACCCATCATTGCACTTCATTTGTAGTGAAGTGAGTTCCTTGATCAGAAGTAATGCTTTGTGGATTACCATGATGGGTGGATAAGACACTCTATTCTGTAAGTTTACAGATGGTGCTTTGGCAGATGCATTGTATCCAGAGTAAGTGTTTGTTATCGTAAGAACAAAATGCTGCTCTTTCCATGATGAATGTGGTTCAGTATAATCAACCTGCTACTAGATGTCTGGCTGATCACCCTGAGGAATGGTGCCATGCTGAGGCTCAGTGTTGGTCTCTGTTGGCAAGTTGAACACTCAGCAGTGGCTGTAGCCATGTTGGCCTTGGTTAGTGGAAGTCCATGTTGCTGAGCCCGTGCATAACCTCTGTCCCTGCCACTGTAGCTACTTTCTTCATGAGCCAATTAAGCAATAACAGGAGTAGCTGAGGAGAGGCTAACTAGTATTCACAAAAAGGGTTGTTGTATCCACCTGATGATTAAAATCCTTCCCTGCCAAGGTCACCTTGTAGTGAGCACTGACATGGGGGCACAAATATCTTCTTACTCTTTTTCCATTCAGAGAGTTCTTTCCAGATACTTCAGCCCCAGCTCTCCTAGTTACTAATTTTCTAGACATTTTTCTTCCAAACCCTTGTCTACCCAGTAAAACCACCGGCCACAACTCATGAAATGGTATAGACTTGTACCTCTGGCCTTCCAAGCAAAATGAACAAGTAGGTACACTGCTTGAAGTTCTACCTACCTGGAGCATGTTGCCTCATCACTGACCTTCAGGGATGTTCCAGAAAGGTGTTGTAGTGCTTCAGCTGTCCACTTTCAGGTGACGCCTGCATGCCATGCTGAACTACCTGTAAACCAGCCCCAAGTTTTCTCTTCCTTAGTCACCTGATCATAGGAAACTCTCTGTGAGGCCATAGTAAGCTGGAAGAGAGAAGGTAATGTATCCAGAGTGGGGACAATGGGCATTTGGGCCACTTCTTCATGTAGGTCCAGGCAATGTAATATCATCAATGTAATGACCAGTGTGATGCCTTAGAGAAGGGAAAGGTGATCGAAGTACCTATGGATTAAATTATGACACAAGTTTGGAAAATTGATAGACTCCTGAAGTAGGAGAGTGAAAGGGCTGGTACTGGCTTTCCCAGCTTAAAGCAAACTGATTCTGGTGGTATTTACTAACATGTATCAAAAAAAGTATTTGCCAGGTCAATAGCTGCATACCAGTTATCAGAGGATGTCTTAATTTTGCTCAAACAATGAAATAATATCTGGAACAATGGCTTTAGATGGAGTTGCCACCTGGTTAAGATTGTGATAATTCACTGTCATTCTCCAGATCCATTTGTTTTCTTCATAGGCCAAATAGGTGAGTTGAGTGAGGATGTGGTGGGAATCACCATCACTGCATCTTTCAATTCCTGATGGTGAAAATAATCACTGCAATCCTTCCAGGAATGTGGTATTGCTTTTAGTTTCCATTTTCCTAGGTAGAGGAAGTTCTAGGGACTTCTACTTGGTCTTTCCTACCATAATAGCTGCCACTATATAGCTTGGGGAAGCAATTTGGGAATCCTACCAGTTGCTGAGTACATTTATTTACATTATGCATTCTGGAACAGGGGAAATAAACACAAGATGATTTTGAAACCCTACTGGGCTCACTGGGAGACAGACCTGAGCTAAACCTCCATTGATCACCTGACTTCCATAAGACTTTACTCTGACTGGTGGATCAAAGTGGTATTTGGGGTCACTCAGAATTACTGTCAATTTAGATCCAGTTACAGTAACTTCATTCACTGTGGTAAAACATCAGACTTTGGGAAAGTCTGGAAGAAAGATTCACAGTATACATTTTTTGGAATTTAGCAGGGCAATTCTTTAAGGGGAACTGGATGCCTCTTCAACGGGTTCTAGGTCTGCAAACTGTCTCAAATCCGGGAATAGATTGAGGGGTCATGACTCAATGTTTGGGTGATTCAAGTTAGACTTCTGTTCACTCACTCTAGAACTCTCCTAATGTCTATACAGACCAGCTGAGAATTTGGTAGACCGGTCATCCATTCCTCTTGTAGGGACACTGTGACCAGTGCCATAAGTAGATAAGAGTCAGATTATTCTGATTATTGCTTTAACTCCACTGTCCATTATGATAACTACGAACGTTTCGTCTTTGGTGGCTAAGTGCTACAATTTGGCCCTTGTTAACCTGGGATTCAATTATCCTCATTGCATTGAAGGATTCTGGTTCAGTTCGCATTGTAATTTCTGACTTATAGAGAAGAAAAACCACAGAGTTCTTCAAGGATGCTGGGGATCGCTTTACAAATTTATTTCTCATAGCTGTGCTGAATGGTGATCCACTGGACCCCACTAGGGATGTGTGAGCAGTTCTGATAAGATAAATTCACTCTGACATTTGAGTCTAAGTCTTTGAATCCCTTCCTCTACAGTGTACCAAGCAGTTCTGGCACATTAACTTTGTTTAGTTTAGGCCATTTTTTATTCTGTGTTTCAGCCAAGCAACCACCAACCAAACAAACTGTTAGGCTTTTTCTAGCCCATCAAGCTACAACATTGAATTTGGAATTTCTGCTTAGTGAACTCATGTCAATAAACTGGCCTGATCTAACTTTGTATTCCATTCACCATTATCCCACACTCTTAGTTTCCACTCTTACACATATTCCCCAGATTACTATCTGCATGAATTGGAAATATCATGCAATCATTTTGGTGTTTAGGCTACCCCTTCATGGGTTACCCTTCCAGGCCTGCTGGGGCTTGAGTCTAATTGTAGGTCTAGAAGCAAAGAAGGTTGGTTGGGGCCCTCCAGTGCCATACAAGGCCTCAAGGGAGGCCATTACAGGTTCTTCAGGCAAAACAATAATAACCTCCACAGACAGGGCTGAAGGGCTGCTTCTACTGGCAAAGGAGACACAACAGATTTTAAGGTTCAGTCTCCCCAGCTGCATTGAGATCTGCTCTGTGTGCTCCTATTCCAATGTTCACAATTCCATTCCTTCCAAGTCCAAGCCCTCACTTTAGCAGAAGACACCCTGAAATGTTCGGAATTCAATTTGTGTTGTAATTTTGCCACTTACAGGATGAAAGTCTGGGTTTGATTTTCAGCAATCTTAGCCTTGTAGCTACAGGAGATAAGGATTTCTTTCTCTTTTTTTTTTGAGATGGAGTCTCACTTCTGTTGCCCAGGCTGGAGGGCAGTGGTGCGATCACAACCCGCTGCAGCCTCAACCTCCTGGGCTCAAGTGATCCTCTCACCTGAGCCTCCTGAGTAGCTGGTACTGTAGCACACTCCACCACAACTGGCTAATATATATATATATATATTTTGTAGAGATGGGGTTTTGCCTTGTTGCTTAGGCTAGTCTCAAACTCCTGGGCTCAAGCGATACACCCTACTTGGCCTTCCAAATTGCTGGAATTACAGCCATGAGCTACTGCACCCTGCCTTAAGCATTTCTTTCAAGGCAGACATAGACACTTTCGGGTCATTTATGTGGAGCTTATGTGGAAATTGAAGCCCTGAGTTGAGAATTTGAAGCCCTGAGATCATCCTTTTCTATCCCCACTTTCTCCAGAGCAGTTAGGAGCAGCCAGCCAGTCATTATATTCATTATTTTTACTAACATGTCCTAAGGTATCAAATATGTGGCACTCAGACCTTGCCCTTTATAAATATTTAATTATGAGATTCCAATGGCAGTATCTTGCATATTTCTATTGCCACATTATGCCATGACCAATGATTTCATTATCACTGGAAATAAAGTCATTAGTGCCTTTAAATCTAATCAGATAAGAGAACCAATTTCAGACAGACCAGAACTAATTTAGAAAACTCATCCTTAAGATTCTGTTCCTTTAGAACCACTCTACATACTAAAATCTGTGTTATTGAGGTTTCTTCAGAGAAACAGAACCAATACGAAACACACACACACACACACACACACACACACACACACACACACGGATTGGCTTACTGTTTGTATGGGCTGACAAGTCCAAAATCTATAGGGCAACCATGGAGGCTGGAAACTCTTCGGCAAAAACACGATGCTGTAGTTCCTAGGTGGAATTCCTTCTACTTCTGTAGAAAGGAGCAACACAACTAGAGGTATAAGGAGTCCTAAGTTCCCACTTATATGGCATTAGTCAATAAAATGGGTCTAAAATTTTGGGGGATTTCTAACAATATCTTTGTGGAGCTGTAAAGTGAAAATATGAGTTTGACAATAATATCTCATTGTATTTCTCAAGTTAAGGTGGCAGGTTTTGCTCTTAAAGGCCTTTCAATTAATAGAATGAGCCTTGTCCACATGATCAAGGATAATCTCCTTTGCTGAAAATCGAGTGACTATAGATGTTAACTATATCTACAAAATACCTCTACAGCAATACCACATTACTGCTAGATTGAATAACCTGGGTACTACAGCCTAAACAAGTTGATGCATCAAGCTAACCATCACAAATGAGAATAATTTAAATAATATTGATTTACTATTACTATCCTAAAAATTATATTACATTCAGGTTATTTCAAAATTGCTGCAAGAGTAGATTTTTAAATATTCACACCATACAAAAATAAGTAGGTGAGGTGACGGATATGTTAATTAGCTTGATTTAATCATTCCACAATATACATATATGTCAAATACATATATAAAAATATTGCATTGCACCCCATAAATATATGCAATTATTATTTGTCATTTAAATACTTTTATGAGTGGTTTTACTTTCTTCACTTTGCATTTTTTAAAAAAAATTAAGAAATTTTTTTAATTAAAAAAAGTGCAAAGTGAGGAAAGTCCCCTTGTCCCTTTTGTTATGTGTGAATACAGAGAGAAGGAGCCATGTATGAACCAGAAAGTGAACCCTCACCAGACACGGAATTTGCCAGCACTCCATTTTTGAAAAATGCAAAGTGAACAAAGTAAAACCACTCATATAAGAAAGTATTTTACACTAAAAATAAATATATAGATTATAGAAATACTTATGAAGAAAAAACCATAGACTGTCCCACGGGCCGGGCAGCTGCTCATCTCATAGGGGACCCATTTGAGCATAAACTTCCACAGAAAAACTACAGGAAAACTAAGAAACAAAAACCTGTCTAGTGCAGCTACATATGATTCTGGTGACTGTTGGCCTTATTACTAGTAGTCTGGGTGCTTTCATTGGTTTATAAATGGAGCCCTATTATAAGGGTCTATTATGGAGCTCTTCAAATAAGACATTGTTACCTTTTTCTTTTCTTCTTCTTTTTTTTTTTTTTGAGACAAGATCTTGCTTTGTCACCCAGGCTGGAGCGCAGTGGCATGATCATAGCTCACTGCAGTCTCGACCTCCCAGGCTCAAGCGATCCTTCCATCTCAGCCTCCTGAGTAGTTGGGTCCACATGTGCATGCCACCATACCCAGAAAATTTTTGTATTTTTAGTAGAGACAGGGTTTCACTATGTTGCCCAAGCCGGTCTCTAACTCCTGGGCTCAAGCGATCCGCCTGCTTTGGCCCCCCAAAGTGCTGGGATTGCAGGTGTGAGCCACTACACCTGGCCATAGGCCATTGTTTCAACCAAGCATGGTAAATATGAAGACCCATATTCACTCAAATGTGTATGCCCTTAGAAGGGACACCATGATCCCACATCCCAGATGACATCACCTTGGCCCAGGAGTTCACTGCTGGAGATTACATCACCTCAGATGACATCACTCAAGTCCAAGACCTAATCATTGGAGATGACTTCACCCTTTTATCAGGGATGATTTCATCCTAGATACTAAAACCTCTGCCCCAGCAACACCCATGGATTATCTTTCTCAAGGCACAAATTGAACACAGGACATTTATCGCTTTTCTTTCTCTGGTATTAGAGGTCCTATTATGTTTCTGAGCTTGTTGACTGTTTAGCCTATGATCCTGGTATTCTCCTTGCTGTCTGCCAAAATGTACATCCTTAACACTCCTATGCCTAAAGGAAAATCAGGTAGAGGTTTAGAGGTTTGCTATTGACTGAAAGTTTGTGTCCCTCCAAAATTCATATGTTGAAACCTAATCCCCAGTGTGATGGTATTTGAAGGTGGGGCCTCTTGGAGGTGAATGGGATAATGCCCTGATAAAAGAGGCTCCAGAGAGCTCCTTTGTCCCTCCTGTTATGTGTGAACACAGCAAGAAGTAGCCAACTATGAATCAGAAAATGGCCCCACAGCAGATGCTGAATCTGCCAGCACCCTGATCTTGGATTTCCCTGCCTCAAGTGCTGTGAGAAATAAATTTCCATTGTTTATAACTCATCTGGTCTAAGGCATTTTTGTTATAGTAGCCCAAATGGACTAAGACAGGGTTAATACTATCTGCCATTCTAAAAATTAGAGGAGATTATGGCTTTCCCCAGGGAGCACCTGCCTCATCTCAGTTAACCCCTTGGTCCCTGGAGAGAGAACCATGCACTCCTCCATGCCTTCTCCCATTAGCACTTCTCCAGCTTTCACCATGGCCTTCTGCCCTGCATCTCTAACTATAACCCCCTTTTCCCCTTAGTTACACACGACAACCACATCACTTTACATATACTTTACTGACTTACTGGTTCATACTCTCCAACAATATAACTGCTGGACCTGCCACCTAAACTTGAGAAATACAATGAGATATTATTGTCAAACTCATATTTTCACTTTACAGCTCCACAAAGATGTTGTTAGAAACCCCCCAAAATTTTAGACCCATTTTATTGACTAATGCCATATAAGTGGGAACTTAGGACTCCTTATACCTCTAGTTGTATTGCTCCTTTCTACTGTCATAACACAATATTTTCTGTGCTGTTGAGGGCAACATATGCCCTACTTTTTAAAAGTCCCCACTATTATCACCTTAAAGTTCCCTTAATGTGATGTCAAACCATCAGAGGACAAATCATTCTAATTGTGCTTTTAATTTTTTATGTTTTACAAAGTTTTAACATCGGGTCCTCACTGATCAGGGAGAGATTGCTTCTCCCTCTTGGGGTTAACTAATTCCTAGAGATAGTAAATGACTTTCCTGTGAGCATGCCATGCAGACCAAGCAATCCTGAGTCCATACTCTCACCCATCTTCTCTATCCAGCTCTTACACTCCAAGACACAATATTCCTGTCCTAATCATCCCAGGGCAGCTAGGGTCAGTTCCTACACCCCAGAGCCTGCTGAGATAATTCAAACTAGCCAGTCCTAAACTTACTCAGCTTACCTACTTGGTCTTGCCCGTTCCTTCCCACAGAAACTGCAACAAAGGCTTTTGCTCCTGCTTCTCCTATGCCCCTCTTCTGGCTCCTGACCAACATGGGTGCTTCCCATGTGGCCTGCATCATGTGGGGAATCTTGTTTGTAGGGAATGGTGAGTAAAAAGCTCTTCCTTCATGACAAGAATTTCTGTGTCTGTGTGTCCTACCATACCTGATTAAAACCAATCTCAGGCACATTTTATTGCAAGTAGTTTTTAAGAACAAATGGGTTAAGTTTTCTACATGTAAGTTCAAGCCTTTGTGAAGAGGGAAAATTTTACTTTTTCCTTTCCAATATTCTGATTTGTTTTCTCTTTTCTTTGTCATGTTGCACTTACTAAGTCCTCCACCTAATGTAGAGTACAAGTGATGAGAGCTTACCTTGTTCTTAAAACTGTTGGGAAATTTTTCTATCCTTCACCATTAAAGATAAAGCTAGTTCAGACTCTTTATAGATAAACTTTATTACATACAGGAAATCCCCTTCTATTTTAATTTTGCTGAGAGTTTTTTTCCCCCATAATGAAATGGTGATGAATTTTTTCAAATGATTTTCTTGAGTATATTGAGGTGAATTTATGCTTAAATTTATCATTTAGTTAACAAAGGTGGACTTCAAATATGGATTTTAAAAACTTAACATGCCTTTCTGTTGATAAATACCATTGGTTATGTTGTCTTGTTCTTGTCACATATTGCTGGATCAATATATGTACCTTTTGTTAACAATTTGTATAAACATGCTCTTGAGACATACTGGTATGTTATTTCATATGATGCCTTTGCCATGTTTGGTGTCAGGGTGGGAATGGTGTTCTACAACAAATCAGGAAGTGTTCTTTCTTCCTCCTCTTCTGAGAGAGTTGTAAGGCTGGTGTTTTTACTTCCTTCAATTTGATAGAATTTGTGAGGAAACTCATCTAAAGTTGAAGTTGACTTTGTGTGGTCAATTTTGATTATAAAATCAATTTCTTTAACCAACATTGCTTTCAGATTTCCTATTTTATCCTGTGTCATTTGTGTGGAGTTTAATACTTAATGCATCTTGTGGCCTGTCCTCAATTGAAAAGCTGTACATGTAGAGAACTCACTTCTTGTAGTTTCTGCTTCTCAGGTAATCCCCTCTAAGATCTGCTTGATTTGAGTGGCTTTTGAATGCATTCTATGAACTATTTTCTGATGAATAAGTTGTTCAGATTTAATAATTGTTATCTGTGAGAAAGTGAGGCTGGACTAGTGACTGCACCATTATTAGAAAGTGAAACTCTTATACTGTTATCAGTGAACAGAAATGAGAGGGCCCCTCTTGCCTACAACACCCTTTTTGCTCAACAGCCCCAAAGAGTCTGCCCTTAAATGAGTCACTGGGAATTAGGCTGGGCAGCTCCGCCGCTAATTCCAAAGACTATTTATATTGGAAGCTTCCCAAGCCCTCTGATAGGCATTGATATGATTTGGATATTTGTCCCACCCAAATCTCATGTTGAAATGTAATCCCTAATATTGGGGATGGGGCCTGGTGGGAGATGTTTGGGTAATGGGGGTAGATCCCTTATGGCTTCAGGCTTGGTGTTGTCTTTGTGATAGTGAGTGAGTTTGTGTGAGGTCTGGTTGTTTTACAATGTGTGGCAAGCCCCCCAACTCCCACTCTCCCTTCTGTTCTCATTTTCACCCTGTGAGATGCCAGATCCTCCTTTTGCCCTCTGCCATGATTGAAAGCTTCCTGAGACCTCCCCAGAAGCCAAGCAGATGCTGGCGCCATGCTTCCTGGACAGCCTGAAGAGCTGTGAGCCAATTAAACCTCTTTTCTTTATAAATTACCCAGTCTCATGCATTTCTTTCTTTCCTTTCTTTTTTTTTTTTTTTTTTGAGACAGGTTCTTACTTTGTCACCCAGGCTGCAGTAAAGTGGTGCCATCTTGGCTCACTGCAACCTCTGCTTCCAGGGTCCAAGTGATTCTCATGCCTCAGACTCCCAAGGAGCTGGAATTACAGGCACGTGCCACCATGCCTGGCTAATTTTTTGTATTTTAGTAGATATGGGGTCTCGCCAAGTTGCCCAGGCTGGTCTTGAACTGTTGGACTCAAGCAATCCACCTGCCTTGGCCTCCCAAAGTGCTGAGATTACAGATGTGAGCCACCTCACGCAGCCTCAGGTATTTCTTTATAGCAATGCAAGAACTGCCTACTTCTATGTTGCATCCACATACAGGTAGGAAACCTGAGACTCTGTGGTGGTCAAACAGTCTGCAGTTTCTACAGTCTCATTACAAACTTTGATCTGGCTGACACCAAGGATCTGTGACACAGTTCTGCTGAGAAGTCTGACAGCTGCTTTGCTGAAAATGTTTGTGGCTCTGGACCAGGCTCAGAATCAGTACAACCTCATCTGTCATTTGTAGTGTAAGAAGGGTCTGAGCCTCAGACCCAGGACTTGTTGCCTGAATTCCTCAGCTGTGCTTTTTTCTCCCACACCTTTCCACATGCCAACCCTGGGGATCTGCTTAACTCTGTTTTTGCCCCCTGTGGCTGCTGAGCAGAACTACCTCTGTACTTTGTCCTCAAGCAGCAAAGTCCCACACCCAAGCTTTTGTGGAAGATGCCAATGATAACATTAGCAGGTGAAGCCCAAAGACAGCATTTTGGCAAGGAGGTGATATTGGGATAGGATAATTTTTCTTATGAAGTGTTTGAGGGCCCCAGTGGCCATCAGGTCTCCTGATGAGTTGGAATAGAGGCAAAGAGTCACAAATCTAAGTCTTCCTCCCTCTTTAGTGAGAATCCACAGTAGGTGCTTGTAATCCCAGCTGAGGCAGGAGGATTGCTTGAACCCAGGAGGCAGAGGTTGCAATGAGCCAAGATCTCACCACTGCATTCCAGCCTGGGTGACAGAGTGAGACTCTGTCTCAAAAAAAAAAAAAAAAAAAAAAAAAAAAAAAAAAAGGAAAAGATGAGCCTGGAATATCTTGCTGTGCCAGGAAGTAAGGAATTGCTTAAGGATTGAGGGGGACATGACAAAAGGACACAGAATCCAGTCATTAGAAGATAATTTGAGCACCAAAGTAAATAATGTTATAATGGATTATAACCCATTGAACACAACTGAATTCGTGATTCCGTAATGATATAAATAAATACATGAATACATTAAAAACTTGATGAGGAATATATAGTTATGTAGTATCAAGAATCTGCCCACAAAGTATTTCTTTTTTTTTTGAGATGAAGTCTCGCTCTTGTCACCCAGGCTGGAGTGCAATGGTGCGATCTTGGCTCAAAAATCAAAGTAAACATCAACCATCATGGAACAGATTGAAATTATTTGTCACCAGATATGATGCAATGAGAAGTCAAAGCATCATCTGTGATATTCCTGCCAAATCTGCATAGTCAGGATCTGATTATGAAGAAACATCAGATAATCCCAAATTGAGAGAAATTTTTAAAACTCCAAACCTATGCTTTTCAAAAGTGACAAGGTCAAGGAGGTTGAGGAAAGACTGAGGAACTGTGTCAGGCTGTGGTTGACTAAGGAGACATGACAACTAGTTGCAAAATGTGATTCAGGATTCTAAACTGGATTCTGAAATGAATACAATGAATATCATTGGGACTTATTGAGGAAACACTAATGGAAATGAGGATTAGATGGCCCTAATGCATCAATGTTAATTTCCTGAATTTTAAAGTTATATTTTGGTTATATAGTCAAATTGCCTTGCTTATAAGAGCTATATACTAAAATATTTCAGGTTTAGAACTTCAGGTCCAAAATTACTCTCAAATGTTCAAAATAGAGAAAATTCTCTGTTTGTACCTCCAACTTTTTATTACATTTATAGTTATTAAAATTATATAAATATAAAATACATATGCATTTGTGTATATATGTGTATATATAGATATGCATATATATAGATATGCATATATGTAGATAAGTGATACACATAAAACCAATAATGGACTCATATCTAATCTATGCAAGCCCTTCACAAAAGATTTGATATTGCCAAAGGACATTTGAAAAAGCACCCGGCATCATGAACCTTCACTGAAATGCAAATTAAAACTACAATAAGATATTATTACACACACATCAAAATGGTTAAAATGAAAAAAGACAATATGCTAAGGGTTGGCAAGAAAGAGAAGCAGCTGGCACTCTCAGTACAATTGTAAATTTATTAAACCATTTGGATAATTCTTTGGCAGTCATTAATAAAACTGAACACATGCACATGCAGCAATTATGCTCATAGTTATAGCAACAGAAATCCTTATATTGGGATAACAATGTATTAGAGTAATAACAGCATTATTCACAATAGCCACAAACTAGAATCAACTCAAAAGTCCTTAACAATACAATGAAAAGATAAATTTTGGAATTGTTATAAAATAAAACACTCTAAACTAACTTACGTACTGCTATTTGTGACAACATGAATGAATCTCACAAACACAAAATTAAGTGAAAATACTAGATACTTAAAAATACATAATGTGATTCCATTTATATTACATTTGTATGCCTCACAAACAGGCAAAACTAACCTATGGCATAATACTGGAGTTATCTAGTCGGGGAGGAAGGTAGGAGGAGACATAAAGGGACTTCTGGGGTCCTGGCAAAATTATTTTTCTTGACCTGTGTGTTGATTACACAGATATGTTCAATTCATGATAATTCATTGAGCTATATACATTTAGGATGTTTCCAACATTCTCTTTGTATACTACACTCCAGTGAAAAGGTTTATTTAAAACGAAGCAGTTTGCATTCACAATTTCACCCAAGCTGAGGTTTGCATTACTCTCTCACTGTGGAGGGCTTCAGCCAGGTGCCCTCCTGACCATCCATTTGGGCAATGATAGGAAATCTCTGCAATGTGAGAATCACTGAACTGGGAATTAAAACCTGGATTCTTAAAAAATAAAGATTATGTACTAATGCACTAGCGACCGTTCACCTCACTTATTCACCAATTCCTTATTTCTAATAATAAAGTAGGGATTAGGCTGGTGGATCTCTGAGATCTCTTGTCTCTAATTATCTATGTTTCTTTCATTCTTTGAAAGGACCAGGCAGAAGTCTCAACAGAAAGGAGGAACAGAGACCCATTTTTCAAGAAATAAAGTGATTGTTTTAAAGAAAGGCATTGAGATCATTTTATCTAAAAGAAGGTAGTGCACTTCTTTTAGAGTTCAGAGCTATGTGAGCCAAGCAGTAAAATAACTATTTTTCTTTGTCTCAGATAAATTATTCACCAAAACCTCGACTGACTCAAATTCTAAAGGTTACAAAACCACACCCTAATTGTAATCAACCTATGTTGCAACTGTTGAGTTGGTTAATGTGTATTTGAAAGTCACTGATTATCCTGAGTAGTGAAATATTGCCTCATAGTACATGGTAAGTAAATGTTGGTGACTCTAGTTGAACTGAATTTCTTGCTTGGAGGGAATGATGTCAGAGTTAGGAGATAGGTTTCCAGCCTCAGCCCTATCATTTTCAGCCTCTGTGTCCTTGAACAAAATACTGAATCTCCAAGGCCCAGCTTCCTTACCTCTAAAGTGGAAATAATTTTACCACAGGCAAGGGTAATTGAGAGAATCAAAAGAGTTATGATGGGTATAAAAATTCTCTGTGAATTGTCAGAATCCCTGTAAACATGTTTGATAAAACATTGTCCATATGGGATTTGACAAAACTTAATTTTTCCTTACTGCAGTTAGAAATAACTGCACTAATCCAGTATTATTTCCAATAGCCAGGATGTAGAAACAATCTAAGTGTTCATTCACAAATAAATGGATGAAGAAATTGTGTTTTATATTTATATACACAATGAAATATTTTTTAAACTTTAAAAGGAGATACTGCCATTTGCAATGACATGGAATGAACCTGAAGGATATTATGCTAAGTGATATGAGCTAGATACAGAGGAAAAAAGATTGCATGATTTCACTTATATGAAGAATCTTTAAAAAGTCAAATACATAGAAACAGAGAGTAGAATGGTGGTTACCAAAAGTGGGAGCCAGAGGAAATGGAAAAAAGTGTGTCAAAGAGCCAAATTTGTGGTTAGATAGGATGAATAAGTCTAAAGATCTAATAAACAGCAAGAGGACTATAGTTAATATACTATACTGAAAATTTGCTAAAAGAGTAGATTTTAGGTGCTTATACCACAAAAAAGAAGTTAATTATAGAATTGATTAATATGTAAATTTGTTTAACCATAGTAATGATTCCACTGTTTATATGTCTACCAATGTTGTATACCTTAAATATATACAATGGAAATAAACAAATAACTGTACTAGTCATTTAGAATACCACAATGACATCTTTACAGAATATGCCTTTGTACAAGCATTGCCATTAGTGATCTAGAAATGTATGTATCATTTTAGTGATATATAGAGCCTCATGAGCGCTAAATGTCATCTCCAGTTCAGGTCTGCACAACTGTGTTTGTTCTGTGCCATGGGTCTGTTTAATGATTTCCCTACCTCCCATTCACCACTGAAGCACATGCCTGTTGTTCTGCCTATAATTCCCCTTCCTTGCTGTGCAATATTTCATTCCATTATTTCTGACACAGACCAAAAAAGCAATAGAAACAGCAGTGTCTGGAGGCAAGTGGGAGCTGGAGAAGCCATAGTTTCTGAGATCTTACCCACTTAATTCTCTGAGATTGGCTCTTTCCTCAGTTATACTGAGTAGGTTTCAGCTCTTCAGTGACAGAGAGGGGAGAAACCCTAGCTTTTATTTCTTCTCTTGAGAATGTACAACCCTGTTATTTTGTGAACAGTGTGGTGTAGATTCAGAGTGAGAAATGTTTTTAGGATTTATTTTATTTTGCTAAAACTGTTCTCAAGGCAGCTCTGGTGTAAGTGAGAATATACCACAGCGGGCGTCAGAAGATCTCAGTTCAAATCCCAGCCTGCCATTTATGAGCTGTGGGACACTGGACAGGTCATCTGTTCTCCTAGAGTCTCCCTTTCCCCATTTGGAAAATATGAAATAATATTCTCAGCCGTCCAGTGTTTTTCACGGGGTTTAATGGAAAAAGGTGTGTATGTTTACTTAGTTAATTGATAACCGGTTTAGCCATTTAAGATGAATGAGTTTGTTAGCTGCTTTATGTTTAGGCAGCTGTAATGTTAGTACTACATTAAAATATTTCAAAAGGATCTCATTTTCAAGGAAAATGATCTAGTGTTTGAGAAAGCATTATAGTGTTGCAGTCTTGCAGATCCTTAGCTCAGCTAGGTCCGAGTTGTCTTATGCAGGAAGAATTAGGCACACAGACACTGGAGAGTGAGTGGAGTAGAATTTATTAAGTGAAAGGAAAACTCTCAGCAAAGAGAGAGGCCCTGAAAGCAGGTTGCAGATTGCCACTTCACAGTTGAATACCAGGACTTTTATAGAAAAGCTGATGAGGCTGGGATACTTATTTGCATAAGGCGTGAATTCCTGGTGTTTCCACCCCTTCCTTCCATTGCGCGTGTGGGCTCTTAGTCTAAGCCACTCCATATTGATTTATTTCCCTTCCTGCGCATGTGTTAAAGGTAGGAATTTTTCACTGTGGGCATATTTAGGCAAGCTCCCTGTGCAAGTTCCCTTATCTGCACAAAACATCTAGTGTAAGTACTTGGGGTTTTTGTGGATTGGGCAATGACCTGGAAGGGTTGGAGGTTCTCTGGGGACCCTTCCCTTACTGCCTGCCTAATGCAAGCTGGCTAACTCCTCTCAATAGGATAAACATTATTTTATGTACAAGGAATATAATACACAGATTGCCCTCAAAGTCATATTTCCAACTGCTCATCAATCTAAAAATCCAAAATTTTGAATAATTTTTTGATGAAATAATTTATTTCATTGTTTCTCAATTTTGGCTGCACAGTGGAACCACCTGGGCTGTTTGAAAAAACCTAGGCCTAGCCAGGCACGGTGGCTCATGCCTGTAATCCCAGCACTTAGGGAGACCAGCCTGGCCAACATGGTGAAACCCTGTCTCTGCTAAAAATACAAAATCACCTGGGCGTAGTTGTGCATTCCTGTAATCCCAGCCACGCCAGAAGCTGAGGCAGAATCGTTCGAATCCAGGAAGTGGAGGCTGCAGTGAGTTGAGATCTTGCCATTGCACTCCAGCCTGGGCAACAAGAGCGAAACTCCATCTCAAGGAAAAACAACAACAACAACAACAAAATCCTGGGCTCTGCTTCAGACTAGTTAAACCAGAATCTCCAGGGTGGGGCACCGGAAAGAACAAGAAAAAAGAACACCTTATTTTTATCTTCTTCAGTGAGCCAATGTTCATTCAAAAGAGAGATTAAAGTGCTTTTTGCTGACTAGTCACAGTCAGAGTCAGAATCACAGGTGGATTAGTAGGGAGTGTTATAAAAGCCTTGAAGTGAAAGCCCGCAGTTGTCTTACTAAGAAGAGAAGCCTTCAATGGATCCAGCTGTGGCTCTGGTGCTCTGTCTCTCCTGTTTGTTTCTCCTTTCACTCTGGAGGCAGAGCTCTGGAAGAGGGAGGCTCCCGTCTGGCCCCACTCCTCTCCCGATTATTGGAAATATCCTGCAGTTAGATGTTAAGGACATGAGCAAATCCTTAACCAATGTAAGTATGCTTTATGTTCCTCCAGTAATGTACAAGGTGTATTTAACCTCACAATTCTTAAAGTTTTATTTCATTTTAAAGTGATAAATGATAATTGTATATATTAATGGGGTACAATATTACATTTTGATACATGTATAGATTGTGAATTGATCATATCAGGGTAATTAGCATATCCATCATCTCAAATATTTGTCATTTCTTTGTAGTGAGAACATTTAAAATCCTCTTTTTTAGCTGTTTTGAAATATACAGTACATTAATATTAATTATAGTCACCTTGCTGTCCAATAGAACACCCGAGCTTATTCCTCCTATCTAAGTGTAACTCTGTACCTGTTGACCAACGTATCCCCTTATTTGGCCCATCTCCACCTGCCAGCCTCTGGTAGCCACCATTCTAATCTCTACTTCTCTGAGTTTAACTTTTTAAGATTCCACATAGAAGTGAGATCATATATGATATTTGCCTCTCTCTGCCTGGCTTATTTAATTAATATGATGTTCTGTAGATTCATCCATGCCGTCATAAATAAGAATATTTTTTCCTCTTTAAAAGGCTGAATAGCATTTCATTGTACATATATGTCACATACAAAATCCATTAATTTATTGATGAACACTTAGGTTGTTTCCATATCTTGGCTATTGTCAATAGCACTGCAATAAACATGGAAGTACAGACATGTCTTCCACATACTGACTTCAATTCCTTTGGGTATATACTGGTAGTGGGATTGCTGGATCATCTGATAGTTCTATTTTTGTTTTTTTTAGGAACATCCATACTGTTTTCTCAAATCACAATGCTAATTTACATACCCAAGGTTCACTTTATTCCACATCTTTGTCAACACTTGTTATCTTTTTATCTTTTTGATAATAATAATATCTTATCTATGAGTTGTGATGAGTTATCTCATTGTGGTTTTAATTTGCATTTCTCTGATGATTAAATTTGTTGAGTATTTAAAAAATATATCTTGGCCATTTGTATGTCTTTTTTTGAAAAATGTCTACTCAAATCCTTTGCCCATTTAATTAATTAATTAATTAATTAATTAATAGAGACAGGGTTTTGCTCTGTTGTAGGATGGAGTGTAGTGATGGGATCATGGTCCCTGCAGCCTTGAGCTCCTGGGCTCAAGCCATCCTTCTACCTTAGACCCCCAAGTAGCTGGGGCTACAGGTGTATGCCACCATGCCTGGATAATTTTTTAATGCTTTGTAGAGATGTGGTCTCATTATGTTGTCCAGGCTGGTCTTGAACTCTTGGGCTCAAGCAATCCACCCACCTTTGTCTCTCAAAGTGCTGGAATTACAGACATGAGCCATTGCACTTGACCCCTTTGCTCGTTTTAAATAGAATTATTTATTTGTTATTGAGTAATTTGAGTTTCTAAGTATTTTGGGTGGTCAGAATCTCATTTGTCTAGTTTTGCTTTCATGGCCTGTACTTTTAGGATCATATCCAAGAAATCATTGCCTAGACCAATGTCATGGAGTTTTTCTATATGGTTTCTTTCAGTAGTTTTTAGTTTCAGGTCTTATGCTTAAGGCTTTAATTCATTTTGAGTTAATTCTTGTATAAGGGTGAGATTAGGATTCTCTTTTATTCTTTGCATATGAATATCCAGTTTTCCCAACACCTTTTGCTGAAGAGTGCTTTCCCCATTGTATGTTCTTGGCACCTTTGTCAAAAATCAATTGATTATAGATGTGTGGGCTTATTTCAGGGTTCTCTACGCTTTTCCTTTAATCAGTGTGTCTATTTTTATGCTAATGCTATGCAGTTTTGCTTACTATAGCTTTGTAACATATTTTGCAGTTCAGTGGTGTGATGCCTCCAGCTTTATTCTTTTTGATTAATTTGCTTTAGTTATTTGGGGTCTTTTGTGGTTCCATACAAATTTTAAGATTTTTTTTCTATTTCTGTGAAGAATGAGATTAAAATTTTGATAGGGATTGCACTGAATCTGTATATTGCTTTGGGTAATATGGACATTTTTCCACTATTAGTTTTTCCAATCCATGAACATGGGATATCTTTGCCTTTATTTGTGTCATCTTCAATTTCTTTCATCAATGATTTGTAGTTTTCAGTATATAGATCTTTCTCTTCCTTGATTAAATTTATTCATAAGTATTTTATTTTTTGATGCTACTATAAATTAATTGTTCTCTTAATTTCTTTTTTAGATATTTTGTTGCTAGTGTATAAAAATGCCACTGATTTTTGCATGTTGATTTTTTATCCTTCAAGTTTACTGAATTTGTTTATCAGTTCTAGCACTTTTGTACTGAAGTCTTTAGATTTTCTACATATAAGATTATTTCATCAGGAAACAGACAATTTCACTTCATCCTTTCCTACATGAATACATCCTTTCCTATACGAATATTCCTATATGAATATTTTCTGTCTTTAGTCTAATTGCTCTGACTAGGACTTCCAGTACTCTGTTGAACAGAAATGGTCAGAGGGGGCATTCTTCTCTTATTTCTGATCTTAGAGGAAAAGCTTTTAGCTTTTCACCATTAAATATGATGTTAGCTGTGGGCTTGCCACATATAACCGTTAATGTCACATAGAAACTTCTGTATTACTGGAGGCCAGTTATTAAAGGTTATATGTTATAGGAACATTCCTCAGCATTCCTCCTGTACCAGCAGAGGCTGATTATTAAAGTATGCTATTGTAAAGCAAATACTTCCTGTGGAGTATGTTTTTCTTTTTTGTCATTGTCAGAAATAGTGGAATAAAATAATGCATTTTGCCAGAAGAGAAACATTTCAAGTGGTAAGGTAGAATCAAAATGATAAAGGCCTGCTGCTTTCTTTGCTTCACAGTCATTTGCTATATTTTTTTGCCTGAAGGAAAATGGTAGTGGAAGTGTTTTGTGATTAAAGATTTTGAGAAGTCAGTCACTGTATATGCTATGTATTTTGCTTAGATTAGCCATGATCATTAAACGTCTTAAAAAAGCAAATCATGCCTGATGTCAAAGAAATATCTATGAGTTCATCATAAACATAAACGAATGAAAGAAAGAATTAATTAGTCAGGGCCATCTGGGTGGTAACAGAATATTTATGGCCTCTGTACAAAGCTGCTGTCTGTGACCTATGAGTGTATAGCATGGAAAACATTTTTCCTCTGTGAGATGCCACACATCCTGATACTATCTCTGTTGGATCCACTCTCCTTCTGTGGTGATTATACCAGTGGATCTCAAAGTGGGCTGGGCAGTAGAATCATTTGGGTGATTTAAAAAGGTGTAGATTTTTTAGTATTGATGACAGGACTCCTGCATCAGGATCCCTATGGGATGAGCTTTGCAGGAGATCCTGAAGCAGTGTCCCAGCAGCTGATTATTGGTCAAAATATGGACATTAGGAACTGATAAACTGCTCAGGCTCACAGCTTGACTAAGCAGGCTTCAAATTTGGACCTTCTGTTTATCAGCTGTGGGACACTGGCAGTGAATTTGAAATTCTTTAAAATACAATCTGTCTTATCTGTAAAATAGAGTAAACAAGGTGTTGATGTGATGATTAAGTTTAATAGCCTGCATACTACTTGCTTGGCACATTGAAGGCACTGTATATGTGCAGCTAAAACAATAATCATCATCTTTGTCTAAAATATACAAATATTTGAAGCTGTATTTGACAGAATAATCATAACAACATTATGATGATAATATCAGTCTGAATCACGGACAATATATAGACCAAATACTGAGTTTTGCTACTATTTGAACCTCCTTTTCTATGTTTAGTTCTCAAAAGTCTATGGCCCTGTGTTCACTGTGTATTTTGGCCTGAAGCCCATTGTGGTGTTGCATGGATATGAAGCAGTGAAGGAGGCCCTGATTGATCATGGAGAGGAGTTTTCTGGAAGAGGAAGTTTTCCAGTGGCTGAAAAAGTTAACAAAGGACTTGGTAAATGTGCATGTATCGTGTGTATGTGTACATGTGTATGTACTGGGCAGTGGCTATAGGGATGGGGAGGATGGAAAACAGGCTTGAAGAGCTCCTGGGACAGAACTTGACCTGTCCACGTGGCTGCCGAGTGTCAGCTCTCTTGTCCTTGTTTGGATTCTCCCTCGTAGCTTCTGTTTTCTGTTCTGCTAGGAATCCTTTTCAGCAATGGAAAGAGATGGAAGGAGATCCGGCGTTTCTGCCTCATGACTCTGCGGAATTTTGGGATGGGGAAGAGGAGCATCGAGGACCGTGTTCAAGAGGAAGCCCGCTGCCTTGTGGAGGAGTTGAGAAAAACCAATGGTGGGTGACTTTTTTTTTTCCTGAAAAATGTTTTCTAAAATTTATTTTAATTTATTTTTAGATTGATACATAACTTTTATGCATATTTATGGGGTACATGTAATATTTTGTTACATGCACAGAATGTGTAATGATCAAGTTAGGTGTTTAGGATATGCATCACTTTGAGCATTTATCATTTCTATATTTTGAGAACAGACCTGTGTTCTAGCTATCTTGAAATACGCAATACTTTGACATTAACACACTGCTATGTTCTCTAATGACATCCCTGGAAACCTCCTAGGGGCAGCCAGATCTTTCATGATAGTGGTTGTCAGTCCTCATATGGAGGGTGGAGGTTTGAAGCAGAGAGCCAAGGGAGGTTTTGTGCACCTATGCTTGTTGTGTTTGTACACAATGACTATGCATACGCTGTGAGTATAAAAGGCTCATTTAATCCTATTGTGTCCCAGGCTTGGTTTGTTTTCAAATCATTACAGCATGAATTTAGAAGGTTTTGTCTCATTTTTTTCAAATTATTAAAGAGCAATGTTTTTCCCAAAGTGTAATTGTGGGTTATCTATTCTAGAACATTTCACCAGGAATACTTGTGGCACAGACATAGTGGGAATGACTTCTTTACATCTTTTGGGCATGGAACAACTGACATGTACTTTCATTTGTTTGGTCTATATTTGTACAGTCAGTCTCACTAACATGTCTGGGGGTTTATTCTAAGGTCTGTGTCTACAATTTCTACCATAATGATGCTTATCTATGGTTTTAAGAGACTAGGCATCTTTAGTGTAGCTTTTATCAATTTTAATTTCCCTGTTAATTAAGAAGTAATTAAAATTATCAGCTGGTGTTATTTAATGTTACTATTTACTGTAATGTTTTATATATTTTAAGAAAATATATGCTATAGCATAGTCTTTCAATTTAAACAAATGCCAAGTTATAAAATGTTTATTTAAATAAATTTTAAGTATTATTAATAACTCTTTATCCTACCTTCCCTAGTTGTCCATTAGCTCTGTATTCAGCTTTCTTTATATTTTCCTTCATCTTTACTTGTGTATTAATCATGTTTTTTATTTTCTATATTTTTATGAAATCTTCAACATCTTGGGGATTTTGTGGTCCTAGAAGGGACTGCTGCTCCCAAAGTCAGACAGTTCCTAGAGATAGCAAATGTCTTGTCCACAGCATGTCTCTGATTTACAAAGCACACTCTCCAGAGCCAGAGTCCCATCCACCTTCTTTACCAAACTCTCACACATGAATCCAATACAGTTGTCCCTCCTTATCAGTAAGGCATTGGTTCTAGGACTCCTCTTGGATACCAAAATCCACATATGCTCAAGTCCCTTAGATATGGCATAATATTTGCCATATATTGGAGAATATTGACAATATTATTTATAATATTTCCCAATATTAGAGAATATTGACAAGAAAAAAGGTCCGTACATGTTCTGTACAGATGCTTGTTTTTGCTCTGAATATTTTTTATTTGGGGTTGGTTGAATCCATGATACACCATGGATACAGAGTGCTGACTATATTCTCCTTGTCTTAAATTATTATAGGGCCAGTTATGGGACAACTATGGCCACCCCTATATCCCAGAGCCCACAGAAATTGTTCAAACTATCTATTCCCAGGCTTACTCAGTCTACCCTCCCTATCTCACTCATTTCTTCCTGTGAAAACCCCAATGAAGGCTCAGCCCCATGGTTTCTTTTTGCTCTTGCTGCCTCCTGACCAACCCTGGTACTTCCCCATGTGGCTCCCCGCACTCCATGGTGTGGAGTGCCCCTCCTTTAGGAACCGTGAGTAATGAACTATCTTTTCAAGGGAAGTCTGTTTTGGGGCAACCTGATCGGTTGACCTCACCATATCTAAATGGATACAAAATCCTCGGTGAATTTTAAAACAACTGGATTTGGGAGTAAAAGTTTATTTATCCTCTCCCCATCCAAGTTGGACTCACCTATAAAGTTCTTGTCATAATGAGTCTGGTTTTCAGCTTGGATTACAAATTACCCTGATTTTTATTATCTCCCTGATATAGTTTGGATGTGTGTTCCCATTCAAATCTAATATTGAAATGTAACAAACTACCAACAGAGAATACTATAAACACCTCTATGCAAATAAACTAGGAAATCTAGAAGAAATGGATAAATTTCTCGACACATACACTCTCCCAAGACTAAACCAGGAAGAAGTTGAATCTCTGAATAGACCAATAACAGTCTCTGAAATTGAGGCAATAATTAATAGCTTACCAACCAAAAAAAGTCCAGGACCAGATGGATTCACAGCCGAATTCTATCAGAGCTACAAGGTACCATTCCTTCTGAAACTATTCCAATCAATAGAAAAAGAGGGAATCCTCTCTAACTCATTTTATGAGGGCAGCATCATCCTGATACCAAAGCCTGGCAGAGACACAACAAAAAAAGAGAATTTTAGACCAATATCCTTGGTGAACATTGATGCAAAAATCCTCAATAAAATACTGGCAAACTGAATCCAGCAACACACAAAAAGCTTATCCACCATAATCAAGTAGGCTTCATCCCTGGGATGCAAGGCTGGTCCAACATATGAAAATCAATAAAAGTAATCCAGTATATAAACAGAACCAAAGACAAAAACCACATGATTATCTCAACAGATGCAGAAAAGGCCTTTGACAAAATTCAACAACCCTTCATGCTAAAAACTCAATAAATTAGGTATTGATAGGACGTATCTCAAAATAATAAGAGCTATCTATGACAAGCCCACAGCCAATATCATACTGAATGGACAAAAACTGGAAGCATTCCCTTTGAAAACTGGCACAAGACAAGGATGCCCTCTCTCACCACTCCCGTTCAACATAGTGTCGGAAGTTCTGGACAGGGCAATCAGGCAGGAGAAGGAAATAAAGGGCATTCAATTAGGAAAAGAGGAAGTCAAATTTTCGCTGTTTGCAGATAACATGATTGTATATCTAGAAAACCCCATCATCTCAGCCCAAAATCTCCTTAAGCTGATAAGCAACTTCAGTAAAGTCTCAGGATACAAAATAAATGTGCAAAATTCACAAGCATTCTTATACACCAATAGCAGACAAACAGAGAGCCAAATCATGAGTGAACTCCCATTCACAATTGCTTCAAAGAGAATAAAATACCTAGGAATCCAACTTACAAGGGATGTGAAGGACCTCTTCAAGGAGAACTACAAACCACTGCTCACTGAAATAAAAGAGGACACAAACAAATGGAAGAACATTCCATGCTCATGGGTAGGAAGAATGAATATCATGAAAATGGCCATACCACCCAAGGTAATTTATAGATTCAATGTCATCCCCATCAAGCTAACAATGACTTTCTTCACAGAATTGGAAAAAACTACTTTAAAGTTCATATGGAACCAAAAAAGAGCCCGCATTGCCAAGTCAATCCTAAGCCAAAAGAACAAAGCTGGAGGCATCACACCACCTGACTTCAAACTATACTACAAGGCTACAGTAACCAAAACAGCATGGTACTGGTACCAAAACAGAGATATAGACCAATGGAACAGAACAGAGCCCTCAGAAGTAATGCTGCATATCTACAACTATCTGATCTTTGTCAAACCTGACAAAAACAAGCAATGGGGAAAGGATTCCCTATTTAATAAATGGTGCTGGGAAAACTGGCTAGCCATATGTAGAAAGCTGAAACTGGATCCCTTCCTTACACTTGATACAAAAATTAATTCAAGATGGATTAAAGACTTAAATGTTAGACGTAAAACCATAAAAATCCTAGAAGAAAACCTAGGCAATACCATTTAGGACATAGGCATGGGCAAGGACTTCATGTCTAAAACACCAAAAACAATGGCAACAAAAGCCAAAATTGACAAATGGGATCTAATTAAACTAAAGAGCTTCTGCACAGCAAAAGAAACCACCATGAGAATGAACAAGCAACCTACTGAATGGGAGAAAAATTTTGCAACCTACTCATCTGACAAAGGGCTAATATCCAGAATCACAATGAACTCAAACAAATTTACAAGAAAAAAAAAAGATCCCCATCAAAAAGTGGGCAAAGGATATGAGCAGACAATTCTCAAAAGAAGACATTTATGCAGCCAAAAACACATGAAAAATGCTCATCATCACTGGCCATCAGAGAAATGCAAATCAAAACCACAATGAGATATCATCTCACACCAGTTAGAATGGCGATCATTAAAAAGTCAGGAAGCAACAGGTGCTGGAGAGGATGTGGAGAAATAGGAACACTTTTACACTGTTGGTGGGACTGTAAACTAGTTTAACCATTGTGGAAGTCAGTGTGGCGATTCCTCAGGGATCTAGAACTAGAAATGCCATATGACCCAGCCATCCCATTACTGGGTATATACCCAAAGGATTATAAATTATGCTGCTATAAAGACACATGCACAGGTATGTTTATTGCGGCACTATTCACAATAACAAAGACTTGGAACCAACCCAAGTGTCCAACAACGATAGACTGGATTAAGAAAATGTGGCACATATACACCATGGAATACTATGCAGCCATAAAAAATGATGAGTTCATGTCCTTTGTAAGGACATGAATGAAGCTGGAAACCATCATTCTGAGCAAACTATCGCAAGACCAAACATCACATGTTCTCACTCATAGGTGGGAATTGAACAATGAGAACACATGGACACAGGAAGGGGAACATCACACACCAGGGCCTGTTGTGGGGTGGGGGAAGGGGGGAGGGATAGCATTAGGAGATATATCTAATGCTAAATGACGAGTTAATGGGTGCAGCACACCAACATGGCACACGTATACATATGTAACAAACCTGCACGTTGTGCACATGTACCCTAAAATTTAAAGTATATAAAAAAAAGTGTAATCCCCCATATTGGAGGTGGGGCCTTGTGAGAGGTGATTGGATCATGGGGGTGGATTTTTCATGAATAGTTTAGTACCATCCCTTTTGGTACTGTCCTCATGATAGCAAGTGAGTTTTCATGAAATCTAAAGTGTGTAGCACCTCCCACCTCCCTTTTTTGCTTTGACTTTTGCCATGTGAGTGAAAGCTCCTGTTTTGCCTTCTGCCGTGATTGCATCACGCTTCCTGTACAGCCTGCAGAACTAGGAGCCAATTAAACCTCTTTTCTTATAAATTACCTAGTCTCAGGTATTTCTTTATAGCAATGCAAGAACAGCCTAATATACTTCCCCACATGAAGTGAAAGGAAAGACCAGAAACCAGATTTTCACTACATCATGTTCATATGCATGCACAAACACACTTGCATGCATGCATGCACACACACACAGAAATCTCTAACTAATAATCCAAAATTATCCCCTGCCTTCCAGGCTAAAATAAAAGATTTTCTGAAAACTTCATCCCTTGGCATGTTTCAGCTGAAAAGAAGCCTGGCATAGGAGCAGTTAACTAAACAGGGTCCCATTATTTAATTCCCCATCATTACCGCACAACATTTTTGTTCAAGTCACTCTTAATTACATTCATGATACTCTCACATGTAAAGTTCATTGATGATTTGATTATAACAATTTTATTTAAAAATTGCCCTTTCCTCTTATTGCCCTTACATTTCAGTATGAGATTTGAAGGGAACACACATCCAAACTGTATCAGGGAGATAATAAAAATCAGGGTAATTTGTAATCCAAGCTGAAAATCAGCTTTCCTCTATAGTAATTTATTGATTTGTAATATGATGGAATTACCTAAATGATGATCAAATTAAAAAGTTTATAATAACATAAGGTATTTTTTTGATGGCTAGATAGAACAATAACCGAGGATTCTATAAGAGGTCAGGCTTTGTTCAAATAAATTGAAGATAGTGCCTGGTGATAATAGACACCATTTCTTAGAGCAGGAAATTCCTTTTTTTTCTTTGAATATTGAAATAAGGAAATAAAAGGACTCCATCTGTCAATTTAACTTTTTCTGTCTGCTCTATTTGTAGTTTAGGTTTGAAATGAAAGTTTCTTATTACTTTTATTTTAGGCAAACCAATCTATCTTCTTATTTGTGTTAATTTGTGTTAGATTTTTTCTTGTATAACATAGATGACTTTTGCCTGTTTACATTTGTTCCATCAACCTGAATTTTCCCATACCCTTTCTGTCTTTAGTCTCCCCCTCTGCTGGTACTACACACAGTTACTTTAACTACTCGTTATATAGAAGATGTTTTCTGGTTCCTATTTTCTCCCTTCCTCTATCAATCAATTGTCTACAAGCTTTTCAGACAGATGTTATTTTGCACTGATGACCTGAATTATTAGGTGGTTTTAAATGTGGCCTCTTTAATTTTTTTTGTTTTCTCTTCAAAATAACAGGCATCTTGGGTCAGAATTGTGTAAAGAAAGGCAGTGCGGTAAATGCAGTATTTGGAAAACCATTATTAAACAAGCTAGGGTGGAATGATTAATTCAGTTTTAAGGAAAAAGTGAGGTATTAAATTTCAATATGCTGTAGTTTGTGTTGATAAGAGAATTTCTAGGTAGGTATTGGTTTAGAGTTTCTAAAAATACTTTTTCCTGTATCAAAGACAAAGTATTTTATATGTATATTTTAATGGTAATTTAAAATATTTCCAATCCTTTAGCCTCACCCTGTGATCCCACTTTCATCCTGGGCTGTGCTCCCTGCAATGTGATCTGCTCTGTTATTTTCCATGATCGATTTGATTATAAAGATCAGAGGTTTCTTAACTTGATGGAAAAATTCAATGAAAACCTCAGGATTCTGAGCTCTCCATGGATCCAGGTGAGATCAAGAGCTTCTCTTCCTGAGATATTATTTTTGTTATTTTATCAGACAGTCCAATTTTTTTAATTTTTTAAAATTATACTTTAAGTTCTGGGATATGTGTGCAGAATGGGCAGGTTTGTCACATGGGTATACATGTGCCATGGTGGTTTGCTGCACCCATTAACCCGTCATCTATATTAGGTATTTCTCCTAATGCTATCCCTCCCTTTACCCCCAATCACCCAACAGGCCCTGGTGTGTGATGTTCCCCTCCCTGTGCCCATGTGTTCTCATTGTTCACCTCCCACTTAAGAGTGAAAACATGCAGTGTTTGGTTTTCTGTTCCTGTGTTAGTTTGCTGAGAATGATGGTTTCCAGCTTCATCCATGTCCCGGCCAAGGACATGAACTCTCTCAGCATTTGCTTGTCTGTAAAGGATTTTATTTCCCCTTCACTTATGAAGCTTAGTTTGGCTGGATGTGAAATGCTGGGTTGAGGCAGAAGACAGATGATTTCTGCATTTCCAACTGAGGTACTGGGTTCATCTCACTAGGCAGTGTCAAACAGTGGGTACAGGACAGTGGGTGCAGCACAATGAGCATGAGCCAAAGCAGGGTGAGGCATTGCCTCACCCGGGAAGCACAAGGGGTCAGGGAATTCCCTTTCCTAGTCAAAGAAAGGGGTGACAGATGGCACCTGGAAAATCGGGTCACTCCCACCCTAATATGGTGCTTTTCCAATGATCTTAGCAAATGGCACACCAGGAGATTATATCCTTTGCATAGCTCAGAGGGTCCTACACCCATGAAACCTCACTCATTGATAGCACAGCAGTCTGAGATCAAACTGCAAGATGGCAATGAGGCTGGGGGAGGGGGGCCTGCCATTACTGAGGCTTGAGTAGGTAAACAAAGTGGCCGGGAAGCTGGAACTGGGTGGAGCCCACCGCAGCTCAAGGAGGCCTGCCTGCCTCTGTAGACTCCACCTCTGGGGGCAGGGCATAGCCAAACAAAAGGCAGCAGAAAACTCTGCAGACTTAAATGTCCCTGTCTGACAGCTTTGAAGAGAGTAGTGGTTCTCCCAGCACACAGCTGGAGATCTGAGAACGGACAGACTGCGTCTTAAGTGGGTCCCTGACCCCCCAGTAGCCTAACTGGGAGGCACACCCCAGTAGGGGCAGACTGACACCTCACATGGCTGGGTACTCCTCTGAGACAAAACTTCCAGAGGAACGATCAGGTAGCAACATTTGCTGTTCACCAATATCTGCTATTCTGCAACCTCTGCTGCTGATACCTGGGCAAACAGGTCTGGAGTGGATCTCCAGCAAACTCCAACAGACCTGCAGCTGAGGGTCTTGACTGTTAGAAGGAAAACTAACAAATAGAAAGGACATCCACACCAAAACCCCATCTGTACGTCACCATCATCAAAGACCAAAGGTAGATAAAACCACAAAGATGGGGAAAAAACAGAGCCGAAAAACTGGAAACTCTAAAAATCAGAGTGCCTCTCCTCCCCCAAAGGAATGCAGCTCCTCACCAGCAACAGAACAAAGCTGGACAGAGAATGACTTTGACGAGTTGAGAGAAGAAGACTTCAGACGATCAAACTACTCCAAGCTAAAGCAGGAAGTTCAAACCCATGGCAAAGAAGTTAAAAACCTTGAAAAAAAATTAGATGAATGGCTAACTAGAATAACCAATGCAGAAAAGTCCTTAAAGGACCTGATGGAGCTGAAAACCACGGCCCGAGAATTATGTGATGAATGCACAAGCCTCAGTAGCCGATTTGATCAACTGGAAGAAAGGGTATCAGTGGTGGAAGATCAAATTAATGAAATGAAGTGAGAAGAGAAGTTTAGCAAAAAAAGAATAAGAAGAAATGAACAAAGCCTCCAAGAAATATAGGACTATGTGAAAAGACCAAATCTATGTCTGATTGGTGTACCTGAAAGTGACGGGGAGAATGGAACCAAGTTGGAAAACACTCTGCACGATATTATCCAGGAGAACTTCCCCAATCTAGCAAGGCAGGCCAATATTCAAATTCAGGAAATACAGAGAATGCCACAAAGATACTCCTCGGGAAGAGCAACTCCAAGACACATAATTGTCAGATTCACCGAAGTTGAAATGAAGGAAAAAATGTTAAGGGCAGCCAGAGAGAAAGCTTGGGTTACCCACAAAGGGAAGCCCATCAGACTAACAGCTGATCTCTCAGCAGAAACTCTACAAGCTAGAAGAGAATGGGGGCCAATATTCAACATTCTTAAAGAAAAGAATTTTCAACCCAGAATTTCATATCCAGCCAAACTAAGCTTCATAAGTGAAGGAGAAATAAAATCATTTATAGACAAGCAAATGCTGAGAGATTTTGTCACCACCACGCCTGCCCTACAAGAGCTCCTGAAGGAAGCACTAAACATGGAAAGGAACAAACAGTACCAGCCACTGCAAAAACATACCAAATTGTAAAGACCATCGAGGCTGGGAAGAAACTGCATCAACTAACGAGCAAAATAACCAACTAACATCATAATGACAGGATCAAATTCACACATAACAATATTAACCTTAAATGTAAATGGGTTAAATGCTCCAATTAAAAGACACAGACTGGCAAATTGGATAAAGAGTCAAGATCCATCAGTGTGCTGTATTCAGGAGAACAATCTCATGTACAGAGACATACATAGGCTCAAAATAAAGGGATGGAGGAAGATCTACCAAGCAAATGGAAAACAAGGAAAGGCAGGGGTTGCAATCCTAGTCTCTGATAAAACAGACTTTAAACCAACAAAGATCAAAAGAGACAAACAAGGCCATTACATAATGGTAAAGGGATCAATTCAACAAGAAGAGCTAACGATCCTAAATATATATGCACCCAATACAGGAGCATCCAGATTCATAAAGCAAGTCCTTAGAGACCTACGAAGAGACTTAGACTCCCACACAATAATAATGGGAGACTTTAACACCCCACTGTCAACATTAGACAGATCAAGGAGACAGAAGGTTAACAAGGATATCCAGGAACTGAACTCAGCTCTGCACCAAGCAGACCTAATAGACATCTGCAGAACTCTCCACCCCAAATCAACAGAATATACATTCTTTTCAGCACCACACCACACTTATTCCAAAATTGACCACATAGTTGGAAGTAAAGCACTCCTCAGCAAATGTAAGAGAACAGAAATTATAACAAACTGTCTCTCAGACCATGGTGCAATCAAACTAGAACTCAGGATTAAGAAACTCACTCAAAACCCCTCAACTACATGGAAACTGAACAAACTGCTCCTGAATGACTACTGGTACATAATGAAATGAAGGCAGAAATAAAAATGTTCTTTGAAACCAATGAGAACAAAGACACAACATACCAGAATCTCTGGGACATATTCAAAGCAGTGTGTAGAGGGAAATGTATAGCACTAAATGCCCACAAGAGAAAGCAGGAAAGATCTAAAAATGACATGCTAACATCACAATTTAAAAAACTAGAGAAGCAAGAGCAAACACATTCAAAAGCTAGCAGAAGGCAAGAAATAACTAAGATCAGAGCAGAACTGAAGGAGATAGAGATGCAAAAAACCCTTCAAAAAATCAATGAATCCAGGAGCTGGTTTTTTTAAAAGATCAACAAAATTGATAGACCACTAGCAAGACTAATAAAGAAGAAAAGAGAAGAATCAGTTAGATGCAATAAAAAATGATAAAGGGGATATCACCACCAATCCCACAGAAACACAAACTACCATCAGAGAATACTACAAACACCTCTATGCAAATACACTAGAAAATCTAGAAGAAAAGAATAAATTCCTCGACACATACACCCTCCCAAAAATAAACCAGGAAGAAGTTGAATCCCTGAATAGACCAATAACAGGCTCTGAAATTGAGGCAATAGTTAATAACTTACCAACCAAAAAAAGTTCAGGACCAGATGGACTCACAGCTGAATTCTATCATAGGTACAAGGAGGAGCTGGTACCATTCCTTCTGAAACTATTCCAATCAATAGAAAAAGAGGGAATCCTCCCTAATGCATTTGGTGAGGCCAGCATCATACTGATACCAAAGCCTGGCAGAGACACAACAAAAAAAGAGAACTTTAGACCAATATCCCTGATGAACATCGATGCAAAAATCCTCAACAAAATACTGGCAAACCGAATCCAGCAGCACATCAAAAAGCTTATCCACTATGATGAAGTGGGCTTCATCCCTGGGATGCAAGGCTGGTTCAACATACACAAATCAATAAACGTAATCCAGCATATAAATAGAACCAAAGACAAAAACCACATGATTACCTCAATAGATGCAGAAAAGGCCTTTGACAAAATTCAACAACCCTTCATGCTAAAAACTTTCAATAAATTAGGTATTGATGGGATGTATCTGAAAATAATAAGAGCTATCTATGACAAACCCAAAGCTGATCATACCGAATGGGCACAAACTGGAAGCATTCCCTTTGAAAACAGGCACAAGACAGGGATGCCCTCTCTCATCACTCCTATTCAACTAGTGTTGGAGGTTCTGGCCAGGGCAATCAGGCAGGAGAAGGAAATAAAAAATATTCAATTAGTAAAGGAGGAAGTAAAATTTTCCCTGTTTGCAGATGACATGATTGTATATTTAGAAAACCCCATTGTCTCAGCCCAAAATCTCCTTAAGCTGACAAGCAACTTCAGCAAGGTCTCAGGATACAAAATAAATGTGCAAAATTCACAAGCATTCTTATACACCAATAACAGAGAAACAGAGAGCCAAATCATGAGTGAACTCCCATTCAAAATTGCTTCAAAGAGAATAAAACACCTAGGAATCCAACTTCCAAGGGATGTGAAGGACCTCTTCAAGGAGAACCAGAAACCACTCCTCAATGAAATAAAAGAGGACACAAACAAATGGAGGAACATTTCTTGCTCATGGGTAGGAAGAATCAATATCATGAAGACGGCCATACTGCCCAAGGTAATTTATAGATTCAATGTCATTTCCATCAATCTACCAATGACTTTCTGCACAGAATTGGAAAAAACTACTTTAAAGTTCATATGGAACCAAAAAAGAGCCCGCATTGCCAAGTCAATCCTAAGCCGAAAGAACAAAGCTGGAGGCATCACACTACCTGACTTCAAACTATACTACAAGGCTACAGTAAGCAAAACAGCATGGTACTGCTACCAAAACAGAGATATAGACCAATGGAACAGAACAGAGCCCTCAGAAATAATGCCACATATCTACAACCATCTGATCTTTGACAAACCTGACAAAAACAAGCAATGGGGAGAGGATTCCCTATTTAATAAATGGTGCTGGTAAAACTGGCTAGCCATATGTAGAAAGCTGAAACTGGATGCCTTCCTTACACCTTATAGAACAATTCAAGATGGATTCAATACTTAAATGTTAGACCTAAAACCATAAAAACCGTAGAAGAAAACCTAGGCAATACCATTCAGGACAGAGGCATGGGCAAGGACTTCATGTCTGGAATACCAAAAGCAATGGCAACAAAAGCCAAATTTGACAAATGGATCTAATTAAACTAAAGAGCTTCTGCACAGCAAAACAAACCACCATCAGAGTGAACAGGCAACCTACAGAATGGGAGAAAATTTTTGCAATCTACTCATCTGACAAAAGGCTAATATCCAGAATCTACAATGAACTCAAACTAATTTACAAGAAAAAAAGAACCCCATCAAAAAGTGGGCAAAGGTTATGAACAGACACTTCTCAAAAGAAGACAGTTATGCAGCCAAAGGACACATGAAAAAATGCTCATCATCACTGGCCATCAGAGAAATGCAAATCAAACCACAATGAGATACCATCTCACACCAATTAGAATGGTGATCATTAAAAAGTCAGGAAACAACAGGTGCTGGAGAGGATATGGAGAAATAGGTACAGTTTTACACTGTTGGTGGGACTGTAAACTAGTTCAACCATTGTGGAAGTCAGTGTGATGATTCCTCAGTGATCTAGAAATAGAAGTACCATTTGACCCAGCCTTCCCATTACTGGGTATATACCCAAAGGATTATAAAACATGCTACTATAAAGACACATGCACACATATGTTTATTGTGGCATTATTCACAATAGCAAAGACTTGGAACCACACCAAATATCCAACAATGATAGATTGGATTAAGAAAATATGGCACATATACACCATGGAATACTATGCAGCCATAAAAAATGATGAGTTCATGTCCTTTGTAAGGACATGGATGAAGCTGGAAACCATAATTCTCAGCAAACTATCGCAAGGACAAAAAACCAAACACTGCATGTTCTCACTTATAGGTGGGAATTGAACAGTGAGAACACACGGACACGGGAAGGGGAACATCACACACTGGGGCCTGTTGTGGGGCGGGGAAAGGGGGAGGGATAGCATTAGGAGATACACCTAATGTTAAATGAAGAGTTAATGGGTGCAGCACACCAACATGGCACATGTATACATATGTAACAAACCTGCACGTTGTGCACATGTACCCTAAAACTTAAAGTATAATAAAAAATAATTAAAAAAAGAAATTCCTCTCCACCTCTACCACACAGTCTCAGAGTGTACACAGTTGTTCCCAGTTTCCCATGATTGGGAAGGACTCAAACACTATGATGGCAGGTCAACTTTCTGTCATCTTGTCCAAGGGAAAAGCACACTAAGCTGGGAGTGAATGAGCCTGACCTAAACAGCAGCAGAGAGAATGAGGTGGAGAGGAGAAGGAAGAGGATAGTTAGGAGAAGTCTGAAGCCTATAGCTTAGAGAGTGTCTTCCTCATGAAAAATTGCACTCACTGGGCAGTGGCATTACAGAAACAGGCTTAATTTGGATTAATCTTTCTGTAAATCTGTATTGAGAATTGTTTCATAAAACAATGTCACTGGTAAAAAAAAAATAAAAAAGAAATTCTTGGTTGAAAATTCTTTTCTTTAAAAATGTTGAATAGTGGCCCCCACTCTCTTCTGGCTTGTCTGGTGTCTGCACAGAGATCTGCTGTTAGTCTAATGGGCTTCCCTTTGTGGGCAACCTAACCTTTCTCTCTGGCTGCCCTCAATATTTTTTCCGTCATTTCAACCTTGGTGCATATGATGATTGTGTGTCTTGGGGTTGCTATTCTCGAGGAGTATCTTTGTGATGTTCCTGTATTTCCTGAATTTGAATGTTGGCCTGTCTTGCTAGGTTGGGGAAGTTCTCCTGGATAGTATCCTGAAGCGTGTTTTCCAACTTGGTTCCATTCTCCCCGTCACTTTCAGATACACCAATCAAACATATGTTTGGTCTTTTCACTTAGTCCCATATTTCCTGGAGGCTTTGTTCGCTCCTTTTCATTCTTTTTTCTCTAATCTTGTATTCTCACTTTATTTCATTAAGTTGATCTTCAATGTCTGTTATCCTTTCTTCTGCTTGATCAATTTGGCTATTGATAGTTGTGTATGCTTCATGAAGTTCTTGTGCTTTGTTTTTCAACTCCATCAGGTCATTTATGTTCTTCTTGAAACTGGTTATTCTAGTTAGCAATTCCTCTTTTTATCAAGGTTCTTAGTTCCCTTGCATTGAGTTAGAACATACTCCTTGAGCTTGGAGGAGTTTGTTATTACACATCTTCTGAAGCCTACTTCTGTCAGTTTGTCAAACTCATTCTCCATCCAGTTTTGTTCCCTTGCTGTTGAGGAGTTGTGATCCTTTGGAGGAGAAGAGGCATTCTGGTTTTTGGAATTTTTAGTCTTTTTGTGCTGGTTTTTCCTCATCTTCATGGATTTATCTACCTTTGGTCTTTGCTGTTGGTGACCTTCGGATGGAGTTTTTGCATGGTCGTCCATTTTGTTGATTTTGATGTTATTGCTTTCTGTTTGTTAGTTTTCCTCCTAACAGTCAGGCCCCTCTTCTGCAGGTCTGCTGGAGTTTGCTGGGGGTCCACTCCAGACCCTGTTTGCCTGGGTATCACCAGCAGCGGCTGCAGAACAGCAAAGATTGCTGCCTGCTCCTTCCTCTGGAAGCTTCATCCTGGTGGGGCACCAGCCAGATGCCACCCAGAGTTCTCCTGTATGACATATCTGTCAAACCGTGCTGGGAGGTGTCTCCCTCTCAGGAGGCTCAGGGGTCAGGGACCCACTTGAGGAGGCAGTCTGTCCCTTAGCAGAGCTTGAGGGCTAGGCTGGGAGATCTGCTGCTCTCTTCAGGGCCATCAGGCAGAAACGTTTAAGTCTGCTGAAGCTGGGCCCACAGCCACCCCTTCCTCCAGGTGCTCTGTCCTAGGAAGAGGTGGTTTTATCTATAGTCCCCTACTGGGGCTGCTGCCTTTATTTCACAGATGCCATGCCCAGAGAGGAGGAGTCTAGAGAGACAGTCTGGCTACAGGGGCTTTGTGGTGCTGCGGTGGGCACTGCCCAGACTCATCTTCCCAGAGGTTTTGTTTACACTGTGAGGGGAAAACCGCCTACTCACACCTCAGTAATGGTGGACTCCCCTCCCTCCCATCAAGCTTGAGCATCCGAGGTCGACTTCAGACTGCTGTGCTGGCAGTGAGAATTTCAAGCTAGTGGATCTTAGCTTGCTGGGCCCCATGAGGGTGGGATCCTGTGAGCTAGACCACTTGGCTCCCTGGCTTCAGCCCCCTTTCCAGGGGAGTGAATGGTTCTGTCTCACTGGAATTCAGGTGCCACTGGGGTATGAAAAAAAGACTTTTGTAGCTAGCTTGGTGTCTGGCCAAGTGGCCACCCAGTTTTGTGCTTGAAACCCAGGGCCCTTGTGGTGTAGGCATCTGAAGGAATCTCCTAGTTTGTGGGTTGCGACAGGTTGCGAAGACCGTGGGAAAATTGTAGTATCTGGGCTGGATAGCACTGTCCCTCATGGCTTCCCTTGGCTAGGGGAGGGAGTTCCCCAACCCGTTGTGCTTCCTGGGTGAGCCAATTCCCTACCCTGCTTCTGTTTGCCATCCGTGGGCTGCACCCACTGTCTAACTAGTCCCAGTGAGATGAACCGGGCACCTCAGTTGGAAATGCAGAAATCACGGGCCTTCTGCATTGGTCTCGTTGGGAACCACAGACTGGAGCTGTTCTTATTTGGCCATCTTGCCCCAATCCCAGTCCAGAACTTTGTATGTACCAAGCTGTGAAGTGAATGTTTGAAAACTGGAAATTTTGGATACTCTTATATAGTAGCTCTGGAAATCAGAGTCTTTCCTCTCTTTAGGGTGTTTTGTTGCCTGCTATAGTTTTTATTTTTTTTCTTCTGAAGGCTATAGCTTCCTTTAGTGACTTTTCAAAACTATTTTTGCAAGTCATGTGTGGTTTCTGAAGTCTTTTCTTTAGCGTATGTTCAGCTAATTTTGACAGAAATTTTCTTGAATGTGGAGAGGCAAAAAAGAGACATAGAAAAAATATATGTATTTATATATATAAATAGCAGAAGAAAGATGGAAGGAAGTAAGGAAAGGAAGGAAGGAGGAAAGGAATGAAGGAAGAAAGGAAGGAAGGAAGGTCTTTCAGATTGGCTGGAGCACTCCTTGTCATAGCCTTCACTTACTGCTTAAGTTGAGCCTGGATATCAGCCAGAGGTGAAAGTTCAGGATCTTCTCACATTTTTCTAACTAGCCTGTCCCGCTCTGGGCATGTTGATAACTTTCTAAATTTCTTAGTATACATAGGCACTTTTGAACATCCCATTTTCCAAAGAAACTGTCTCCCAGCTTTTATTCTCAGGATTTTAGTGCTCTACTGTGTGCCTTAACTATAATCGTTTGCCCTAGGTAGCTTTGGGTTGTTCATTTGTCTTAGGAGATTTTTGAGAAATGTCCATTGCTTTTCCATCCTGAGTGAGTTTTGAATCAGGTGAAACAAAGATGACTGCCTCGTGTTAGCCCGTGTTAGTCCTCAGACAGGTGAGAAAGAGAAACATAATTTTTTGCAAGTAAGGTCTTCTGTGGTCCCTCTGTAAATAGGAACCAGGGCCTTCCACTGCGAGCAGGGCTGCCCTTGACAAGATCACTGCCAAGCTGATGAGGGAGGTGGTACAAGTGCAAATAAACATACCACAAAGCTTACATATGCATCATGGAATACTATGTAGCCATAAAAAGGAATGAGATTATGTCCTTTGCAGGGACACAGATGGAGCTGGAAGCCATTATCATCAGCAAACTAATGCAGGAGCAGAAAACCAAGCACCACATGTTCTCATTCATAAGTGGGAGCTGAACAAGGAGAACACATGGACCCAGGGAGGGGAACAACACACACTAGGGCCTGTCCGGGGTGTTGGTGGAGGGAGAGCATTAGGAAAAATAGCTAATGTGTGCGGGGCTTAATACCTAGGTGAAGAGTTTATAGGTGCAGTAAACCACCATGGCACACATTTACCTATGTAACAAACCTGCACATCCTGCACGTGCACCTTGGAGCTTAAAATAAAAATAAAAACCCACAAAGCTTTTCTACTGTTTTTAAGTTGCCATTTTTTTTATTCAGTTCTCCCTTGTTTGCTATAAACCTTTGACTGATTTCCAGAGTTCTGTTAGAGTTGATTCTGACTTTTTTGTTTGAATTTTTGGGTGTTTTTATGGAGAGATGGGCCCATGGAACTGTCTATTGTGCCAATTTTGCGGGCATTATTCTGTGAAGTGAGTGGTTGAACACTACAGCTTGCCCATATCTTAGCATTGTGGCATTAACATCTGGGAAAGATAGATGATTTCTTTATTTTACAGATGAGAAAAGAAATGCCTGAATATAGAGCTGGAATTCAAGCCCATTAGCTGGTGGTTTTTCCCACCAAACCCCCAAATCCAGTTTCTGGCAGTACTTTGGTGACTGCCCAAAAGCACACACTCAATGGAAATCCAAGTCCCTTGTTGAAAAGCTGGCATTACTCACAGGCTTTTCCTCTAATTCACACCTAGAGACCTCTTCATCACATTATTTGGCAAAAGGGGAGGAGGTTTTGGAGAACAGATGCTACCAGGAAGTTCTGAATAGGATAGGGGTGTTTGCTGCTTCAGCAAGGTAATTAAGGTTAAGATGACAAAATGATTGGATTTTGGGGTGTATGAACCATTAAAAAATTACAGTTTTGGCTGTGCTGAGCTAGCATGTCCTGAACTCTGTCTAAAGGATAATTGTGTGATTATCTCAACTACTCACGGAAGTATCTTAACTACTCTGGTGTATGGGTACTTATCCATAAAATGCTGAGTTACATTTTATGGTATCTTTGTACCCCTCCCAGTTATAAAAGAGTGATTCTATTTCTGAGGCTTCCTGCTAGGAGTAGAAATAGCAGGGAATGGCTTTGTGATCTATTTCATGTTGTTCAAATTTCCTTACCCTCTGTTCTTATCTGTAAAATGGGAATTAAAGCAATTCATGGCATTCTATATTTCAAGGCTATGGAGAAGAATTAATGTACAAAAATGAGATAATTGACATGAAGCTATTTTAATATTCTGAAAATAATATATGAGTATAGAAAATTATCATCTTTGATCCCTTGTTCAGAATTTTCTAACTTAAATCTTTCTATCAGTATAGAGGACTACTTTGTACGTATAATCAAATGCTCCTCTTACAGAGGGAGATAATTTTTAAAAATTCACTCCAGTTTTAAACCAGCAGTTGACTTATGGCATATGTCTTCAATACATGTGTTTAATTTAATTAATTTTTAAAAATCTTTAAGGTCTGCAATAATTTCCCTGCTCTCATCGATTATCTCCCAGGAAGTCATAATAAAATAGCTGAAAATTTTGCTTACATTAAAAGTTATGTATTGGAGAGAATAAAAGAACATCAAGAATCCCTGGACATGAACAGTGCTCGGGACTTTATTGATTGTTTCCTGATCAAAATGGAACAGGTAAAATGTTATTTGTTTGCCTGCATCTTGTGGTTCATTGATTAGTTCTATAACGATTGCTTAAATAGTGAGGCAAGAAACACTTCATGAGCACTTTATGTACTTACCATGTGTATAGATCTGGATGAAGCACCATGGAGAATTTATAATTGAATTGTTAAACAATTATATGTGAGCACCATTGTTAGGTACTAAGAATTTATCTGAGAAAAGACAGAATGCATGCCTTAGATGAAAGGGAAATACAAATAAGATAGAAAATGCAAAATATAGCATCATAAATTGAAGGTGGACATGGTCATATCACACAGCATATGGGAGAGTGAGGTGAAAGGGTTTAACCTAAGTGGGCCTCCTGCATGTCCTGATGTTTGGTGTAAATGTTAAAATATTTACAATGAATAACGGGGCAGTCAATTTTTTGGTGTGCAGAACAGTGTGATGACAGGTTCAGAGGTGTGTGGTGGCAAAGAGATGGAAAAGGGAGGCCTTAACTGAATGGAACCAAAAGTAAATCCGGACAAATATGGAATTGGAGGTGTCTGTAAGCTGCAGACCTGAATGCTGGCATGGAGAGTTTTGATGTGATCAGGTATATGTGTGAGCCCTAACAAGAGTGGGATGCGTATAATTATTAGAGAAAATAATCCTAGGAATTGTGTAGAAGGATATGTACAATGAGAATGGAGGTCAAAAACTTGCTACAAGACATTTCATATATTTGAAGTTCAGCTTGCTGAAAGTGTGGGCTACAGAAACAGATTCTGAAATAAAATCAAGTTGTCCATTTTGTCATATTGCCAAAAATCTATGGATATTAGTTTCAGTTAGAGGATCAGATAGGAGCCAAATGATAGGACCTGTGTGGGAAATTTCAGTAATGAGAGCAGACATTCTCTTTGATAACTTTAACTGAGGAGGGAAAGATTCAGATGGTGAATTTGAATAGTGGTAGGGTCAATATGGAAACTGTGAGGAAGGTAATATAGATGCTTCAGGACACTAAGGTGCAAAGTACTCTTTGAACTGAGAAGAGGCCCAATCCAGAACAAACTGAAAAGAGTTAACTCTAGAGAATAAAATCTTTCCTCTGAAGCCACCATTATTTTATTCAACCGCTTTACAGCACTAGGTGGAAATGCAGAATCAGTCAGTAGGTGAAAATGGGACAGAGTCAAAGATGCTGATGAAGGTGACTTCCATGAAATTGCCCATGGAATGTTAGCAGGACTGCTCGAATAATGTGTTCTAGATGGAGTGAAGTGAAGAAGATGAGATACTTTGAGGAAACTGGAGAAGGGAAGAAACAAATTATTTGTACTCTCCACCTTCTCTACTGCTAGGTCAATTGTTCTGAGGTCTAATTAATTTAAGAATCTCATTAAAATATGGACACTGCCAGAAAAATGACACTATATGAGTTCTCCATTTTTGTACACATTTAGGGGGGTTTCCTTAATGCTATGAATTGTCTCCATTAATTCCAGGTTAAGGAGAATTGTAAGGTCTATGGTGTTTCAGTGACCAGTGGCTATGTCCTCATTACTATATTTAAAAAGTGCATTGTTCCTTTGACCTCACTATAATATTTAGAATCTAGCTTATTTTATTTTTCACAGCATTTTTATTGAGTTTAATTCACATATTGTACCCTCATACATTTTAAATACAATTCAACAGTTTTAGTATTTTTCACAGAGCTGTGCAGCCACCACCACAACCAATTTCAGAACATTTCCATCATCCTGAAAAGACAACCATATGCTTAACAGTCACCCTGTATTGGGGTGGCTCTAGTCAACACTAATATACTGTCTGTCTCTATAGGTTTGCTATTGTAGACATTTCATGTAAATGAAATTACACAGTATGTGGTCTTTGTTTGTCTGACTTCTGTCACTTAGCACAATGTTTTCAAGGTTCATTGACATAGCATGTATCAGTACCTCATTCCTTTATGTGGTCAAATAATATTTGGGTGTGGCTATATCATATTTTATATTTCCATTCATTAGTTGTTGGTTTTGATTGTTTCTGTTTTGGCTGTTATGAATAATGCTGGTATGGACATTTGTGTACAAGTTTTTGTGTATAGATAAGTTTTTATTTCTCTTGGGTATATACTTGGCTGCAGAATTGCTGGATTATACAGCAACTGTATGCTTAATCTTTGGAGAAACCGTGGCTGGATCAAAGACCTAAATGTAAGAGCTAAAAATATAAAACTCTCAGAAGAAAACCTAGGCATGAAATTTGCTGCACCATTTCGTATTCTCACTACAATGTTTTGAGGATTCCACTTTCTCCACAACCTTGCTAATGTTTCTTATCTTTTTGATTCCAGCCATCCCAGTGGGGTTGAGGTGGTTCCATGTGGTTTGGTTTGCATTTTCCTGACATCAAATAATTTTCTCTTGTGCTTACTGGTCATTTGTGTATCTCTTTGGATAAAAGTATATTCAGACCTTTTGTCCGTTTTTAAATTAGGTTATTATATTTTTAAAATTATTGAGATGGAAAAGTTTTTATATATTCTAGATAAAAGTCCCATATCAGATGTTATTAAAGATATTTTCTCCCATTTTGTCAAGTGTCTTTCACTTTCTTAACAGTGTCTTTTGAAATACAAGTTTTTAGTTTTTGTGAAATCCAATTTATTTATTTATTTGCATGGTTTCTTGCAATTTTTTTGTCACGTTTAAGAAATGATTTCTTAGTCCAATATCACAAAGATTCACCCCAAGTTTTCTTCAAATGGTTTTATAATTTTAACTATTACATTTAGGTCTAAGATCCACTCTGAGTCAATTTTTGATTATAGTGTGAGGTATGGGTACAACTTCATTCTTTGCATGTGCATTCAGTTGTCCTAGTACCATTTGTTGAAAAGACTATTCATTCCCCATTGAGTGATCGTGGTACATTTGTTGAAATTCAGTTGACTACAAACACGAGGATTTATTTTTAGACTCTAAATTCTATTTCATTGATCTATATAGCTTTCTTTATGCCAGTATGACAGTACTTTTTTTTTTTGAGACAGGGTCTCGCTCTGGTTGCCTAGGCTATAGTGCAATGGTGTGATCTTGGCCTCTACCTCCCGGGCTCAGGTGATTCTCCCACCTCAGCCTCCTGAATAGCTGGGATTACAGGCATGTGCCACTATGGCCAGATAATTTATTGTATTTTTAGCAGAGACAGCCTTTCGCTATTTTGCACAGGCTGGCCTCCAACTGCTGGCCTCAAGCAGTCCACCCACCCTGGCCTCCCAGATTGCTGGGATCACAGGAGTGAACCACGCACCTGGGTGATGGTAGCTTTTATGTAAGTTTTGAAATTGGAAAGTGTCAGTTCTCCAGTTTTGTTCTTTCCCAAGATTGTTTTGGTTCTTAGCTATTTTGGTTGTGTAGAGTTCCCCATGAATTTTATGGTAATCTTGTCCATTTCTATTAAAAAGGTAACAGATATTTTGATATGGATCACTTTGAATCTGTAGATCAATTTGGGAAGTAATGCCATTTTAACGATATTAAGTCTTCCAATAGATGAACATGGGATGTCTTTCCATTTATTTAGATCTTCTTTAATTTCTTTCAACAATGTTTTGTGTCAGCTAGCTTAATTTTGATAGGCTATTTGTACATAACCACTGATTTTTCAAATTCACTTAAACAGAAGGAAATATTAGTATTGGTTTATAAGTGCTCTACTCTCCTTCCTGGCTTTGGTGTAATTTTGAGTTGATAAGCTTAGAAAACTGTGTTAAGTTGATGTTACCAATGGGCATGATGACCTTTGTCTAGCAAGTACATCTGTTGAGAGGACTAGGTTTGTCTTACTGTGGTTGATTACATAATATTAGGCATGCCACAGGTCACATGGAGATTATAACAGCCTTATTAAATTAATGCTGTTCTAGAGGATTGAATAGGAAGAAATCTTTTTTTGTATGTTAATTACTCCCTATAGTCAATAATTTAGACTGTCCCATTGTTATGGTCAATTTTGTGTTACATATTTCCCTCATCTTAAACCAGCCTTAGTTGCCTTGTGAAGTGCTTTGTTCTTCCACTCTCCATTTTATTATTAATGGCATAAACTGCAATTACTTTTTCACCAACTGAATATAAGAACTCAGTTCATTCAGTCCCTTGTCCTAAGCATCTCCATTGCCCTTACTCTCTCCTTCATCCTGTATAGGTGGTTAATGTCCAAACTCTCTGTCTTCATGTCTGTAGTGTCTCTTCAATTTCTATATTCTTATTCATTCCTGTGCTTGTTTACTAGATCAAGTTGACTATTACCTCACATCTGGAATATAATAATGGCTGGCCCCATCTTGTCTTGTCAATCTGTTCTCTTTCTCCATAATCTTGGATATGTTACCATGTTATCTTTTGCACATTTCCGAGTTCATAATGAGTCTGCAGGCAATATTGAGTGTGACTAAATTCTTTTTTTTTTCTCAGACAGAGTCTTACTCTGTCACCCAGGCTGGAATGCATTGGCATGATTGTGGCTCACTTTAGCTCGACCTTCTGGACTCAAGTGATCCTCCCACCTCAGCCTCCCCAGTAGTTGGGACTGCAGGTGCACATCACCATGCCCAGATAATTAAAAATTTGTTTTTATAGAGATAGGGTCTCACTGTGTTTGCCCAGGCTGGAGTGGACCTCCTGAACTCAAGTATTCCTCCTGCCTCAGCTTCCGACAGTGCTGGGATTTAAGGCATGAGCCACTGTGCCCAGTCTAAATTACCTATAATTCCTTATACAATGTAAATGCCATGTAAGTGGTTGTTATACTGTATTTTTTAGGGAATAATGACAAGAAAAAGAAGTCTGTACATGTCCAATATGAACACTTTTTTTTTTCTGAATTTTATTCTTTTTTGTTTTAGAGGCAGAATCTTGCCCCATTGCCCAGGCTGTTGTGAAGTGGTATGACCATAGCTCACTGCAGCCTTGAACTCCTGGGCTCAAGCAATTCTTCCACCTCAGCCTCCTAAGTATATGGGACAACAGGTGCATGCCACCATGCCCAACTAATTTTTTTTTTTTTTTTTTTTGTAGAGATAGGGTCTTTCCAGGTTGCCTAGGCTAGTCTTGAACTTCTGGGCTCAAGCGATCCTCCCATCTTGGCCTCCCAAAGTGCTGGGATTACAGGCATGAGCCACCTCACCTGGCCTCTTTTTCCAATTTTTTTTTTTTTTTATTTAAGGTTGGTTGAATCAATGGATGTGGAATCCATGGATAGGAAGGTGGATTGTACTCTATTATTAGCTATATTCAACTGGCTGTGCAATTTATTATTTTTTAAAAAAGAGATCAGATTTACTCCTCCATTCTAACAGGCTTTATACCCTTTGACTATCATCTCCCCCTTTCCCCCCGCCCCCAAGCCCTCTGGCAATCAGCATTCTACTCTCTTCTATGAGTTCGGTTGTTTTAGATTCCACATATAAGTGAGAATATATAGTATTTGTTTTCCTGTTCCTGACCTGACTTTACTTAGCATAATGTTCTCCAGTTCCATCCCTGTTATCACAAATAACAGAATTTCTTCATTTTTAAGGCTGAATAGTATTCTATTGTGTATATATACCACATTTTCTTTATCCATTTATCTGTTGATGGGCACTTAGGCTGATTCTATATATTAGCTATTGGGAATAGTGCTGCAATTTACATGGGAGTGCAGACATTGCTTTGACATACTGATTTCAAATCTTTTGAGTAAATGCCCATAAGCCGAATCACTGGATCATGTTGTAATTCTATTTTTAGTTTTTTGAGGAACCTTTTACTGTTTTCCATAATGGTTGCACTAACTTACATTCCCATCAACAGTACACAAGTGTTCCCCTTTTTCCACATCTTCACCAACACTTGTTTTTTCTCTCTTTGATAATAGCCATTCTAACAGATGTGAGGTGATAGCTCATTGTGTTTTTAATTTGTAACTTTTTAATGATTAGTGTTGTTAAGCATCTTTTTATGTATCTCTTAATCATTTGTATGTCTTCTTTTTAGAAATATTCATTCAGGCTATTTGCCCATTTCTTAATTGGATTATTTGTTTTCTTTCTATAGAGTTGTTTAAGTTCCACATATATGTGCATGCATGTCTGTGTGTATATAGTTTTTAATTTTAATTTTAATTTTAAAAGAAGTATAGAAATTTAATATGTTTTTCTTCCAATGTTATTTTTTCTCATATTTTTTTCTTTTTTTAATTATACTTTAAGTTCTAGGGTACATGTGCACAATGTGCAGGTTTGTTACATATGTATACATGTGCCATGTAGGTGTGCTGCACCCATTAACTCATCATTTACATTAGGTATATCTCTTAATGCTATCCCTCCCCGCTCCCCCCACCCCACAATAGTCCCCCGTGTGTGATGTTCCCCTTCCTGTGTCCATGTGTTCTCATTGTTCAAATCCCACCTATGAGTGAGAACATGCGGTGTTTGGTTTTTTGTCTTTGTGATAGTTTGCTGAGAATGATGGCTTCCAGCTTCATCCATGTCCCTACAAGGGATACGAACTCATCCTTTTTTATGGCTGCATATATTCCATGGTGTATATGTGCCACATTTTCTTAATCCAGTCTATCACTGATGGACATTTGGGTTGGTTCCAAGTCTTTGTTATTGTGAATAATGCCACAATAAACATACGTGTGCATGTGTCTTTATGGCAGCATGATTTATAATCCTTTGGGTATATACCCAGTAATGGGATGGCTGGGTCCAATGATATTTCTAGTTCTAGATCCTTGAGGAATTGCCACACTGTCTTCCACAGTGGTTGAACTAGTTTAAAGTCCCACCAACAGTGTGTAAAAGTGTTCCTATTTCTCCACATCCTCTCCAGCACCTGTTTCCTGACTTTTTAATGATCGCCATTCTAACTGGTGTGAGATGGTATCTCATTGTGGTTTTGATTTGCATTTCTCTGATGACCAGTGATGATGAACATTTTTTCATGTGTCTGTTGGCTGCATAAATGTCTTCTTTTGAGAAGTGTCTGTTCATATACTTCACCCACTTTGTGATGGGGTTGTTTTTTTTCTTGTAAATTTGTTTGAGTTCTTTGTAGATTCTGGATATTAGCCCTTTGTCAGATGAGTAGATTGCAAAAATTTTCTCTCATTCTTTAGGTTGCCTATTCACTCTGATGGTAGTTTCTTTTGCTGTGCAGAAGCTCTTTAGTTTAATTAGATCCCATTTGTCAATTTTGTCTTTTGTTGCCATTGCTTTTGGTGTTTTAGACATGAAGTCCTTGCCCATGCCTATGTCCTGAATGGTATTGCCTAGGTTTTCTTCTAGGGTTTTTATGGTTTTAGATCTGACATTTATGTCTTTAATCCATGTTGAATTAATTTTTGTATAAGATGTAAGGAAGGGATCCAGTTTCAGCTTTCTACATATGGCTAGCCAGTTTTCCCAGTACCATTTATTAAATAGGGAATCCTTTCCTCATTTCTTGTTTTTGTCAGGTTTGTCAAAGATCAGATGGTTGTAGATGTGCGGTATTATTTCTGATGGCTCTGTTCTGTTCCATTGGTCTATATCTCTGTGTCAGTACCAGTACCATGCTGTTTTGGTTACTGTAGCCTTGTAGTATAGTTTGAAGTCAGGTAGCATGATGCCTCCAGCTTTGTTCTTTTGACTCAGGATTGACTTGGCAATGTGGGCTCTTTTTTGGTTCCATATGAACTTTAAAGTAGTTTTTTCCAATTCTGTGAAGAAAGTCATTGGTAGCTTGATGGGGATGGCATTGAATCTATAAATTACCTTGGGAAGTATGGCCATTTTCACAAAATTGTTTCTTCCTATCCGTAAGCATGGAATGTTCTTCCATTTGTTTGTGTCCTCTTTTATTTCATTGAGCAGTGGTTTGTAGTTCTTCTTGAAGAGGTCCTTCATATCCCTTGGAAGTTGGATTCCTGGGTATTTTATTCTCTTTGAAGCAATTGTGAATGGGAGTTCACTCATGATTTGGCACTCTGTTTGTCTGTTATTGGTGTATAAGAATACTTGTGATTTTTGCACACTTATTTTGTATCCTGAGACTTTGCTGAAGTTTCTTATCAGCTTTTTGGAGATTTTGGGCTGAGGCAATGGGGTTTTCTAAATATACAATCATGTCATCTACAAACAGGAACAATTTGACTTCCTCTTTTCCTAATTGAATACCCTTTATTTCTTTCTCCTGCCTGATTACTCTGGCCAGAACTTCCAACAGTATGTTGAATAGAAGTGGTGAGAGAGGGCATCCCTGTCTTGTGCCAGTTTTCAAAGGGAATGCTTCCAGTTTGTGCCCATTCAGTATGATATTGGCTTTGGGTTTGTCATAAATAGCTCTTATTATTTTGAGATGTGTCCCATCAATACCGAATTTATTGAGAGTTTTTAGCATGAAGGTTTTTGAATTTTGTCAAAGGCCTTTTCTGCATGTAGTATTGAGATAATCATGTGGTTTTTGTCTTTGGTTCTGTTTATATGCTGGATTACATTTATTGATTTGCATATATTGAACCAGCCTTGCATCCCAGGGATGAAGCCAACTTGATCATGGTAGATAAGCTTTTTAATGTGCTGCTGGAATCAGTTTGTCAGTATTTTATTGAGGATTTTTGTATCGATGTGCATCAGGAATTTTGGTCTAAAATTCTCTTTTTCTGTTGTGTCTCTGTCAGGCTTTGGTATTACGATGATGCTGGCCTCATCAAATGCATTAGGGAGGATTCCCTCTTTTTCTATTGATTGGAATAGTTTCAGAAGGAATGGTACCACCTCCTCCTTGTACCTCTGGTAGAATTTGGCTGTGAATCCATCTGGTCCTGGACTTTTTTTTTGTTGGTAGGCTCTTAATTATTGCCTGAATTTCAGAGCCTGTGATTGGTCTATTCAGGGATTCAGCTTCTTCCTGGTTTAGTCTTGGGAGAGTGTATGTGTCGAGAAATTTATCCATTTCTTCTAGATTTTCTAATTTATTTGCGTAGAGGTGTTTATAGTATGCTCTGATGGTAGTTTGCATTTCTGTGGGATCAGTGGTGATATCCCCTTTAACATTTTTTATTGCATCTATTTGATTTTTCTCTCTTTTCTTCTTTATTAGTCTTGCTAGTGGTCTATCAATTTTGTTGATCTTTTCAAAAAACCAGCTCCTGGATTCATTGATTTTTTGAAGGGTTTTTGTGTCTCTATCTCCTTCAGTTCTGCTCTGATCTTAGTTATTTCTTGCCTTCTGCTAGCTTTTGAATGGGTTTGCTCTTGCTTCTCTAGTTCTTTTAATTGTGATGTTAGGGTGTCAATTTTAGATCTTTCCTCCTTTCTCTTGTGGGCATTTAGTGCTATACATTTCCCTCTACACACTGCTTTAAATGTGTCCCAGAGATTCTGGTATGTTGTGTCTTTGTTCTCATTGGTTTCAAGAACATCTTTATTTCTGCCTTCATTTCATTATGTACCCAGTAGTCATTCAGGAGCAGGTTGTTCAGTTTGCATGTAATTGAGTGGTTTTGGGTGAGTTTCTTAATTGTAGTTCTAGTTTGATTGTACTGTGGTCTGAGAGACAGTTTGTTATAATTTCTGTTTTTTTACATTTGCTGAGGAGTGCTTTAATTCCAACTATGTGGTCAGTTTTGGAATACGTGCGATATGGTGCTGAGAAGAATGTAAATTCTGTTGATTTGGGGTGGAGAGTTCTGTAGATGTCTATTAGATCTGCTTGGTGCAGAGCTGAGTTCAATTCCTGGATATCCTTGTTAACTTTCTGTCTCCTTGATCTGTCTAATGTTGACAGTGGGGTGTTAAAGTCTCCCATTATTGTTGTGTAGGAGTCTAATTATCTTCGTAGGTCTCTAAGGACTTGCTTTATGAATCTGGGTGCTCCTGTATTGGGTGCATATATATTTAGGATAGTTAGCTCTTCTTGTTGAATTGATCCCTTTACCATTATGTAATGGCCTTGTTTGTGTCTTTCGATCTTTGTTGGTTTAAAGTCTGTTTTATCAGAGACTAGGATTGCAACCCCTGCCTTTTTTTGTTTTCCATTTGCTTGGTAGATCTTCCTCCTTCCCTTTATTTTGAGTCTGTGTGTGTCTCTGTATGTGAGACAGGTCTCCTGAATACAGCACACTGAGGAGTCTTGACTCTTTATCCAGTTTGCTAGTCTGTGTCTTTTAATCAGTGCATTTAGTCCATTTATATTTAAGGTTAATATTGTTATGTGTGAATTTCATCCTGTCATTATGATGTTAGCTGGTTATTTTGCTCATTAGTTTATGCAGTTTCTTCCTAGCATCAATGGTCTTTACAATTTAGCATGTTTTTGCAGTGGCTGGTAGCGGTTTTTGCTTTCCATGTTTAGTGCTTCCTTCTGGTGCTCTTGTAGGGCAGGCATGGTGGTGACAAAATCTCTCAGGGTTTGCTTGTCTGTAAAGGATTTTATTTCTCCTTCACTTATGAAGTTTAGTTTGGCTGGATATGAAATTCTGGGTTGAAAATTCTTTTCTTTAAGAATGTTGAATATCGGCCCCCACTCTCTTCTGGCTTGTATTGCCCAGATCAATGTCCTGTAGTTTTTCCTCAATCTTGTCTTCTAGTAGTTTACAGTATCTGGTGTTATGTTTAAGTCTTTAATCCATGTTGAGTTGCTTGAGTATATGGTGTGAGATCAGTGTTCAATTTTATTCTTTAGCATTTGGATATCCAGTTTTCTCACCATTTATTTAAGAGACTGTCCCCTTTCCATTGCATATTCTTGGTACCTTTGTCTAAAATCAATTGTAGTTGCATGGGTTCTTTTCCAGCTCTCTGTTATATTCTGTTGGTTGATGTGTCCATTTTTATGCCAGTACCATGCTGTTTTAATTACTATTAATTTGTAGTATAGCTTGAAATCAGGTAATGTGATGCCTCCAGCTTTCTTCTTTCTGCTAATTATTGCCTTGGCTATTTGGGTATTTTTGTGGTTCTATATGAATTTTTTGGGGATGACTTTTCCTATTTCTAAGAGAGATAACATTGGAATTTTGATAGGGATTTCAATGAAACCATAAATTTCTTTAGATAGTATGGACATTTTAACAATATCAACTCTTCCAATCCATGCATATGGTATCTCTTTTTTATTTGTGTCTTCTTCATTTTTTTAATTAATATTTTATATTTTTTGGTGACTTTCACTTTTTTGGTTAAATGTACTCCTAAATACTTTATTTCTTTGATGCTATTGTAAATGGGTTTATTTTTAAAATTTCTTTTTCATATCATTTGTTGTTAATGTGTTGAAACACTATTAATTTTTGTGTGTTGATTTTGTATCCTGCAACTTTACTGAATTTAATTATCAGTTCTAAGAGTTTTTTGGTGATGTGTTTAAGGTTTTCTGTATGTAAGATCATGCCATCAGCAAACAGAGACAATTTTACTTCTTTTCTTCTTTGGATGTCTTTCATTTATTTTTCTTGTCTCATTGCTCTGGCTAGTACTTCTCATACTATGTTGAATTGAAGTACTGAGAGTGGGCATCCATATCTTTTTCCTGATCTTATGGGAAAATCCTTCAACTTTCCACTATTGAATATGAGGTTAGCCATGCACTTGTCATATATGGACTTGTGTTGAGGCTAGTTATTAGCTCCACTATCAGGAGCAGCAATTTGCAGGACATGCTAACAAGTCTCATCCAGGCAGAAACTTGGACTTTTGAGTTTCATCCCTTTCTCTGCCATGATCCCAGAGGATTAAACCTCTGGAAGTGCTTGTGCACTAATATAATACTGGTACTTTTTCCAGTGGTCTAGAGAGAGACTCCTGTATACTTAGTCCTCTCTGCTCCCAGAATTGGTAAGTTAAGTAGATAGCTGTGGGGAACCTTAGAGTTAGGGTGTTAATGTGTGGTCTAAATCCTCCTTTCCACAGGGAGAAGCTGGATGTTGGGGATTCATTCTCAATTGTATGGTGTAGTGCCTGGGTGAGGTTGGTGCTGTAGCTTTTTCTTCCCAGTCTATGTGGATATTTTCTTTGTTGCTCAGTACATAGAAGTCTCTCAACTTGTTTCTGACTTTCTCTCACAGGGAATTGATCTGTGAATAGATATTTATTTGGTGTATCCTTGGGTGGAAGAAGAGACTGGAGCCTCCTATTCTGCAATGTCCCTATTGTGACACTGAGAATTGCAAACCCTTGATTCTTGCTTATAATGTATTTATGTCTCTAATTTACTTATTTCTATTTCTATCAATTAAGATTGTATATATACAAATAAGAAAAAAAATTAACATGGCTTAAACAAATAATGTGTTTATTTATTTCACATACAGGGTGTCATGTTGGGCAGTGCAGAACTAGTACTGTAGCTCTGAAGCATCCTAGAACTAGGTGCCTGCCATTTTTGATCCCCACGCTTACAACATGAACCTTCATCTTGATTATTTTTTTTTTTGAGACAGGATCTCTCTTTGTCATCCAAGCTGGAGTGCAGTGGCATGAACATGCTTCACTGCAGCCTTGACCTCCTGGGCTCATGTGTTTCTCTGTGTCAGCCTCCCATGTAGCTGGGACCACAGATATGTGCAATTCACCTGGTTAATTTTTTGATTTTTATTTTTTTTTTTGAGAGGAGTTTCACTCTGTCACCCAGGATAGAGTGCAGTGGTGTGATCTCGGCTCACTGCAACCTCCGTCTCCTGGGTTCAAGTGATTCTTATGCCTCAGCCTTCCGAGTAGCTGAGATTACAGGCGCATGCCATCACGCCCGGCTAATTTTTGTGTTTTTAGTAGAGATGAGATTTCACCATGTTGCCCAGGCTGGTCTCGAACTCCTGACCTCAGGTGACTGCCTGTCTTGGCCTCCCAAAGTGCTGGGATTACAGGCATGTGCCACCATGCCTGGCCAAGTTTTTGATTTTTTTTTTAGAGACAGGGGGTCTCACTTGTTGCCCAGGCTGGTGTCAAACTCCAGAACTCAAGTGATCCTCCTGCCTTGGCATCCCAAAGTGTTGGGATTACAGGCATGAGCCACCACAGATGGACTTGTTATATTCTTAAATATTCATGTTCCAAGGTGATATCTATATCACCTCTACCTTCATATATGTGTTTTGAGTAAAAAGGAGAGAAAGTGCCATCAACAGGTACCTGCTTATATGTCATAGACAAGAAATATGTTTCATGGCCAACACAGCTCCAAAAGATATTCAGAAATAGAATTTTTAGGCAAGCAATGGATAAGTAGGAATGGGAAATGAACTATTTTACATTCTCTGCCACACCGTGCAATTGTTGTAGTTTTAATACTGCACTCTGTACAGTTTCCAAACTTCCTTATCTTTAGAACAACCTGATATATTTTGGATTTTTTGTAATTTAATATGCTGGCAAACTACCAAATAATTAAATTATGAAATAATTTTTTAGGAAAAGCACAATCAACAGTCTGAATTTACTGTTGAAAGCTTGATAGCCACTGTAACTGATATGTTTGGGGCTGGAACAGAGACAACGAGCACCACTCTGAGATATGGACTCCTGCTCCTGCTGAAGTACCCAGAGGTCACAGGTATGATGATACCATAGGTGAGCAGGGTGATTTTCAGAAAAGATGTTGGGAAGACACTGCTATTGTCCTCAATCTTGTTTCTCTTAGAGAAGCTTCATTATTGAAATTTCTGTGCCATTGGCTCTAAGTTGTCTAAATATGATGAAGGGATAAGAATGAGACAAATTTGCACAATAGGGAAGAGGGACTGAGAGAGGTGAAGACAGTGTGATCAGTAGCAAAAGTAATAAAGCCCTGGATTTTAGTGACTAAATACTTTTAATAAAGTGTCTAGATTTCATGGGAGACGATTTGTAGCAGGCACAGGCATGATGAATTGGCCTAGGATTGTATGTTGGTTTTCTAAAGAACAGACCACTTTGTTGCAGTTTCTTTTTTGAAATGAGTAGAAATTTTATTTCACTAAAAGCCATGTCTACAAAATTCCATTTTCCAGCAGAACAGACCACTTTGAGTAATAGATATGCTCTTTCTTTCTTTCTTTCTTTTTTTTTGAGACAGAGTCTCACTGTGTCACCCAGGCTGGAGTGCAGTGGTGCAATCTTGGCTCACTGCAACCTCCGCCTCCCGGGTTCAAGTGATTCTCCTGCCTCAGCCTCCTGAGTAGCTGGGATTACAGGTGTACCCACCACACCTGGCTAATTATTTTGTATTTTTAGTAGAGACGGGGTTTCACCATGTTGGTCAGGCTAGGCTCAAACTCCTGATCTCAAATGATCTGCCCACCTTGGCCTCCCAAAGTTCTTGGATTACAGGCATATGCCACTGTGCCCAGCCAGGTATGCTTCTATAGATCTTCCCTTATTCTGAAAATGTAGTGTTTTAATGCTGGGACAGTAAAGACAGAAACTCTTTTTATTTTTAATTTTTATTATTGGCAATTCTTTTGTGGTTGGTTTGATGCCATTTTTTAATGTTTTGGTAAATTTCTATTTTTATAGACTTAGGGGTACAAGTGCAATTGTGTTCATGAATATATTCCCTAGTGGTGAAGTCTGGGCTTTCAGTGTACCCTTCACCTGAATAGTGTACATTGTTCCCAATAGGTAGCATTTCATCCCTCACCTCCCTCCCACCTTTCCACCTTTTGGACTCTCCAGTGTCTATTATTCCACTCTGTATGTCTCTGTGTACCCATTGTTTAGCTCCCATTTATAAGTGAGAACATGTGGTTTTTGACTTTCTATTTTGAGCATTTGCACTTAGGATAATGGCTTCTAGTTCCATCCATGTTGCCACAAAAGACACGATTTCGTTCTTTTACATGGCTGAGTAGTAGTGCATGGTGTGTGTGTGTGTGTGACACACCATAGAATACTAGATGCAGATTTTTAAATCCCACACATAACAATTTTAATCCATTCATCTGTTGATGGATGCTTGGGTTGATTTTATGAATTTGCCTTGGTGAATAGTGCTGCAGTAAACATATGAATGCAGATGTCTTTTCGATAAAATGATTTCTTTTATTTTGGATAGATACCCAGTAGTGGGATTGCTGGATCAAAGGGTAGTTCTATTTTTGATTCTTTGGGAAATACTATTTATTGAAGTGTATAGTGGATATTCTAGAAATGTCATGAGATAGCCTGAGAAAATCTGTATAGTCTGGGAAGTATTTTAAACACTTAGGTGTATAATAAAGGTGTATGATATTTAAGCAGAAAATGTGCCTGAGGAATTTTATGATTATCAAAATCTGCATCTAGAAAAATGGTACTTGTCAATATTTTTTCTTAGGGTCAATAGTTTTATCTTTTACAAGCAACTTTTTTTTTTCTTCAACTTTTATATTTATCTATGAGCAGATTCTGGCTCTGCATAACATATTAGCCACACACTTGTTTTTCTGGGGTCAGAATCACACTGAAGTGATGATAAACATATTACAAATGAGAATTACTCCTGTTAAAGTTGGAGTATAACCATCAAGTCTTTAACAAACTTCTCAGACACAGAGAGCAGATAGAAGGATGATAACCAATTTGGCAGAGAGATTGAAGTTGCAACCTAAGGGTCATAAGAATTTCTGTTGCTATAGTCCCCATAAGGCTGAGTATTCAAAAGAACCAAGACCCAAAGAACATAGAGGGAGAATGAGGCAGAAAACAGAAAATTCTCCCTGCCTAGTTTCCCTCCACAACTCCATTTGTCAACTAATTGTTTTTCTCCACAGAAAAGGGAGGTTCACTCTCTAGAGAAACTGAACCTAAGAGGCTCACTCATGGACAACAGACAGAGACTGGGAAAGAGTGAGGGGTTAAGTAAGAGTCCACTTGAATTCTAAGGCCTTTAGCGCCTTTTTCTATCTTGTTCCTAAAATACAGCAGCCAGGTGTAAACTCCAGAGGACAAGTAGCACCAGTGGAAAGACCTCCATTTTTCACCATTTAGATAGAAAATTCTTACCAAATGTCCAGCAAAGTGAATGAAATGGAAAATATTCATCCAAGACACCAGACCATGGGGAATTTTAGAACATCAGAGTTAAAGGGAAAGTCATAAAAACATTCAGAGATAAATTAGGTCACCTGTGAAGGATCAGGAATCAGAATGGCATTAGAATTCTCAAGAGCAGCTGTCATCTTGTGTATTTGTAGATAAAGAATATTTTCAGATCTGCATTTGGCAAAAAATTTTTGCCCTTTGTGTTTATTTTCTTAGAAAGATACTAGAGAATATTTTCCATCCAAATGTCTGAAACCAATTCAGGGGAAATCATGGGCTGCAGGGATCAGGAGATCTCATGTAGGAGGATGGAAGTGTCAGGGAGGCTGCTGGATACCAGGTCTAGAAAACAAATGCTTTAGAATGGACCAGGTGGATCATGGAGGTGTGAGGGAAGACATTAAGGGCAAAGAAAAGTTGATTGATTATTTGATTATTTTTAGTGTTTAGAAAATTATTAGTAAGAGTTTGAAACATTTCTGAGCATTTGCAGTAATTCTAAATTGGCATATGAAAATTAGAATTGAAATGGACACACAAGTCCAAGAATATACAAAAAAGAGACATAATTACAGCTGTCCCACTTGTGGTCAATGTTTATGAAATAATAATGGTGTGAACATGAGTATTAATATAATAAAAATGTGATATAAATACATTGGGGAAACTAGAGTGGGGGAAGTGTGAATGTGTGTGCATGTTTCTGTTTGTGGGTGTGTGTCTATTTGTTATGGGGTGATGATGGAGATATAAGTCCTCATCTTTCTTACCATGAGGTTTTAGAAATTTTCAAAGATAAATTAAAAAATAAAAAGAGAGTCAGTATTTAGAAATATGAATATAAACTTCAGAAGAAACTTCTAGAATGTTTCAACATAGTCACCTTTGTGGAGTGTGAGGATGAGAGAGAATATCATTTCAAGTTTCAAATAAACATATGCACACAATACACAAATCCATCCATACATATAGATCTGTTAGTAGAATTAAAGTTTTAAAACATTATATGTTATTCTGATACAACATTAATTTGATTTTTTTCTTTCTTCAAGAACAGTAATTTCTTGAGTTTATAATGTACTAAATATTTATATTTTGAAGTATTTTATCATTTATATTTGTACTGATTATCTTGTATGCTAATATGTAGGTGGTTACAGATTTATCTTAATACTTAGCTTGTAGGAGAGTTGGATGTATCTATAATGTAGTAATTTCTTCCCTAAGTCTAGGTGTACTTTCAGTCCTATAAGTTTATAATGATGTTGGGACCCCTTCCTTATGCTTCTTGTAACCTGAATTGCTACAACAAATGTGCCATTTTCCTCCTTTTCCATCATTTCTTACTTGTGTCTTATCAGCTAAAGTCCAGGAAGAGATTGAATGTGTAGTTGGCAGAAACCGGAGCCCCTGTATGCAGGACAGGAGTCACATGCCCTACACAGATGCTGTGGTGCACGAGATCCAGAGATACATTGACCTCCTCCCCACCAACCTGCCCCATGCAGTGACCTGTGATGTTAAATTCAAAAACTACCTCATCCCCAAGGTAAGCTTGTTTCTCCTACACTACATCTCCATGCTCTTCAAGTCCCCAAATTCATAGTATAGTCCCAATCCTCTAACAACACATGATGAGAGAAGTGTAAAATTCATACGTGGGGCAGCTTTCTGGACTCTGCTGTTTCCATTCCAGTTTGGGCCTATGAAGGTTTATAACAGGTCTCAGTATCTAGCAGTGTATGTCTTCCAAATTTGTTCTGCTTCTTTAGTATTTTTTTTTTGTGGCTATTCTCAGGTTGTTTACATTTCCAAGTAAGTGTTGAAAGTATCATTTTGTCAATTTCCCAAAACACTGTGCTGGGATTTTTATCATGATGACATTAAATCTTTAGATCAATTTAGAAATAATTGATGTCCTGACAGGTTGAATCTTTCAATTCATGGATATGATTATGCTCTTTATTTATTTGGGCTTTCTTCTATTGTGTCAGTAATGTTTTGTCTTCAGTTCAGTGGCTTTCTCATGTATTACGTTTTTTTTCTGAAATGATATTTCTATGTAATTGTAAGTTGTGTATTTAATATATAATATAAAATATATATAATATGAAATAAATATATATAATATTAAAAATATATTTTCAAAACAGAGTCTTGCTATGTTGCACAGATTGATCTTCTGGGCTCAAGCAATCCTCCACCTCTTCCTCCTGAGTAGCTGGGATTAGAGATGTGTGCCACTGCACCTGGCTTTTAAATAATATACTTTAAAAAAAATGCCTTTTCCATTTCTTTGTTTCTGGTACATGGAAATATAATTGACTTTATTATTTTGATGACCTTACATCAAGCAAATTTACTTGGCATTGCTAATTTTTTGTTTGTAAATTTATTTGTAATTTCTATGTATTCTGTGTTCTCTTTTAATATTTATTTTATTTCTTATTTTTCAATTCTTATAACTCAGTTTTCTCTTTATTGTTTTATTTCACTGGTTAGGATTTCCAGGACAGCGTTGAATAAATCATGATGGTGGGCATCCTTGTTTCATATATGATGTTCAGGATGGGTGGAGATTTAACATCTCACCAGTGAGAATGATGTTTTATGTATATTTTCATAAGTAAAAAATCAGATTAGAGAAGGTTGCCTTCTACTTTTGATGACTTTTTTTGGTCTTGAATGTGTATACAATTTGATCAAATGGAGTCTCTGCATCAATCGATATGGCCATATATTTTGTCCTGTCTATAGATATAATATATATATTAGTTAAAATACACACAAATGTGCACACAGAGACATACACAGCTGGGTTTTATTTGCTATGATTTTCAGGATGTTTGAACTTATATTTACAAGAGACATTGGTTTGCAATTTTTCTTCCTCAAAATTTTCTTGTCAGATTTCTGATATTGAGGAAATGTTGGCTTCATAAAATAAGGAAGATAATGTTCTGTATTGTGGTTGTTTTTATAATCTTTTCTCCCTTCTCTATTCTTTTTGTGCTCACTTAGTTCTGTCTTTGGAGTGACTCATAAATTTTGGTTAAGTGCCAGTTATGATGTATGAAAAAATGCAGAATGTCAGATGAGGTTCATCTTCTTCCAGAAAGGGTTCATCCCTCCCATGCTAGGCAGACAGAATTATGCAACACCTTCTACCTTCATTCAGAATTAGATATCAACACAGTCAAAAAAAATTTTTTTTCAATTTTTTTTTTATTATACTTTAAGTTCTGGGATACATGTGCAGAATGTGCAGTTTTGTTACATAGGTATACACGTGCCATGGTGGTTCGCTGCACCCATCAACCTGTCACCTACATTAGGTATTTCTCCTAATGTTATCCCTCCCCTAGCCCCAACATCCCCCACAGGCCCTGGTGTGTGATGTTACCCTCCCTGTGTCCTTATTGTTCAACTCCCACTTATAAGTGAGAACATGCGGTGTTTGGTTTTCTGATCTTGTGATAGTTTGCTGAGAATGATGGTTTCCAGCTTCATCAATGTCCCTGCAAAGGACATGAAGTCATCATTTTTTATGGTTGCATAGTATTCCATGGTGTATATGTGTCATATTTTCTTAATCTAGTCTATCATTGATGGACATTTGGGTTGGTTCCAAGTCTTTGCTATTGTGAATAGTGCCACAATAAACATACGAAACACAGTCAAAAATTGACTGTAGCCATCAAAAATTGACTGTAACCTCTCTGAGTTCCCCCATGCCTGCAAGCCTGAGTAATTTTTGTCTCAACATCTTTTCCAGTGCCTTCTAACACATGGTTTCTGTGTTTATTGAGACTTTTTAGTTGCTATTCTGCAAGCTGCTCCATTCCACTTGAAGCGAGTACATATTGCCATTATAAAGAAATAAAATAATGAAAATTTAACTTTGAGAGGAAAAAGGATTGGAGTTTGATAAGGTTGAAATCACTATTGCCATCTTATAGGGAAGAGGGAATTCTGAATGTCTGTATTGTGCCATATGGAATCCACTAGCCACAGGTACCTATTGAGCACCGGAAGTGTAATGAATGCAACTGAGGAAATGAATTTAAAATTTTATTTACTTTTCATTACTTTAAATTTAAATACAAATAGCCATGGATCATTCATGGCTACCGTGCTACAGAACACATATCTGATTGTTTAATTTTCTGTAATACAGGGTTAGAAATATCTCATTCTCAATTATGTAATATTAAAAGCCTGAGTAGTTAAAAACCATTTAAGGTGGGTGTAATTTCATTTGGCTAAACATTTACTTGCGTGGAGTGAATGTATTTATTTTCCTTATTTATCATACTTTGTATAAATATTAATGTTTTGCTAAAGAAAAGGCCAGGTGTGGAGATTCCCATTTGTAATCCCAGCTCTTTGGGAGGCCAAAGTGGAAGGATCATTTGCACCCAGGAGCTGGAGGCCAGCCTGAGCAACATAGTGAAACTCTATCTCTACAAAAAATAAAAAAATTAGCTGGGTGTAGTGGCATGTGCCTGTAGTCCCAGCTACTTGGGAGGCTGAAGTGGGAGGATTGCTGGTGTCCAAGAGGTTGACGCTGCTGTGAGCTATGGTCGTACCACTGTACTCCAGCCTGGGTGACAGAGCAAGGCCCTGTCTCAAAAAAAACAAAAAAAAAAGAGGAAAGAAAAGAAATATCATGTATTCAATTATATGGTATCTCCCCACTCTCCACATTACTGGGAGTGTTAGAAAATCTGTAGCAACTATTATGTAGCATAATATCTTTCTAGAATGAATATATGTGTGTGTAGGTATATAGTATACATATAATATATGGAAATGTGCATACATCTACATTTTAATCTATACATTTATCTGCATTTATCTATCATCTATCTACCTATGTAATCTAATCTGTCACATTTAACACCTAAGTACTTCAGTATATAATTCCCAAAAACAAGGACTTTCTCCTACATAATAATAATAACATTCACACTCAAGGAATTATTATCAATACATTAATATTATCTAATATCTTATAACTACATTTTCCCAGTTATACTAAAATATCTCTTATAGCTTTTTTTTGATGGACTTCCTGTAGTCCAGTCAAGGAACAAGCTTTTAATTTGGTTATCTTGTTTTGTTAATCCTTCTTCATCACGAACAGTTTTTTTTAGTTTGTTTCACTTTAATACACTGACAGTTTTTAAAAGTCCTGTCCCCTTGTTATGTAAAATGTTGCTCAGTCTGGTTTTGTTAGAATTTTTTTTTGACAATTAGATTCCAGTTATGTGTTTTTGGCAAGAAAGTTACATAGGTGATGTTATATACGTGCCATTGCATCATATGTGCGGTCCACATTTTGTAAGCCTGTATCTGCTAGGTCTCTCCATTGTTGGGGTTCTGTTTTTCATATGCAGTTAATAAAAAGATGGCATGGTACTTTAAGATCCTGTGAATATTACTTTCCCAAATAATTTACCCAGTAGTTTTAAAGTTAATTGATGATCCTTGCCCGAATCTATGGTCCTACCTGAATGGCTGCAAAAATGATGATTTTTCTAAATTTATCCTTCCTTCTGTGTTTTTTAGGTTGGATTCATCTCTGATGAAGAGTTCCCCCACGTGTTTTAACTAAAAGAAACATATAGCATTTCTGTGATCAACCCCTCAATAAATTTTAGTGTACTTGTTGATATCATCTCAGAAGTCATTTTTAATTAGATCAGACCTCCATTTTAAAAAACCCTATGAACAGATTCCAAATTCTCCTCACTTTTTTTTTTTTAACAAAAGTTTTATTGGAGATAGAACCACCATGTACACAGGGAAAAGAGCACAAAAATTCAACTGATACAGAACAACAACTGAAAGTCACAATTACCCAATGTAGTTTGCAATTACTTTTCAGTTTCTTAAACAGCTCCCCTCAACTTGTTTTTTTAACAGTCTTGCTAATTTTTCAGCTGAAACAGCATCAAGTTTTCCAAAAATTAAGAGCCTCGGGAGGGGACCCGCTTTCAAGATACTGAAGGTGACATCAAGAGTCTCCTCCTAACAGGACCAACTCTATCTAAAAGTTGCTTACGAGTAACTTGAATCTTGTGTAATAGTCTGCATCTCACAGACCATCATGGATGAGTTAGAACACTGTTGTTGATGGTCCAGTATGAAGAGAGGGCAACCAAATAGCTGTATTCGCTTGTCAGCTGAGCTCATATAAAGAAGTCAGTGAGGAGCTGAGAAAATATAGGCAATGGCTGCTCAATAAGAATTTTAAGTTCCGAATACCACATATAGGTAGACACCAGTGTGCAAGTTGATGCAACTAGAAAGAAACAGATGACTTTTTAAAATACCTGGCCACAGGTCTTTGAGAACTCAAGAAAATAATCAACAGTAGACACAAGAGTCAAAAATCTTCTCAGGTTGAAGATTAGGACATGGGTAATCTTCCTAACAGCTCCAACAGGCAAGGAAATATGCTGTGGCAAAAAGCATTAAGTAGTTCTGATTTTTAAAAAACAAAAACAAAATTTTCTGCTTCTCCTCCCTTCAAAGCTTCAAGGAAATAGAAACAAGGAAACAAAACAAAAACAAAAAAAACCAGTGATGGTAAAGAGAAGCCTTTTGCTTGAATTATCAATTCGAAAAACAGTAATTTTGCCATTTTGTATATATAAACAATCTTGGGACATTCTTCTGAAAACTAGGTGTCCAGTGGCTAAGAGAACTCAATTTCAAGCACTTCTGAAAGGAACACCAGCATGACCCAGAATCTCAAATTCCCAAACAGGGGCTGCGTGGGAAAAATGAGGGAGGACTTTTGTATCTAGGGTTTTAGCAAGTTAAAATGAAGATGACAGGAAAGGCTTATTTATCAACAAAGAGAAGAGTTGGGATGCTTCTAAAAAAACTTTGGTAGAGAAAATAGGAATGCTAAATCCTAGGAAGCCTGTAACAATCTACAACTGGTCCAAGTTGAAGACAAAACTGTCCAAACAACATTTAAATCTAAAGTATGTTGAAAACTAGTTGAGAAGTTTTTGCTCCTGTAACAATTTACAAAACACGTTCATTTTGGTCTCTTTTGCAGTTTTCTTATTGTATTCATTTTTAATATAAAGAGTTGGATTTTTCTCTTCTATGATGTTCCTCTAGTACAACTGATCATTAATTTTCTATTTTAGCTATTTTTATAAGTACTTGTTAATCAGCACAGTTAACTTGGGGCTAAGTCATATATACACATCCCATACTCATAAATGAAAATTTTTAGGATGTGAATATACAAGATATTATGTAAGCAACTGTCCCCCTACTTGAAAACTTGTTTCCAAATAATGTTTTTTAAAAACATCCCTTTCAGTGTAACAGAACATTACCTAGTAAAATATCAATAGCTATGACAATTCATTTCTCTTTTCAAGGGAAATCACAAAACAGGTGAACAACCAAGTCAAGGGTGGTTTTTCTGTTTGATAAATACATCCAGAACTCTGTACAGTAAATAAAGTTTGCATGCAGTTTAAGTATCTTTAAATGACATTTTAAGTAAATAAACCTTTTGCTTCATAATTAGTGGTGTATAAGAACCCTCCCCACTTTTTAATAGCCACAGGGATCTCTTTCCCAGTTCCAAAGAGGAATTAATGAAGACCAGGTATGTTTAGAGGCTTCTATTTAAAAACTGTCTTCTGGAAGTCCTAGCCAGAGCAATCAGGCAAGAGGAAGAAAGAAAACGTATTCAAATAGGAAAAGAATAAATCGAAATATCTCTCTTCACTGATGATATGATTCTACACCTAGAAAACTCTGAAGACTCTTCCAAAAGGGCCTCTGGAAGGGATAAATGACCAGTAAAGTTTCAGGATACAAAATAAATGCACAAAAATCAATAGCATTTTTGTATATCAATAATGTTCAAGCTGAGAGCCAAATCAAGAACGCAATCCCATTTACAATAGCCACAAAATATTAAATCCCTAGGAATACATCTAACCAAGGAAGTGAAAGATCTCTTTAAGGAAAACTGCAAAACACTACTGAAAGAAATCATAGATGACAAAAACAAATGGAAAAGCATTCCATTCTCATGGATTGGAAGAATCAATACTGTTAAAATGGCCATACTGGGCCAGGTGCGGTGGCTCATGCCCATAATCCCAGCACTTTGGGAGGCCAAGGCCAGCGGATCACAAGGTCATGAGATCAAGAACATCCTGGCTAACATGGTGAAACCCCATCTCTACTAAAAATACAAAAAGTTAGCCAGGCAAGGTGGCAAGTGCCTGTAGTCCCAGCTACTTGGGAGGCTGAGGCAGGAGAATGGCGTGAACCCGGAAGGTGGAGCTTGCAGTGAGCAGAGATCACACTATTGTACTCCAGGCTGGGTGACAGAGTGAGACTCTGTCTCAAAAAAAAAATAAAATAAAAAAATAAAGGCCATACTGCCCAAAGCAATCTACTGATTCAATGCTATTCCTATCCGACTACCAGTGTCTCTTCTAAAATTTATATGGAAACAAAAAAGCCTGAATAGCCAAAACAAACCTAAGCAAAAAGAACAAAGCTGGAGTCGTCACGCTACCAGACTTCAAACTATGCTATAAGGCTACAGTAACCAAAATAGCGTAGTACTGGTACAAAAACAGACACACAGACCAATGGAACAGAATAGAGAACCCAGAAATAAAGCAGCATACCTACAGCCATCTAATCTTAAACAATGCTGACAAAAAACAGGCAATGGGAAAAGACTCCCTATTCAATAAATGATGCTGGGATGGCAGGCTAGCCATATGCAGAATGAAACTGGACCCCATCCTTTCACCATATATAAATATGCACTCAAGATGGATTAAAGTTTTAAATGTAAGACATCAAACTATAAGAATTGCAAAAGAAATACCTAGGAAACACCATCCTGGGCATTGGCCTTGGGAAAGAATTCATGACTAAGTCCTCAAAAGCAATCACAATGAAAAAAAATTGATATGTTACTTAAAATTGATAATTTAGTTACAAATTAAACTAAAGAGCTTCTGCATAACAAAAGTAACTATTAACAAAGTAAACAGACAACCTACAGAATGGGAGGAAATATTTGCAAACTATGCATCTGACAAAGGTCTAATATCCTATAAGGTAATTAAACAATTGAACAAACAGAAAACAAATAATGCCATTAAAAAGTAAAATACATGAACAGACACTGCTCAAAAGACATACAAGTGGCCAATAAACATATGAAAAAATGTTTCACATCACTAAACATCAGAGAAATGCAAATCAAAACCAAAATGGGATACCATCTCACATCAGTCAGAATGGCTATGATTAAGAAGTCAAAAAACAATGCATGATGGCAAGGCTGTGGAGAAAAGGGAACACTTATAGGCTCTTGGTGGGAATGTAAATTAGTCCAGCTACTGTGGAAAGCAGTTTGGAGGTTTCTCAAAGAACTTAAAAGAGAACTACAATTTGATCCAGCAATCCCATTACTGGATATATTTCCAAAAGAAAATAAATCATTCTACTAAAAAGACATGTGAACTTGTATATTCATTACAACACTATTCACAATGGCAAAGGATTGGAATCATCCCAAATGCCCATCCACAGTGGACTGGATAAAGAAAAGGTGGTACAAATACACCAGGAAACCCTATGCAGCCATAAAAAAGAATGAAATCTTGTCCTTTGTAGCAACATAGATGCAGCTGGAGTGAATTAACGCAGGAACAGAAAACCAAATATTGTACGTTCTCACAAGGAGGAGTTAAACATCAGTACTCATGGACATAAAGATGGCAACAATAGGCACTGGGGACTACTAGATGGGGGCTGAAGGGGAGGAAGGGTTGAAAAACTACCTGTTGGATACTGTGCTCTCTACTCGGGTGATGGAATTATTTGTACCCTAAACCTCAGCATCACACAATATACCCATGTAACAGTCCTGCAAACAACAACAAAAAAGGTAATCCATGTGTGAGGTGTGTGAAAACTGAAGTGATGAAATACAGCAGCAAGTGGGGATGTACACCAGGGTCCAAGCTTGATGATAAACCGGGATTCAGAAGGCTGCCCCCGAGTACTCAAATGCTCAGGACTTCAAGTGCAATTAATTGGAGGGGACTTCAGCAAAGTCACTGCCACTTGCCTTAAAGTCATACTGCTTCTTACTAGGTCTGTCTGGGTGGGAATGTAACTTCTTTGGACCTCAATTTTCTTATCTATTGATAAAAGAGATTGGACTAGGTGATTTCCATCACTTCTTCCCACTCTTTGACTTCTTTATAACTTAGTTTGTCTGTTTTGCTATTTTCAGGGCACGACCATAATAACATCCCTGACTTCTGTGCTGCACAATGACAAAGAATTCCCCAACCCAGAGATGTTTGACCCTGGCCACTTTCTGGATAAGAGTGGCAACTTTAAGAAAAGTGACTACTTCATGCCTTTCTCAGCAGGTAATAGATATTCATTTCCATCTGTCCTTCAGGGCACATGATACCTTTTTGGGATCAGTTGACTCTTACATGATGCCACCTCTGAGGTTTGGCTGAATTGCTTTGCAGATCATTAGCACCATTCCCTATGCCCATGCGATTTCCCTGCTGATGAACATCCCCATTATTGGGCCAGGTTAGTGGGGCTTTGGGGAGTTGATCCAGTTTTTCAAACTGAAAAAGCTAGAATGTAGGTTAATTTAATTCTGCCTCTAGATACATCACTGAGCTACCCAAGAGCTCTTCTTAATGGGTGAAACTTATTTAGACATTTCTCATCTGCCATGAGAAAAGTATCTAATTCCACAACTTTGAATATCTTCCCTGTGGTGTCCCTAGCTCCCTAGACTGAGCTCTGGAGATACAAGTATCTGAGAGCAGAGAATGGGCTCTTAAGAGGCTCACTCCTGATTTAGAGAAGTAGACAAGTAAACAGATCATTGTAATCTAGTAGGAGGAAGGCTGCCAGAGGGGAAAGCGCAGGATGTTGGGGAGCTCAGTGGGGGAATCTGCCTGCTTCCTGCTCATTCATAGGCCATACCACTTCCAAGAGGAAGGAAACTTAAGCTGCCTCATTGCAGCAGGAAACAGGACAAGAAGAGAAGGCAAGGCACTTTTACAGAGGTAATGGACCATAGTAGCAGGACATTTTCTGTAGATCTAGGGGGTCAGAACCTACCAACAAATTTCAGGGTCAGGAAAACCCTGGGAATGTGGAAGGATAGTCTGCAATAATTCCAGAGCACCTTGATCTCCCTCCACTCATGATCATACATCTTGGATATTCAATCTCTACAGCTAAAGTGTGTGGTGAGTCTGTGGACATAGAGTTCCCTTCATTTTTTCCTCTGGCTTTTGATCCCTGCTTTGGATCTGGCACTGTATACACTGAGATGTCAAGAACTAAGGCCTTCTTTTAAGGATTTCACGTTTTAGCAAGATAGAAAAGTAAATACACAGATAATAGAATTCCCGGTGATCTATGCTCCAGTGGAAGCATGAATATGATGAGGAAACCTAGAGAGGGTGAGTTTCTATTGACTAGGGATCACAGAAATCATAAAGAGGAAATGACATGGGGCATAGCTTCTGAAGGAAGCATAGGAGTAGAGCTTTTTAGGCAGATGTGACAGCAAGAGATAAAGCTTGAAACTTTGTGGTGTGTTGGAAATTGATGAAGAATGGATATGCCTAGAGCTGAGAGTGGAGGAGATGAAGAATGGAAGGAGTGATATAGAACATCAGACTGGGAACAGAATGTGAAGAGTCAGGTCAAGCCATTTGGCCTTTATCCCATAGGACAGATGGGTGTTGTTTAAAGTTGTAAAATGAGAGACTGACATGTTTAGACATGTACTTTTGAAAGTACACTAGGAAAAAAAATCTTTGGCTAAACATTGTGCCAGAAGTACAAAGGGGAACACACTATATGAGCCTTCTCTTTTCAGCCCATCTTCCCTGTGAATGCATTTCTAGAAAAAGACTGATGGAAACTTGTAGTGTCAAAAGAGCAGTTATAACGTGGGAACACTTAGTGAAGTGCATGGCATAGAGCTGATACTCCATAAATATTTGTTGAGTGAAGGGTGCCTAGTAAAATAAGATATTAAGTAGATAGGAAGTGTATTCATTTTTGTTTTTCTGTGTATCCAGCCATCCTTCCAGTCATTCTGCCTTCGATCCATCCATCTATTTAATCATTTATCAAATAGTTACTGCATACTCTTTGTGACTGTTCATGACCTAATGTTCAAGGAACAAATCCCCTATGTCTCTTATTTTCAGGAAAACGGATGTGTATGGGAGAGGGCCTGGCCCGCATGGAGCTGTTTTTATTCCTGACCACCATTTTGCAGAACTTTAACCTGAAATCTCAGGTTGACCCAAAGGATATTGACATCACCCCCATTGCCAATGCATTTGGTCGTGTGCCACCCTTGTACCAGCTCTGCTTCATTCCTGTCTGAAGAAGGGCAGATAGTTTGGCTGCTCCTGTGCTGTCACCTGCAATTCTCCCTTATCAGGGCCATTGGCCTCTCCCTTCTCTCTGTGAGGGATATTTTCTCTGACTTGTCAATCCACATCTTCCCATTCCCTCAAGATCCAATGAACATCCAACCTCCATTAAAGAGAGTTTCTTGGGTCACTTCCTAAATATATCTGCTATTCTCCATACTCTGTATCACTTGTATTGACCACCACATATGCTAATACCTATCTACTGCTGAGTTGTCAGTATGTTATCACTAGAAAACAAAGAAAAATGATTAATAAATGACAATTCAGAGCCATTTATTCTCTGCATGCTCTAGATAAAAATGATTATTATTTACTGGGTCAGTTCTTAGATTTCTTTCTTTTGAGTAAAATGAAAGTAAGAAATGAAAGAAAATAGAATGTGAAGAGGCTGTGCTGGCCCTCATAGTGTTAAGCACAAAAAGGGAGAAAGGTAAGAGGGTAGGAAAGCTGTTTTAGCTAAATGCCACCTAGAGTTATTGGAGGTCTGAATTTGGAAAAAAAAACTATGTCCAGGAGCAGCTGTAACCTGTAGGGAAATACTGGAACAATCATCCATAAGAGGGATGAACATTAAGTGTTTGAATTCATGCTCTGCTTTTGTGTTACTGTAAACACAAGATCAAGATTTGGATAATCTTTTTCCTTTGTGTTTCCAACTTAGATCATGTCTAAATATATGCTTTCATATGGCTAATCATGTGTTAATGACTGTTATTTTTCTCTTCCAAACAAGAGCAAAATCTCCAGAAATCCTCACCAGGCTTTATTTTTTTTCTATTTTGCACTGCATACTTTTATTTTACTGAACATAAATGCAATGGTAATTAGATGCTATGATCCTGAAATTATTAGCCTTATGTCAACTCTAAAGCTTAAACAAGTGAACAAATCATACACATCAAATTCTAGTCATCTTTTTTCCTTCCTTCTGTCTTGAAGTGTATGAAATGAGAAGTGACACATTAACCTTTTCCCAGCTCATCTCCAAGAGAAAGTCCTTTATACTTATCATGCATTTGTAAGATAACTCATGTGTATAGTTTTATAAACACACACGCACATATGTCTGCATAGGTGTATATTTACATATAATATATACACATGTATATATGAGATTGATAGTGGTTCTTTAATATAATGAGTTCATATTACACATATTATTATATTATACAACTTGCTCTTTTTTTTAACTTTTATTTTAGGAGGTACACATGCAGGTTTGTTATATAGGTAAACTCATGTCACGGGTTTTTTGTACAGATTATGTCATCACCCAGGTACTAAGCCTAGTACTCAATAGTGATTTTTTTTTGCTCCTCTCCCTCCTCCCACCCTCCACCCTCATGCTGTCCCTAGTGTCTGTTGTTCCCTTCTTTTTACTCATGAGTTCTCATCAATTAGCTCCCACTTATAAGCAAGAACATGTGGTATTTAGTTTTCTGTTTCTGTTAGTTTGCTAATGATAATGGCCTCCAGATCCTTCAATTTTCCTGCAAAAGACATGTTTTGTAATAAACAATATGCCAGGAAAACTTCCAAGGTAGTAGAAACCTGACAAGTCATTTCATTGGGCAGATTACGGAAGAAAATATGAAATGGCTATTAAAAGTATTAAAATAGCTTAAAAATAAAAAGTATACATTAAAGCTACATTACTTGTAGTATTAGCAGTAAAACAGACATTTCCTTATTGAAGTAATAGATAATATAGAGCAACTTTTTCACCAACACTACTATCCCATGACTGTGTTGAGCTTAAAGCAGGGAGTGAGCAGTGGTTGTATTAGCAATGTTGCCCGAAGTTACCCTCCAGGTGGATTAAAGATTCTCTAAGTTAAGTGAAAATCATAGGCATTAATAGTGATAAGAGTCTTATGATATGGAGTCTTTTTCTAGTGTTGTGGGAAATGCTGTCAATAGCATGAAGCCATGAAGCCATCAACTTCTCATCCTGGTTTGCAGTTTGAATGTCTCTGGTTATGGGCATTGGGAGGTTTGGTAAATTTTCTGTGTGCTCCACACATCAGGAATGAGACTCATCCCTTAAAATTAATCTAGTTTCAGATTATAGGGTTTCAGGAACAGATCAGTTCCCAGTTTTACTAATTTCATAGAAGAAAATGGGATTAGAGAAATCTAGAAGAATTCAGGATCTAGTCTAGTCTGTAGATAGATAACAAGAACTAGAAAACAATGCACAGGTCTACAATCCAGTAACAGATGTAACTTTTCTCTACAAACATACTTTTTCTCTCTACATTGATCACAGAGGAATCTCAGATTTGTTGTTTATTTCTTTTTTTTAACTTTTAGGTTCAAGGTACATGTGCAGGTTTGGTATGCAGGTTAATTTCATGTCACAGGAGTTTAGTATACAGATTATTATTTCATCACCCAGGTAATAAGCATAGTACTTGATAGGCAGTTTTTCGATTTTCACCCTCCATCGTCAAGTAGGCCCCAGGGTCTCTTGTTCCCTTCTTTGTGCCCATGTGTTCTCCATGTTTAGCTCCCACTTATAAGTGAGAACATGCACTACTTGGTTTTCTGTTCCTGTGTTAGTTCTCTTAGAATAATGGCCGCCAGCTCCATCCATGTTCCTGCAAAGGATGTGATCTTGTTCTTTTTTATGTCTGTGTAGTATTCCTCAGTGTATATGTACACATTTTCTTTATCCAGTATACCATTGATGGGCATTTAAGTTGATTCCATGTTCTTGCTATTGTGAATATTGCTGCAATGAACATGTGCATGCATACATATGTCTTTATGGTAGAACAATTTATATTCCTTTGGGTAGTATATACCCAGTAATGGGATGGCTGAGTTGAGTGGTAATTGTGTTTTAAGTTCTTTGATAAATCACCCAAGTGCTTTCCAAAGTGGCTGAACTAATTTAGATTCCCACCAGGAGTCTATAAGCATTCCTTTTTCTCTGCAGTCTTGCTAGCATCTGTTATTTTTTGAGTTTTTATTATGATAGCCACTCTGACTGGTGTGAGATGGTATGTCATTGTGGTTTTGATTGGCACTTCTCTAATGGTTAGTGATGTTGGGCATTTTTAAGTGTTCATTGGCTGTATGTATGACTTCTTTTGAAAAGTGTCTGTTCATGTTCTTTGCCCACTTTTTAATGGGATTGTTAATTTTTTGCTTTTTAATTTGTTTAAATTCCTCATGGGTTCTGGATATTAGACCTTTGTTGGGTGCATAGTTTGCAAATATTTTCTCCCATTCTGTAGGCTGTCTCTTTACTTTGTTGGTAGTTTCTTTTGCTGTGGAGAAGCTCTTTAGTTTATTTAGGTCTCATTTGTCAATGTTTGCATTTGTTGCAATCACTTTTGGCATCTTTATCATGAAATCTTTGCCAGGCCTTATGTCCAGAATGGTATTTCCTAGATTATCCTCCGAGGTGTTTACAGTTTTAGGTTTTATATATAAGTCTTTAATTCATCTTGACTTTTGTATATGGTGAAAGGAAGGGATCCGCTTTCAGTCATCTGCATATGGCTTGCCAATTATTTCAGCACCATTTATTGAAGAGGGAGTCCTTTTCCCATTGCTTGTTTTTGTTGACTTTGTTGAAGATCAGATGGATGTAGGTGTGTAGCATTATTTATGGGCTCTGTATGTTGTTCCATTGGCCTATGTGTCTGTTTTTGTACCAGTACCATGCTGTTTTGGTTATTGTAGCCTTATGGTATAGTTTGAAGTCAGGTAATGTGATGCCTTCATCTTTGTTCTTTTTGCTTAGGATTGCCTTGGCTATTCCGGCTCTTTTTTGGTTTCATATAAATTTAGCATAGTTTTTTTCTAATTCTGAGAAGAATGTCATTGATAGTTTATAGAAATAGCATTGAATCTATAAATTGTGTTGAGTAGTATGGCCATTTTAATAACATTGATTCTTCCAATCCATTAGCATGGAATGTTTTTCCATTTGCTTCTGTCATCTCTGATTTATTTCATCAATGTTTTGTGGTTTTCTTTGTAGCACTCTTTCACTTCCCTGGTTAGCTGTATTCCTAGATATTTTATTCTTTTTGTGGCTGTTGTGAATGGGATTGTGTTCTTGATTTGGCTCTCAGCTTGGATGTTGTTGGTATATAGAAATGCTATGAATTGTTGTACATAAATCTTATTTCCCAAAACTTTGCTGAAATTGTTTATCAGATCAAGGAGCTTTTGGGTACAGACTTTGGGTTTTCTAGGCCTAGAATCATATCATCTGCAGTGATAGATTGACTTCCTGTCTTCCAATTTGGGTGAGTTTTATTTCTTTCTCTTGCCTGATTGCTCTGTCTAGGAATTCCAATACCATGTTTAATAGGAGTGGTAAGAGAGGGCAACCTTGCCTTGGTCCCGTTTTTAAGGGAAATACTTCTAGCTTTTGCTCATTCAGTATATGTGGCTGTGGGTTTGTCACTGACCACTCTTATTCTTTTCTTTATTCCTCCTTTGTCTTTCTCTCTTTCTTTTTAAATTATTCTTGTTTATTGGATAAGATAGCTCTTACTATTTTGACATATGTTTCTTAAAAGCCTGCTTTGTTGAGGGGTTTTTAACATGAAGGGATGTAGGATTTTATCAAAGGCCTTTTCTGCATATATTGAGATAATCACATAGTTTTTGTTTTTAATTCCGTTTATGTGATGAATCACGTTTACTGATTCGTGTACATTAAACCAATCTTACATACCAGAGATAAAGCCTAATTGACTGTAATGGATTAGCTGTTTAATGTGCTGCTGGATTCTGTTTGCTGGAATTTTGATGAGGATTTTTGCATCAATGTTCATCAAAGATACTGACCTGAAGTTTTTTTTTTTTTTTTTTTTTTTTGGTGTGTTTGCGTCTGCCAAGTTTTAATATTGGGAAAATGTTGGCCTTAAAGAATGGGTTACTGAGGTATCCCTCCTCCTCATTTTTTGGGAATCATTTCCATAGTGATAGTTCCTGTTCTTTTATGCATCTGGTTGAATTCAGCTATTGATCCATCTGGTCCTGGGCTTTTTTTTTTTTTTTTTTTCCCTGGTTGATAGGCTTTGTATTGCTAATTCAATTTTGGAACTCATTATTGGTTTGTTCAAGGATTTGATTTCTTCCTGGTTCAATCTTGGGAGGTTGTATGTTTCCAGAAATTTGCCTGTTTCTTCTACGTTTCCCAGCTTGTATGCAAAGAGTGTTTATGGTAGTCTCTGATGACTTTTGTATTCTTGTGGGTTTGGTGGTAATGTCCCCTTTTTCACTTCTTGTTGTGTTTATTTGGATGTTGTCTTTTTATTAGTGTAGCTAGCAGTCTATTGATCTTATTTATCCTTTCAAAAAACAAACTGGATTCATTGGTCCTTTATATGGTTTTTCATGTCTTGACTTCCTTCAGTTCAGCTCTGATTTTGGTTATTTCTTGTCTTCTGCTAGCTTTGGGGTTGGTTTGCTCATTGTTTTACTGGTTCCTCTAGGTGTGATGTTAGGTTTTAATTTGAGATCTTTCTAATTTTGTTTTGATTTCCAACTTTTATTTTAAATTCAGGGGTACTTGTGCAGGTTATGCAGCTTTGTCACATACTTAAATGTCTGCCATGGTGGGGTAGCTGCACAGATCATTCCATTGCCTAGGTTTAAGCCCAACATCCATTAGCCATTCTTCCTGATGCTTTCCCTCCTCCCACTCCCAACCCTCTGACGGGTCCCAGTGTGTGTTTTTCCCTTCATGTGTCCAGGTATTCTCATCATTCAGCTCTGTCTTATAAGTGAGAACACGAGGTATTTGATTTTCTGTTCCTGTGTTAGTTTGCTGAAGATAATGGCTTCCAGTTCCATCCATGTCCCTGCAAAGGACATAATCTTGTTCCTTTTTATGGCTGCATAGTATTCCATTGTGTATATGTACCATATTTTCTTTATCCAGGCTATCATTGTTGGACATTTAGGTTGATTAGATGTATTTGCTACTGTGAATAGTGCTGCAATAAACATACACATGCATGTATCTTTTATTTATTTATTTATTTTTGAGATGGACTGTCACTCTGTTGCCCAGCTGGAGTGCAGTGGCATGATCTCGGCTCACTGCAACCTCCACCTCATGGGTTCAAGCAATTCTTCTGCCCTAGCCTCCTGAGTAGCTGGTATTACAGGCATGCATAACCATGCCTGGCTAATTTTTCTGTTTTTAGTAGAGACAGTTTCACCATGTTGGCCAGGCTGGTCTCAAATTTCTGACCTCAGGTGATCCACCTGCCTCCCAAAGTGTTGGAATTACAGGCGTGAGCCACCACACCTGGCTGGATGTATCTCTGTAATATAATAATTTATATATTTTTGGGTATATACTCAGTAATGAGATTGCTGGGTCAAATGGCATTTCTGCCTACAATGGTTGAACTACTTTTCACTCCCACCAATGGTGTAAAAACGTTCCTTTTCCTCCACAACATTGCTAGCATCTGTTGTTTTTTGACTTTTTAATAATAGCCCTGCTGACTAGGAGATCCTTTTAACTTTTTGATGTGGGCATTTAGCACTAAATGTTTCCCTCTTAACACTGCTTTAGCTGTGTCCCAGAGATTCTGGTATGCTTTATCTTTGTTCTCATTAGTTTCAAAGAGCTTCTTGATTTCTGCCTTGATTTCATTGTTTACCCAAAATTCATTCAGGAGCATGTTGTTTAATTTCCATGTAATTGTATGGTTTTGAGTGATATTCTTAGTATTGATTTATATTTTTATTGCACTGTGGTTCAGGAGTGTGGTTGGTATGATTTTGATTTTTTTGAATTTGCTGAGAATTGTTTCATGGTCAGTTGTGTGGCCTATTTTACTGTATGTGCCATGTGGCAATAAGAATATACATTCTGTTGTTTTGGGGTGGAGCATTCTGTAGATGTCTACTAGGCCCATTTGGTCATGTGTCAAGTTCTAGTTCCAAACATCTTTGTTAGTTTCTGCCTTGATGATCTGTCTAATGCTGTCAGTGGGGTGTTGAAGTTTCCCACTATTATTGTGCAGTTATCTGAGTCTCTTTGCAGGTCTCTAAGAGCTTGCTTTATGAACTAGGTGCTTCTGTATTTGGTGCATAAATATTTAGGATGGTCTGGTCTTCTTGTTGAAGTGAACCTTTACTATTATGTAATGCCTTTTGTGTGTTTTTTTGATCTTTGTTGGGTTGAAGGCTGTTTTGTCTGTAATTGGAATAGCATCTTCTGCTTTTTTGTGTATGTTTTCCGTTTACTTGGTAGATTTTTCTCTGCAAATGTACTTTTTGCCTATGGGTGTCATTGCGTGTGAGGTGGAGCTCTTGAAGACAGCATACAGTTGAGTCTTACTTTTTTATCCAACTTGCCACTCTGTGCCTTTCAACTGTGGCAGTTAGCCCATTTACAGTCAAGGTTAATATTGACATGTACAGGTTTGATCCTGTCATCATATTGTTAGCTGCTTGTTATACAGCCTTTTGTGTGTGTGTGTGTGTATGATTGCTTTATAGTGTCACTGATCTGTGTACTTAAGTGTGTTTTTGTGGTGGCCAGTAATGACATTTTCTTTCCGTATTTAGCACTCCTTTCAGGACCTCTTGTAGGATAGGTCTTGTAATAAATTCTCTTAGCATTTGCTTGTCTTTTTGAAAAGGATCTTATTTTTTCTTCAGTTGTGAAGCTTAGTTTGGCTGGATATGAAATTCTTGGTTGGAATTTCTTTTCTTTGAGAATGCTGAATATGAGCCCCCAGTCTGGCTTGTAAGGTTTCTGCGAAAAAGTCTACTGTTAGCCTGATGGGGTTCCCTTTCTAGGTGACCTGCCTTTAATATTTTTTCTTGCATTTCAACCTTGGAGAATCTGTGTGTCTGGGGGATGGTCATCTTGTATAGTATCTCACAGAGGTTCTCTGCATTTTCTGAATTTGAATGTCAGCCTCTGTAGGTGAGGTTGGGGAATTTTCAAGGACAGTATCCTGAAATATGTTTTCCAAGTTGCTTGCTTTCTCTCCCTCTCTTTCAGAGACACCAATGAGACTTAGATTTCATGTCTGATATGGTTGGGCTATGTCCCCACCCCAAATCTCATCTTGAATTGTGGGCCCCATAATCCCCATGTATTGTGGGAGGGACCTGGTGAGAGGTAATTGAATCATGTGGGTTGGTTTTTCCCATGCTGTTCTCATGATAGTGCATAAGACTCATGAGATCTGATGATTTTATAAAGGACAGTTCCCTTGCATATGCTCTCTTGCCTGTGGCCATGTAAGATGTGCCCTTGCTCCTCCTTCACCTTCTGCCAAGATTGTGTGGCCTCCTCAGCCATGTGGAACTGTGAGTCCATTAAACCTCTTTTTCTTTATAAATTACCCAGTCTTGGTATTTCTTCATAGCAGTATGAAAGTTGACTAAGGCAGTAAATTGGTCCTGGAAGTGGAGCACAGCTATTAAGATACCCAAAAATGTGGAAGTGACTTTGAAACTGGATAACAGTTTGGAAGGCTCAGAAGAAAATAGGAAAATGTGGGAATATTTTCCTATTCTATAAGTCCTAGAGACGTGTTGAATGGCTTAGATCAAAATGCTGATACAGATATGGACAATAAGGTCCAGGCTGAGGTGGTCTCTGATACAGATGAAGAACTTTTAGGGAACTGGAGTAAAGGTTACTCTTGCTATGCAAAGAGACTGGTGGCATTTTGCCCCTTCCCTAGAGATCTGTGGAACTTCGAACTTGTGAGAGATGTTTTAGGGTATCTGGCAGAAGAAATTCCTAAGTGGTAAAGTGTTCAAGAGGAAGCAAAACATAAAAGTTTGGAAAATTTGCAGCCTGATGATGCAAGAGAAAAGAAAATCCCATTTTCTGGGGAGACATTCAAGCCTGCTGTAAAAATTTGCATAAGTAACAAGGAGCCAAATGTTAGTCACCAAGACAATGGGGGAAAATATCTCCAGGGCATGTCAAAGACCTCTGTGGCAGCACCTCCCATAACAGGCCCAGAGGCCTAAGAGAAAAAAATGGTTTCCTGGGCTGGGCCCAGGGTCTCCCTGTTGTGTTCAGTTTAGGGACTTGATGCCCTGCATCCCGGCTGCTCCAGCCATGGCTAAAAGGGGCCAAGGTACAGCTTGGCCTGTAGCTTCAGATGGTGCAAGCCCCAAGCCTTGGCAGCTTCCAGGTGGTGTTGAGCCTGTGGGTGCACAGAAGTCAAGAATTGAGGTTTGGAGGCCAGGTGTGGTTGCTCATTCCTCTAATCCCAGTGCTTTGGGAGGATGAGGCAGGCAGATCACCTGAAGTCGGGAGTTTGAGACCAGCCTGGCCAACATGGAAAAACCCCATCTCTACTGAAAATAAAAAAAAATTAACTGGGTGTGGTGGTGGGCATCTGTAATCCCAGCTACTCGGGAAGCTGAGGTAGGAGAATAGCTTGAACCCAGGAGGTGGAGGTTGCAGTGAGCCAAGATTCTGCCACTGCACTCCAGCCTGGGTGACAGAGCAAGACTCCATCTTAAAAAAAAAAATTGAGGTTTGGGAACCTCTGCCTAGATTTCAGAGGATGTATGGAAAGGCCTGGATGTCTAGGCAAAAGTTTGCTGCAGGGGTGGAGCCCTAATGGAGAACCTCTGCTAGGGGAGTACAGAAGGGAAATGTGGGGTGGGAACCCCCACACAAAGTCCCCACCAGGGCATTGCCTTCTGAAGCTGTGAGAAGAGGGCCACCATCTTCCAGATCCCAGAATGGTAGATCCACCAACAGTTTGGCTTGTACCATGTGCCTGGAAAAGCCACAGACACTCAACACCAGGCTGTGAAAGCAGCCACGAGTGGGGCTGTACCCTGCAAAGCCACAGGGTTGGAGCTGCCCAAGACCATGGGCACCTATCTCTTGCTTCAGTGTGACCTGGATGTGAGTCATGGAGTCAAAGAAGATCATTCTGGAGCTTTAAAATTTGACTGTCCTACTGGATTTCAGACTTGTATGGAGCCAGTACCTCCTTTGTTTTGGCCAATTTCTCCCATTTGCAATGGGTGTATTTACCCAATGCCTGTATCCCCATTGTATCAAGGAAGTAACTAACTTGCTTTTGATTTTACAGGCCCATAGGCAGAAGGGACTTGCCTTGTCTCAGATGAGATTTTGAACTGTGGACTTTTGGGTTAATGTTGGAATGAGTTAAGACTCTGGGGGACTATTGGGAAGGCATAATTGGTTTTGGAATGTAAGGACATGAGATTTAGGAGGGGCTAGGGGTGGAATAATATGGTTTGGCTCTGTCCTCACACAAATCTCATTTTGAATTTTAGGTCTTATAATACTCACATGTTGTAGGAAGGACCCAGGTGGGAGGTAATTGAATTATGGGGGCAGGTTTTTCCTGTGCAGTTCTTGTGATAGTGAATAAGTCTCATGAGATCTGATGGTTTTATAAAGGGCTGTTCCCCTGCACATGCTCTCTTGCTTGCCACCATGTAAGACATGCCTTTGCTCACCTTCTGTCATGATTGTGAGGCCTCTCTAGGCATGTGGAACTGTGAGTCCATTAAACCTTTTCTTGTTTACAAATTACCCAGCCTCAGATGTTTCTTCATAGCAGTATGAAAATGGATAATAATCTCATATTTTTTTGGAGGTTTTGTTCATTCTTCTTTTATCTTTCTTCTTTATTTTTGTCTGAATGAGTTATTTTGGAGAACTGGTCTTCAAGCTCTGAGATTCTTTCCTCAGCTTGGTTTATTCTGCTGTTAATACTTATGATTGCATTATAATATTCTTGCAGTGGTTTTTCAGCTCCATCATGGTAGCTAGTTTGTTTCTTAAGATGGCCGTCTCATCTTTTATCTTACAAGTCATCTGTTAATTCCCTGTGGTCATTTGATTTTTCAATTGGTTGCCTTTAAACCTAGGTTCATGGCTTAAAACTATTTTGCAAACTGAGATTATCATGTTACTATTAGTTTACTTGAGGCTTCCAAGAAGAGACAGTTTTTATGCAATCACTGTAAAATGGGGAGCTCTAGAAGCCAGGTTTCTACACACGGTTACTTGTTTTTTCTTGTGTTTTTACCTGTAACTTGTTAAATTTCTGCAGAAGTGCAATTCTTAACAGAAGAATGCTGGCCCAGCACTTTGAGATTATAGCCATTACCTACAGAACAGACAAAATTAACTTAACAGTAAACTCCAGGAAGACAGCCTGGGGACCACTTTTCTGAAACTTCCTTCTTGCTCAGATGTGGCTAAAAGGGTTTTGGCACTGACTCCTAGTCACTGATCACTTCCTTCTAATGTGGGACCAGTAAAAATCAAACAGGGAATGCTTCTTAGACCAAGAGACCTCAGTATTTACTTAAATGAGTTGAAAACTTATTTCTACACAAAAACCTGCACATGGATGATTTTAACAACTTTTTATTTGTCATTGCCAAATACTGGAAGCAACTAACATGTCTTTCAATAGGTGAATAAACAAACAAAGTGGTAAATCCATGCAATGGAATATTGCTTATTGTTAAAAAGGAATGAGCTGTCAAGCCATTAAAAGACATGGGGCAAACATATGCATCCCAGTAACTAAAATAAACTAACCTGAAAAGGCTATATACTGTATGATTCTATCTATATGACATTCTGGAAAAGGCAAAACTATGGTGACACTAAAATATTATATTTTTTGCGAAGGGCTTGGGGAAAGAGAGGAAAGAATAGGCAGAGCATAGAGGACTTTTAGGGGATTGAAACTATTCTGTATGCTACTAACGTGCTGCATACATGTCATACATTATATATGAACCCTATATAAGCTGGACTTTGTTGATGGTGATGTGTCAATATGGGTCTATTGATTGTAGTTATGAAACCTTACTGCTGAGAGTAACTAATTGTGGGGGAGGTTATCTGTGGGTGAGAGGAGGGAGTATGTGGGAACTGTGTACTTTCCACTTAGTTTTGCTGGGAACCCAAAACAATCCTAAAAAATAAATTCTGCTAATTAAAAAATCCCCACTGTAATCTACAATTGCTGCCAAGCTGAGGTTTGCATTATTCTGTGACTGTGGAGGGCTTAATGCTGATACTCTCCTGATCATTTTGATTGAGATGTGTGTTTTACAGGATGGGATGCACAGTATCATTAAACTGGGAGTTGAAAAACTGAAATTCTCACACACTTTCGCATTGGTGGTACTTTATCTCATTGGGTCACCAAATGCTCATTCCTTAAAAATGAATCAAAATTAAAGGCCCCCTCTATCTTTAACTTATCTATGATTCCTTCATTCTATAAAAGGTCCAGGCAGGAGACTTAGTTCATCAAAAGGGAGGAGGGCAAATCAGGGACACTCACCTCTCAAGGAATAAAATAATTGCTGTAAAGAGAGCAATTGAGCTTATTTTATCCAAAATAAGGTGGTGTAGTTGCAGTTCTTCTAGAATTTGGAGGTATGGGAGTTAGGCAGTAACCCTTCACCCTGGGTACAGAATTAACTAAGATCTAGACTCACTCAAGTACTAAAGGTGTATAAAACTATACTCTCTGACCCCCTTTTTAGTCGATTGGCACTGTAATTATTAACTAAATTAATATTTACTTTGCAAGTCACTCACTAGGCTGAATCACGAAATATCGAAACACAGTACACAATCAGTCAATGTTAGCAAACCCAGTTGAACTGAATGTTTTATTTCGGAGAAAGGGTGCAAGACTCAGATGTTATGGGTTCCATAGCACCTGCAGACACCATGTACTTACTTGGTCAAGATATTGAATTTCTGAGGCCCAGATTCTTCATCCCTAAAATAAGAATACTTTTACATGAGGCAAAAGTAATTGAGAGAATAAAGAGGAATATGATGTGTATGAAAATTGTATGTTAATTGTCAGAATCCCTGTAAACGTGACTGATAAAACATTGTGTAACTGCATGTTAATTTTTTTAATTTTAATTTTTATGGGTACATTGTAGGTACTTGTATTTATGGGGTACATTCGATGTTTTGATACAGGTATCAAATGTAATAATCATATCAGTGTAATTGGAGTCATGTCAAGCATTTATCTTTTTTTTGTGGTAGGCACATTCCAATTCCACTCTTTTAGTTATTTTCAAATATACAATAAATTATCATTGATTGTAGTCACCCTATTGTGCTATCAAATACTAGATCTTACTCATTATATATAACTATATTTTTACACTCATTAACCATCCCCACTTTATCCCCCAATTTCTGCTACCCTTCTCAGCCTCTGATCACCATCATTCTACTCTCTATCTCCATGAATTCAATTGTTTTAACTTTTAGCCCCCACATATGAGTGAACATGTATTTGTCTTTCTTTTAACATAATATTTCATTTAACGTAATATCTTCCAGTTATATCCATGCTGTTGCAAATGACAGGATGTCATTCTTTTTTATGGGTGAATAATATTCTATTGTATAAATGTACCACATTCTTTTTATCCATTTATCTGTTGAACGCACTCCAAATCTTGGCTATTATGAATAGTGCTGCAATAAACATGGGAGTGCAGGTGTCTCTTCAATATACTGATTTTCTTATCTTTTGAGTATATATCTAGCAGTGGGATTGCTGGATAATATGGTAGTTCTATTTTTTAGCTTTTGAGGAACCTCCATACTAGGTTGCTATAATGTTTTCCATAGAGATTGTACTAATTTACATGCCCACCAACAATGTACAAGGGTTCTCTTTTATGCACATCCTTGCCAGCATCAATTGTTGCCTATTTTTTGGATAAAAGCCATTTTAAGTGGGTTGAGAGATATCTCATTGTAGTTTTGATTTGCATTTCTGTGATGATTAATGATGTTGAGTATGTTTCATATATCTGTTTGCCATTTGTATGTCTTCTTTTGAGAAATTTCTATTCAAATCTTTGGCCCATTTAAATATATAATTATTAGATTTTTTCATATTCAGTTGTCTGAGTTCCTTACATGTTCTGGTTATTAATCCTTCGTTAGATGGATAGTGTGTAAATATTTTCTCCAATTCTGTGGATTGTTGCTTTAATTCGTTGAATGTTTGCTTCACAGAATCTTTTTAAACTTGATATGATCCCATTTGTCCATTTTTGTTTTGGTTGTCTGTTCTTTTGAGGTATTACTCAAGAAATCTTTGCCAAGACCAATGTCCTGGAGAGTTTCCCAGATACTTTCTTTTAGTAGTTTCATAGTTCGAAGTCTTAGATTTTTCAGTTTATTTTAATTTGATTTTTGTATATGTTGAGAGATAGGGGTCTAGTTTCATTTTTCTGCATATAGATGCCCAGTTTTCCCAGCACCATTTATTGAAGAAAATATCCTTCCCCCAGTGTATGTTTTTGGCACTTTTGTGATAAATGAGTTCATCGTAGGTGTGTGGATTTATTTCTGGGTTCTCCATTCTGTTCCATTGGTCTATGTATATGTTTTAATGCCAGTATCATGCTGTTCTGATTACTATAGCTCTGTAGTATAACTTGAAGTCAGGTAATGTGATTCCTTCAGTTTTGTTCTTTTTGCTTTGGATAGCTTTGGCTATTCTGGGTCTTTTGTGGTTCTCTATAAGTTATAGAATTTTTTCTATTTCTGTGAAGAATGTTATTGGTGTTTTGATAGGGATTGCATTGAATATGTGGAGTGCTTAGGATAGTATGGACATTTTAACAATATCAATTCTTCCAATCCATCAACATGGAATATCTTTCCATTTTTTGGTGTACTCTTCAATTTCTTTATCAATGTTATATAGTTTTTATTGTATAGATCTTTGGTTAAATTATTCCTGATATTTTATTTTATGCGTAGCTATTGTAATGGAATTACTTTCTCTATTTTTTTTCAGATTGTTCATTGTTGGCATATAGAAATGCTACTGATTTTTGTATCCTGCAACTTTACTGAATTTGTCAGTTCTAATAGTTTTCTTGGGAAGTTTTTAGACTTTTCCAAATATAAGATCATATCATCTGCAAACAAGAATAATTTGACTTCTTCCTTTCCAATTTGGATGCCATTTATATCTTTCTGTTGTCTAATTCTCCAGCTAGGACTTCCAGTACTATATTGAATAACAGTGGTGACAGTGGGCATCTTTGTCATGTTCCAGGTAATAGAGGAAAGGCTTTCAGTTTTCCCCATTCCGTATGATACTAACAGTGGGTCTATCATATATGGCTTTTATTATGTTGAAGTATGTTCCTTCTATCCCCAGTTTTTTGAGGGCTTTTATCATGCAGTGATATTGAGTTGTATCAAATGCTTTTTCAGCATCAATTAAAATAATCATATTGCTCTTTTCCTTCATTCTATTGGTATGTCACATTGACTAATTTGTGTATATTAAACCACCCTTGCATCCCAGTGATAAATCCCACTTATGCATGATCTTTCTAATGTATTGTTGATTTTGGTTTGCTAATATTTTGTTGAGGATATTTGCATCAATATTTATCGGAGATATTAGCCTGTAATTTTCTTTTTTTTGTCTGGTTCTGGTTTTGGTGTCAGCATAATACTGGCCTTGTAGAATGAGTTTGGAAGTATTTCCTCCTCCTCTATTTTTTGGAATAGTTTAAGTAGGATTGGTATTATACTTCTTTAAATGTTTGGTAGAATTCAGCAGTGAAGCCATTGGGTCCTGGGTTTTCTTAACTGAGAGATTTTTTTCTTAAGGCTTTGATCTTGTTACTTGTTAGTAGTCTGCTCAGGTTTTGGATTTCTTCATGGTTCAATCTTGGCAGGTTGTATATGTCTAGAAAATTGTCAATTTCTTCTAGATTTTCTGATTTATTGGCATATAGTTGCTCATAGTAGCCACTAATGATCCTTTGAATTTCTGCAGTATCAGTTGTAATGTCTCCTTTTTCATCTCTGATTTTATTTATTTGTATTTCCTCTCCTTTTTTCTTAATCAGGAAAAAGGTTTGTCAATTTTGTTTAACTTTTCAAAAAACAAATGTCTTGTTTCATTGATCTTTTGTATTGCTTTTAAATTTCAATTTTATTTCTGCTCGGATCTTTGTGATTTCTTTTTTTCTACTAATGTTGGGTTTGGTTTGCTCTTGCTTTACTTATTTTTTAAGATGCATCATTAGATTGCTTATCTGAAGTTTTTCCTGTTTGTGATGCAAGCAGTTATAGCTGTAAACTCCCTCTTTGTACTTGTCTTGCTGCATTCCATAGGTTTTTGTATGTTATGTTTCCATTATTATTTTTTTCAAGAATTTTTTCAATTTCCTTCTTAATTCTTCATTGACCCACTGGTCATTCAGGAGTGTATTGTTTAATTTCCATGTATTTGTATAGTTTCCAAAATTTCTTGTTATTGATTTCTAGTTTTTTTTTTTTTTTTTTTTTTTTGAGATAGAGTTTTGCTCTTATTGCCCAGGCTGGAGTGCAATGGTGCGATCTCAGCTCACCACAACCTCTGCCTCCTGAGTTCAAGTGATTTTCCTCCCTCAGCCTCCCGAGTAGCTGGGATTACAGGCATGCACCACCATGCCTGGCTAATTTTTGTATTTTTAGTAGAGACAGAGTTTCTCTATGTTGGTCGGACTGGTGACAAACTCCTGACCTCAGGTGATCTGCTCACCTCAGCCTCCCAAAGTGCTGGGCTTACAGGCATGAGCCACTGCACCTGGCCAATTTCTAGTTTTATTCCATTGTAGTCAGAGAAGATGCTGGATATTAGTTCAATTTTTTTTGTGTGTGTGAGAGGGAAGCATTATGTTTCTGCCTATCTAGGACACGGAGCTGGTGCAGCCCAGTTGCCCTTCACAGAGACATCAGTGAATCTTACTAGGAGCTCCTCTCAGCCATACTCATCAAATCCCGTGCCTGTGCTCATCACTGAGGTATTTATGGGCAAGCCAGCTTTGCCCAGCTGTGGCCCTGCATCCCCACAGAACAGGAAGCTCAGGGAACTGGGTACTCCAATGTCCAGCCTATCACCTTAAACAACAGAGAACATCTCACAGTAAACAAAGATCCACTACATACCCATCTGCTTGTGCCACAGCTGGTTCTTACCTGTAAGTGCCATCTACTTGCTTGTAAGTTGAGTCAGACAGTTTAATGTAAAATCTGCCGACAGAGGGCATAGGGCTGTAGAAGAAAAGCCAAAAGACCTTGCCCAATATACTCTACAGTCACACCCCATAGGAAGGGAGGGAAGAATAAAGGAAAAGAAAAAAATAATAGGAAAAGAAAAAATTCTATCCACAGAAAAATAATCTAAAAAATTAAAAGTGGCAGCCTCTCCAAATAAGAAGGAACCATCATGAGAATTCTGATACCATGAAATATCTGAATCTTGTAAAGCACCAAAAGATCATGCTAGCTCCCCAGAAATGAACCCTAAGCAAAATGGGGACTCAGAAATGACATATAAAGAATTCAAAATATAGATTGCAAGGAAGATCAGTGAAATTCAAGACAAGAATGAAAATCAACACAAAAAAACTACTAAAGCAATCTGGGAAATGAAGAAAAAGATAAACATCTTTAAAAAAATCAATCAGAATTCTGGAATTGAAAAATTCACTTAAAGAATTTCAGAATACAATGGAAAAATTTATCAATAGAGTAGACCAAGCTGAAGAAAGAATTTCAGGGTCTGAAGACCACTCTTTTGAACTAACCCAGTCAGATAGAAATAAAGAATTAAAAAAATGAAGAAAGGGTTTGATTAATATGTGATTATGTCTAGCAACCAAACCTATGAATTATTGGCATTCCTGTGAGAGAAGATAAAGTAAACAACATGGAAAATGTATTTAAGGGAATACTTCAAAAACTTTTTCAAGAAAAAAGAGCAACAAAGTCTGGATGACAGCACATCTGTTTGCATCATAATTTACTGAATATCTGAGGACCACTTTTGAGCTCTACCACTCAGAAAAAAATTCTTTTGAAAATATTACTGCTGCTTGACAATGCAGCTAATCATGGCACCCATGATCTCTGATGGAGATGTATCAGGAGATGTTTTCATTACTGACAACACAACATTTATTCTGCAGTCATGAATCAAGTAGTAATTTCAACTTGTAAGTCTTATTTGATATGTACAGTTCAGAAGGCTACACCTGCTAGAGATAGTCGTTCCTCTAATTAATGTGTGCAAACTAAATTAAAAACCTTTTGAAAAAGATTAAGAACATTTGTAATTCATGGGAGGATTCAAACTATCAATATTAACATGAATTGGAAGAAATTGATTCCAACCCTCATAGATGACTAGGAGGGTTTCAAGACTTCAGTAAAGAAAGTAAATGCAGGCCAGGTGCAGTGGCTCACACTTGTAATCCCAGCACTTTGGGAGGCTGAGGCGGGCAGATCACGAGGTCAGGAGATCAAGACCATCCTGACCAACACGGTGAAACCCTGTCTCTACTAAAAACATTTACAAAAAATTATCCAGGCATGGTGGTGGATGCCTGTAGTCCCAGCTGTTCGGGAGGCTGAGGCAGGAGAATGGCATGAACCCGGGAGGTGGAGCTTGCAGTGAGCCAATATCGCGCCACTGCACTCCAGCCTGAGTGACAAGCAAGACTCCGTCTCAAAAAAAAAAAAAAAAAAAAAAAAAAAAAAAAAAAGTAAATGCATGCAGATGTGGTGGAAATAGCAAGAAAATTAGAAATGGAGCTTGAAAATGTGACTAAATTGCTGCAATCTTATGATCAAACTCTACTGGATGAGGAGTTGCTTCTTACAGATGAGCAATGAAATTGTTTCCTTGACAATGAATCTACTACTGTTGAACATTGTTAAAATGATGAAAAAAGGATTTAAAATATTATATAAACTTTGTTGGGGAAGAAGTAGCAGGATTTCAGAGGATTGATTCCAATTTCAGGAGCAGTTTTACTGTGGATTAAATGTTATCAAACAGCATCACATGCAATAGAAAAATTTTTCATGAAAGGAAGAGTCAATGTGGCAAGCTTCATCACTGTCTCATTTTAAGAAATTTTTACAGCCACTCAAAGATTCAGCAAACACTACCATGATTAGTCAGCAGCCATCAACACTGAGGTAAGACCTTCCACTAGCAACAAGATTATGACTTGCTGAAGACTCTAATGATCATTAGCATTTTGTAGTCATAAAGTATTTTAAAATTGTTATGCACACTTTTTATATGTAATGCTATTGCACACTTAACCTACAGTATAGTGTAAACATAACTTTTTTTTTGAGGTAGGAAGTATTTATTGAAAATTGCATAAAACACTGCATTTTAAAATGTAACATGATTTCATTTCAAATATAATTTTAACAGATATGGAATTGTAAATTTATTGACAATTATTAGGAAGTGCCTTCTTGTTGTATATTGATTGATGATATTATTCTTTCTAGTTTTTTTTAGTCATTATTATTATACTTTAAGTTTTAGGGTACATGCGCACAATGTGCAGGTTTGTTACATATGAATACATGTGCCATGTTGGTGTGCTGCACCCATTAACTTGTCATTTAGCATTAAGTATATCTCCTAATGCTATCCCTCCCCACGCCCCCCACCCCACAACAGTCCTAAGAGTGTGATGTTCCCCTTCCTGTGTCCATGTGTTCTCATTGTTCAATTCCCACCTATGAGTGAGAACATGCGGTGTTTGGTTTTTTGTCCTTGCGATAGTTTGCTGAGAATGATGGTTTCCAGTTTCATCCATGTCTCTACAAAGGACATGAACTCATCATTTTTTATGGCTGCATAGTATTCCATGGTGTCTATGTGCCACATTTTCTTAATCCAGTCTATCATAGTTGAACATTTGTGTTGGTTCCAAGTCTTTGCTATTGCGAATAGTGCCGCAATAAACATATGTGTGCATGTGTCTTTATAGCAGCATGATTTATAATCCTTTGGGTATTTACCCAGTAATGGGATGGCTGGGTCAAATGGTATTTCTAGTTCCAGATCCCTGAGGAATCACCACACTGACTTCCACAATGATTGAACTAGTTTACAGTCCCACCAACAGTGTAAAAGTGTTCCTATTTATCCACCTCCTCTCCAGCACCTGTTGTTTCCTGACTTTTTAATGATCGCCATTCTAACTGGTGTGAGAAGTTGTCTCATTGTGGTTTGGTGTGAGAAGTTATCTCATTGTGGTTTGGATTTGCATTTCTCTGATGGCCAGTGATGATGAACATTTTTTCATGTGTTTTTTGGCTGCATAAATGTCTTCTTTTGAGAAGTGTCTGTTCATATCCTTTGCCCACTTTTTGATGGGCTTGTTTGTTTTCTTCTTGTAAATTTGTTTGAGTTCATTGTAGATTCTGGATATTAGCCCTTTGTCAGATGAGTAGGCTGCAAAAATTTTCTCCCATTTTGTAGGTTGCCTGTTCACTCTGATGATAGTTTCTTTTGCTGTGCAGAAGCTCTTTAGTTTAATTAGATCCCATTTCTCAATTTAGGCTTTTGTTGCCATTGCTTTTGGTGTTTTAGACATGAAGTCCTTGCCCATGCCTATGTCCTGAATGGTATTGCCTAGGTTTTCTTCTAGGGTTTTTATGGTTTTAGGTCTAACATGTAAGTCTTTAATCTATCTTGAATTAATTTTTGTATAAGGCATAAGGAAGGGATCCAGTTTCAGCCTTCTACATATGGCTAGCCAGTTTTCCCAGCACCATTTATTAAATAGGGAATCCTTTCCCCATTGCTTGTTTTTCTCAGGTTTGTCAAAGATCAGATAGTTGAAGATATGTGGCATTATTTCTGAGGGCTCTGTTCGGTTCCATTGGTCTACATCTCTGTTTTGGTACCAGTACCATGCTGTTTTGGTTACTGTAGCCTTCTAGTATAGTTTGAAGTCAGGTAGCGTGATGCCTCTGGCTTTGTTCTTTTGGCTTAGGATTGACTTGGTGATGCAGGCTCTTTTTTGGTTCCATATGAACTTTAAAGTAGTTTTTTCCAATTCTGTGAAGAAAGTCATTGGTAGCTTGATGGGGATGGCATTGAATCTATAAATTACCTTGTAGCCCATTTACATTTAAGGTTAATATTGTTATGTGTGAATTTGATCATGTCATTATGATGTTAGCTGGTTATTTTGCCTGTTAGTTGATGCAGCTTCTTCCTCACATTGATGATCTTTACAATCTGGCATGTTTTTGGTGGCTGGTACCAGTTGTTCCTTTCCATGTTTTGTGCTTCCTTCAGGAGCTTTTTAAGGCAGGCCTGGTGGTGAGAAAATCTCTCAACATTTGCTTGTCTGTAATGAAATTCTGAGTTGAAAATTCTTTCCTTTAAGAATGTTGAATATTGGCCCCCACTCTCTTTTGGCTTGTAGAGTTTCTGCCAAGTTATCTGCTGTTAGTCTGATGGGCTTTCCTTTGGCGTAACCTAACCTTTCTCTCTGGCTGCCCTTAACATTTTTTCCTTCATTTCAACCTTGGTGAATCTGACATTTTTGTGTCTTGGGGTTGCTCTTCTTGAGGAGTATTTTTGTGGTGTTCTCTGTATTTCCTGAATTTGAATGTTGACCTGCCTTGCTAGGTTGGGAAATTCTCCTGGATAATATCCTGAAGAGTGATTTCCAGGGTGGTTACATTCTCCCCGTCCCTTTCAGGTACAGCAGTCAGATGTAGATTTGGTCTTTTCACATAGTCCCATATTTCTTGGAGGCTTTGTTCATTTCTTTTTACTCTTTTTTCCCTAAACTTCTCTTCTTGCTTCATTTCATTCATTTGATTTTCAATTACTGATACCCTTTCTTCCACTTGATTCAATCGGCTACTGATGCTTATGCATGCATCATATAGTTCTCATGCCATAGTTTTCAGCTCCATCAGATCATTTAAGGTCTTCTCAACACTGTTTATTCTAGTTAGCCATTCGTCTAATCTTTTTTCAAGGTTTTCAGGTTCCTTACCATGGGTCAAACATCCTCCTTTAGCTTGGAGAAGTTTGTTATTACCGACCTTCTGAAGCCTACCTCTGTCAGTTCATCAAAGTCATTCTCCATGCAGCTTTGTTCCATTGCTGGCAAGGAGCTGTGATACTTTGGAGGAAAAGAGGCCATGTGGTTTTTAGAATTTTTGACTTTTCTGCTCTGGTTTTTCCCCATCTTTGTGGTTTTATCTACCTTTGGTCTTTGATCATGGTGACCTACAGATGGGGTTTTGGTGTGCATGTTCTTTCTGTTGGTTAGTTTTCCTTTTAACAGTCAGTTCCCTCAGCTGCAGGTCTGTGGGAGTTTGCTGGAGGTCCACTCCAGGGCCTGTTTTCCTGGGTATCACCAGCAGAGGCTGCAGAACAGCAAATATTGCAGAACAGCAAGTATTGCTGCTTGATCCTTCCTCTGGAAGCTTCATCTCGGAGGGGCACCTGGCTGTGTGAGGTGTCAGTCAGCCCCTACTAGGAGGTGTCTCCCAGTTAGGCTACATGGGGGTCTGGGACCCACTTGAGGAGACAGTCTGTCTGTTCTCAGAGCTCAAACACTGTGCTGGGAGAGCCACTGCTGTCTTCAAAGCTGTCAGACAGGGATGTTTAAGTCTGCAGAAGTTTCTGCTGCCATTTGTTTAGCAATGCCCTGCCCCCAGAGGTGGAGTCTACAGAGGCAGGCAGGCCTGGTTGAGCTGTGGTGGGCTCTACCCAGCTTGAGCTTCCTGGCTGCTTTGTTTATGTACTCAAGCCTCAGCAATGGTGGATGCCCCTCCCCCAACCAGACTGCCACCTTGCAGTTCGAACTCAGATTGCTGTCCTAGCAGTGAACAAGGCTCCGTGGGCATGGGACCTGCTGAGCCAGGCACAGTGTAGAATCTCCTAATGTGCCATTTGCTAAGACCATTGGGGAAGCACAGTATTTGGGTGGCAGTGTCCTGATTTTCCCAGTACAGTCTCTCATGGCTTCCCTTGTCTAGAAAAGGGAAATCCCCCAACCTCTTGTGCTTTCTGGGTGAGGCGATGCCCCACCCTGTTTTGGCTTGCCCTACATGGGCTGCACCCACTGTCCAACTGGTCCCAATGAGATGAACAAGATACCTCAGTTGGAATTGCAAAAATCAGCCATCTTCTGCATCAATCACCCTGGGAGCTGCAGACCGGAGCTGTTCGTATTTGGCCATCTTGGAATGAGGGGCCTCTATTTTTATTATTTTTTATCTTTAGATATTAACAGTCTGATTGTAAAGTTTATATGGAGAGGCCAAAAAACCCAGAACAGCCAATGTTAAGGAGAACAAAATCAAGTGATTAACCTTGTCTGATTCAACTTCAAGACTTATTATGAAGCTGCAGTAATCAAGACAATGTGAAATTGGTGAAGAAACAGTCAAATAGATTAATGCAAGTGAGTAAAGAGCCTGAAATAGATAATCAGAAATACAGCCAACTGATCTTTGAAAAAAAAGCAAAGGCAATTCAATGGGGAATAATAGTCTTTTCCACAAAGACTAATGGAGTAACTGGAGATTCACATACAGAAAAATGAATCTGGAAATAGACCTTACATCTTTAACGCAAGTTAACTAAAAATATATTATAGATCTAAATACTAAATGCAAAACTATGAAACTCTGGTAATATAAGGTAGGAGAAAATAAAGATGACCTTGATCTGGCAATGGTTTTTAAAATACTACAATGAAGGCACAATCCATGAAATAAAGAATAACTAAGCTGGCCTTTATTAAAATTTAAAACTTCTACTCCACAAAAGATAGTATCAAGGGAATAAGATGACAAGACACAGACTGGGATAAATATTTTTCAAAAGATATATCTGATAAATGATGGCTATCCAAAATTTTTAAAATTCAACAATTAGAAATCAGACACCTTGATTAAAAAAATGGGCAACGGGTCTGAACAGACACCTCACCAAGAAGACATACAGATACCAAATAAATATATGAAAAGTACTAATCATTAAATGTCATTAGGGAACTGCAAGCTAAAACCCCGATGACATACTATTACACACTTATACACTGGCTAAAATTCAAAACACTGATAGAACCAAACACTGGCAAGGATATGCAGCAAGGAGAACTATTAGTCATTGCTGGTGGAAATGCAAAATGGTACAGACACTTCAGGAGACAGTTGGGCAGTATCTAATAAAACTAAAATATGTTTACTATATTATCTAGTAGTTGTGCTCCTTGGCATTTGCCAAATGAATTGAAAATATATTTCCACACAAAAATCTGCACATGGATGTTTATAGCAGTTTTATTCATCATTGTCAAAAATTAGAAATCACCAAGATGTTCTTCAATAGATAAATGAATAGACAACATGGTAAACCTATACAATGAATGTTATTTAGTGTTAAAAGAAATGAACTATCAAGCCATGAAAAGACATGGAGAAATTTTATACATATTAGTAAGTTAAATCTTAAAAGGCTACATACTGTATGATTCCAAACATATGACATTCTGGAAAAGGCAAAACTATGCCAACACTGCAAAGATTATTTGTTGCTAGGGCTCGTGAGGAAGAGAGGGTGAACAGGTAGAGCACAGAGGGTTTTAAGGGCAGTAAAGCTATTTTATATGATACTACAATGGTGGATACATGTCATTATGCATTAGTCAAATCCCATAGAATGTACAACACAAAGAATGAACCCCACAGAAACTATGAGCTTTGGTTGTTGATGTGTCAATGTTGGTTCATTGATTGTAACCTATGAGAGTTCTTGATTGTGAGAGGCTGTGTGTGGGTGCAGGGAAAGAGGCATGTGGTAATTATATACTTTCCACTTTCCACTTAGTGTTGCTGGAAACCCCAAACTGCTGTTAAGAAATACATTTTTCTAAAGCCTACTTTAACCCACCATTCTAGTCAAGCTGAGGTTTGTATTACCCAGTGACTGTGGAGGGCTTAATGTTGATACTCCCCTGATCACTTGGACTGAGATGTGAATTCTATGAGACGGGATGTGATATGTCACTGAACTGGGAGTTGAAAAACTGTGATTCTAAGTCTTATACTGAGGCATTGTGATACTTTGTCTCACTGAGTCAACAATTGCTCATTTAAAAAAAAAATCAATTCCTGTTTAGAATAGTTGATCTCAGAGATCCCTTTTGTCTTCAAATTATCTATAATTCTTTCATAGTATAAACTGAAAGATCTAGGGAGGAGCCTCAACTTAGCAGAAGAGAGGAGGAGCAGAACTGGAACACCTAGCTCTCAAGGAATGAAATGATTATTCTAAAGAGAGCAACCAAGCTTATCTTACCCAAACTAAGGTAGTATATTTCTGTTAGAGTTTAAAGTTACGTGAGTCAGGGACCAAGTTATTGCTTTTCTTTGCCCTGTATAAAGGGTTCTCCAAGGCCTTGGACTCACCCAAGTACTAAAGGTTATAAAACCAAACTCTTCTGACCCCCAATCTAGTCAACTTGGGCTGTAATTATTAATGAAATTAATATTTATTTTGAAAATCATTTACTAGACTGAATCACGAAATACTGAACCATTGTACACAATCAGTAAATATCTGTGGACTCAATTGAACTGAATGTTTTGCTTGAAATGAAACCTTCAAGATGCAGGGCTTATGAATTCTAGTCTCAGCTCTAGCACCAGCAGACACCATGTTCTTGGCTACAGTACTGAATCTTCAAGGCTCAGCCTCCTCATTCCTGAGATGGGTCAATTTTATTGTAAGCAAAGGCAATTGAGAGATTCCAAAGGGATATGAGGTGTGAGAATTCTCTCTAAATGGGGTTAGAATCCCTGTTAAAAATGACCAGTGAAACATTGTGCAATTGTGTCTTAACATAACTTACTTTTTCTTAATAAGAGAACTGGAAATAACCTCATTAGGAAATTTAGAACAAATACGATGATATCTTTAAAGAAAATGGCTTTGTGTAAGTATTGTCGTTAGTGATCTAGTAATGTGTATCTTTCTGGTTGTATTTAGACCTTCAACTCAAATGTCAGCTCCCGTTAAGGTCTATACATTGTGGTGGTTTTGTGCTGTGGGTCCATTTAGTGATTTCCCTACCTCCCATCCTCTATTAGATTCACAACTGTTGTTCTGCCCATAATTTCCTATGCTTGCTTTGCATTGTTACATTTTTTTTTGAAAATCAGAAAGCAAAATCAATATAAAGCAGCCATGTCTGGAGGAGACCAGGAGGTCAAGAAGCCTTAGTTTCTCAAGCCCTTAGCACCAAATTCTCTGAGATCAGCTCTTCCTTCAGTTACACTGAGCGTTTCCCCTCTGCAGTGATGGAGAAGGGAGAACTCTTATTTTTTCTCATGAGCATCTCTGGGGCTGTTTTCCTTAGATAAATAAGTGGTTCTATTTAATGTGAAGCCTGTTTTATGAACAGGATGAATGTGGTATATATTCAGAATAACTAATGTTTGGAAGTTGTTTTGTTTTGCTAAAACAAAGTTTTAGCAAACGATTTTTTTTTTCAAATTTGTGTCTTCTGTTCTCAAAGCATCTCTGATGTAAGAGATAATGCGCCACGATGGGCATCAGAAGACCTCAGCTCAAATCCCAGTTCTGCCAGCTATGAGCTGTGTGGCACCAACAGGTGTCCTGTTCTCCCAGGGTCTCCCTTTTCCCATTTGAAATATAAAAAATAACAATTCCTGCCTTCACGTGTTTTTTTAGGGGGTTAAATGGTAAAGGTGTTTATATCTGCTAAGGTAATTTACTTGATATATGTTTGGTTATTGAAGATATATGAGTTATGTTAGCTATTTCATGTTTAGGCTGCTGTATTTTTAGTAGGCTATATTAAATAGAGGATTTCATTATAAAGGACAAAGTCTCCTAATCTTCGATATAGGATTGACATACTTTTTAAATATACAAGGCATAGAATATGGCCATTTCCGTTAAATCATAAATTCCCAACTGGTTATTAATCTAAGAATTCAGAATTTTAAGTAATTGTTTTTGCATCAGATTGTTTACTTCAGTGCTCTCAATTATGACGGTGCATTGGAACCACTTGGGTTAACATTTTTTTGTTTTTATTACCAATACCTAGGCTTCAACCTAGTACAATGAAACCAGAATGTACAGAGTGGGCACTGGGACGAAGGAGAACAAGACCAAAGGACATTTTATTTTTATCTCTATCAGTGGGTCAAAGTCCTTTCAGAAGGAGCATATAGTGGGCCTAGGTGATTGGCCACTTTATCCATCAAAGAGGCACACACACTTAATTAGCATGGAGTGTTATAAAAAGCTTGGAGTGCAAGCTCACGGTTGTCTTAACAAGAGGAGAAGGCTTCAATGGATCCTTTTGTGGTCCTTGTGCTCTGTCTCTCATGTTTGCTTCTCCTTTCAATCTGGAGACAGAGCTCTGGGAGAGGAAAACTCCCTCCTGGCCCCACTCCTCTCCCAGTGATTGGAAATATCCTACAGATAGATATTAAGGATGTCAGCAAATCCTTAACCAATGTAAGTATGCTCCTTCAGTGGCTTGCAAAAGGTAAGTAAATTCACCTGTATTTTTTAAATAAAGTATATCCCTAGAGGTACAATGTTACAAGAGATCATTGTAAAGTAAAATACTTTGAAAGGCTTTTGTTGCCTTTTCCAGTCTGTCAGTGTCAGAAATAGTGGAATGAAATAATATATTTTGTTATTAGAGAAAGATTTAGGTCTTTGCATGTTAAATTCAGAATAACAAACTGTCAATAGTTTGAAATGTTGTGTTCCTTCTTTATTTCATAGCCATTTGCTAGAATTTTTGGCTGAGGGTAAACAGTAAGGGAAGTGTTTGTTATTAGAGATTTTATTAAATAAGTCCTCTACTATATTAGCCATGTGTTTTATTCAGAATAGCCGTGAAAATTGAACTTCTCTGAAGAAATAATTTATGCCTGTTGTAAAGGAAGCAGCTGTGGGTTTAGGACCAGCAAAAGCAGATAAGCGGTAGATAAGAAGTTATAGACTTCAATTATTAGATCCACAAACTAATGTTTTAATTAAGCTATAGCTACAATATATAAACCCCAAAATGACCTTAGGGTTTAGTAATAGTAGAAAGAGGGTTAGAAGATGTATAAGCATTACGGTTTTTTCTTGAGTAAAAGATGTTTTAACAGTGTTAATATGATATGTGAATACACCTCATTGTGTAGTTATTAGCATATACAGAGAGTAAAGGGCTGCGATTAGTATATTAAGCCTTATAAGCATGATGGTATGATCAGATCAAGAGAATGAGGCTGTAGTTATGAAGACTACTCCTACTAGATTGATGGTAGGGGGCAGGGCAAGATTGGTGGGGCTAGTTAAGGGTCATCACTTTCAGGGAGAGCAGTGTTTGAAGGCCCCGTGTTATTAGTATGCTTTTGTGTCTGGAACTGGTTCTTTCCAGTGGGTTCTTGGTCTCGCTGACTTCAAGAATGAAGCCACGGACCCTCGTGGTGAGTGCTACAGTTCTTAAAGATATTGTGCCAGAGTTTGTTCCTTCAGATGTTCAGATGCATCTGGAGTTTCTTCCTTCTGCTGGGTTCATGGTCTTGCTGACTTCAGGAGTGAAGCCGCAGACCTTCGCAATGAGTGTTACAGCTCTTAAAGGTGGCATGTCTGGAGTTGTTCATTCCTCCTGGTGGGTTTCTGGTCTCGCTGGCTTCAGGAGTGAAGTTGCAGACCTTTGCGGTGAGTGTTATAGCTCATAAAGGTAGTGTGGACCCAAAGAGTGAGCAGCAGCAAGATTTATTGTGAAGAGCAAAAGAACAAAGCTTCCACAGCATGGAAGGGGACCCAAGAGGGTTGCCGCTGCTGGCTCAGGTGGGCAGCTTTTATTCCCTTATTTGGCCCCACCCATGTCCTGCTGATTGGCCCATTTTACAGAGTGCTGATTTGTCCATTTTGCAGAGTGCTGATTGATCTGTTTTTACAGAGTGCTGATTGGTGTGTTTACAAACCTTTAGCTAGACACAGAGAGCTGATTGGTGCATTTTTACAGTGTTGATTGGTGCATCTGCAAACCTTTAGCTAGACACAGAGCACTGATTGGTGTGTTTACAATCCTTTAGCTAGACAGAAAAGTTCTCCAAGTCCCTACCTGACCCAGAAGCCCAGCCGGCTTCACCTCTCAATCCCCCCTTTAAACAGGACACCCCAACTGCTGTTGGGAATTCGGTGATGACTGCTGTAGCTACTTCCTGCTGGAGAGGGGTGAAGAAGGGGTCCTGCAGTTGTAGTGTCCTCCGGAGGGGAACTCTTTAGGCCAGTGAAAGGGCCAGTGGGTCAGTCCAGGTGTCCTTGGAAGGAGTTGTTAGTTGAGCTCATTTGGGGTTCCATTTGTAAGACCATCTGTAGCTTGATGGCGTTGATCCTAGAGGAAACAAATTTGACAAGGAGGTTAAAAATACAGGGCCTGAAGGTGAGTAATAACAAGATGGCTGCCATGGGACCTAGAAAGGGGAGAAGCCATGTTGCCTAACTCCAGAGGTTGGTATGAGTTTGAAAAGCATTGTCTGATTTCAGAAGCCATTTCCTGTAAACACTGGGTGGCATCTCATACTATTCCTGATTGGTTAGTGTAAAAATTATACTCTTCCCCTAAGAAGGTGCAGAGTCCTCCTTTCTCAGCAGTGAGGAGGTCTAGTCCTCAGTGGTTTTGGAGAGTCACTGTTGCCAAAGAGTCTATTTGGGATTGTAGAGTAAGGATAGATTTTGTTATTTCTTGTAAACTGTCTGAGAAATTCTTTGAGAGTGTGTGGTAGTAGGATAATGAAGTAGATAAACTGGCTATTCTGGTTCCTGTAGCAGTAGCCATTCCTAACCCTATAAGTAGGGATATTAGTTGTATGGCTTTGCACTGATGGAGTTGAGTTTTGAGGGGTACTGATAGGGTCTGATTTCCTGGGGCAATGTTAATGTTGGGACTTAGAAAGACTAAGGTGCAGGTGCCAGTCCAGTTAGTGGGAAGGCAGATATAGGTCGACATTCCACATAAGAAGAATATACCTTGGCTGGGTAGACACAACTGGTTGTGTATGTTAAAAAGGTGTGTGTTTGTTGTTTTCATTTTCCCATACTCCTAGAGTACTTGCCAAGGTAGCTCTGGTGAGTGGCTGGAAAGGGGTGTTGGGAGCAAACTGAGTGGCTCCGTGTGTTCTATTTTCCCATTGGAGAAAAAACCGTTCTGTGTCTACTAGGAACCATTCAAGAGAGTGATTGAAAGGGGATGAGAAAACATTTACTAGTGGTGGGGGAGCTGCTGCAGGGGATCCAGGGGTGAATGGTCATGCAGGGAGTATGTTTGCCATTACAAAGCCTGGACTGTTTGTTAAGCAGGGAGGAGGTGATGATATTTTGGGGCCCTGAGAAGCGGACAATCCATCTGGATAGAGCTGTTTGAGTGACTCAGAAGTTACTATGATCAGTTGGGGCTTGAAGTTGTAGGGTGTAATTACACTGATGGGGTAGTAGGTGCCTCAGGGGCAGGCCTGATAACAGGTTGCATTGCATTCATACAGGGGCTTGGAAAGTTAAGATGGTATTTGTAGTTACAAGGCTGTGTATGGGCTTTTCATTGCTTGTGTAATAGGTGAGGTTGGAAATGTAAGAATGTAAAAGTTGGATTGCACGTCCTGTTAGGGTATTCTTGGTCCTATCAGAGATGGAGAAGTCAGCTAATGATTGCATATTTAGAAGTTGGAAAGGGTCTTTTCCGTCATAATGAAGGTGGTAGGTTAATTTGGTAAAGATCCAGTTTTTTGTGGGAATGGGGGTGGCAACATAAGCAGAGGTTGATAGATACAAAGCCAACAGTCATTTGCCAGGGAAGGATTGGACTGGTTTAACAAAGAGTGGGTTAATCTGAGAGTCTTGTAGAGATAATTAGGAGCTAGTGGAAGGGGAGGGGTGATTGAGGTATCCAAGGAAGCAGGAGGGATAGATAGGCAAAGAATAAATAGGAAGGTAAAGATGGTGCTCTGGAAGATGAGATCATTTTATCCAGGCCGAGTAAAAGGTAGGAGTAAATTGCTGTCAGAAGGAAGGAAGACAGAAAAAAGGTTGATGTGATTAGGATTTTCATCCCAGCAGGAGCTACAGTATATAGTCCTATTGCAAAGAGTATGGTTAATATGCTGCTTAATAATATGATGAAATAGTAAAAGGGTTCCATTAAAGGGGCAAGAAGAGGTGTTAAAGATAAAGATTATGTAGGTTTTCACTTATCTTTTTTAAGGAGGAAGGGGTTTTTCTTCAGGATCGGTGGTAGGAGCCTTTTTAGTCTGGGATGTTTCCTTCTGAAATAAGAGATGCAAGTCCTCCAACAGTTCGCAGGTGTATTGAGGCTGGTCTGGCTGATCTTGGGACTCCTGAGCTGATGGTACTGCAGGTTCCTCAGGGGATGTCCAAAATTTAACTCAGGTGTGGCGAATCCAAGATTCCATTCCTGAACCTTAACAGCAGTGGGGTTAGAGAGGATTACCGAGTATGGTCCTTCCCACAAAGAGGCCATAGATAGGGAGGTAGAGGGGAGAGATTTGATCAACACTAGATCTCCTGGTTGAAACAACTCTGTTCCCTTTTCTCTGTGATATCCTTCAGGTAGGTTTTTAAGGTTTCATTGATATTTTGCCAAAGAAGTTATATCTTTGACCAAGTTGGCCGTTTCCTGATCAAGTAGGAGGTCATTTGTGAAAAAAGGCCATCCATACAGCATTTCATTTGGACTGAGCCCCATTTTGTGAGAATTTCGGATTCTCAACAAGGTCATGGACAAAAGAGTAAAGAGTAGGCCATGGGAAATGAGATTCTTGTGTTAGTTTCCTTAAGTGCCTCTTGACTGTTTTATTTGCCTTCTTGACCTTCCCTGAGGATTGTGGCCTTCAGGTGCTGTGAAGGTGATATTGTATCCCTAGTGCCCTGGAAATTCCCTAAGTTATTATGGCTTTAAAAGCCAGACCATTGTCACTCTGTAAGCTTTGGGGAAGCCAAAATCTAGGAATTATTTCATGAATTAGGACTTTAATCACTTTCTCAGCCTTCTCTGTCTTGCAGGGGAAAGCTTCTATCCAATTTGTAAAGGTATCAACACAGACCAACAAGTATTGAAATCCCTTTGACTTAGGCATATGGGTGAAATCTAACTGCCACTCCTCTCCAGGATAGTGACCTATTCTTTGTTCCCCCCAAAGGGGCCCTATGATGGACCAAGGGATTATTCTTTTGGCACACCTCAGAGGCTTTGACTACCTGTCGGATTGTCCAGAGGAGATTTGGCCCTGTAAATAGGGATTTGGCCATTTGATGAGTGTTTTCAATACCCATATGAAAAGTTTGGAGGAGGGTTTTAAGTATTTTCCACTGGCTGGCTTCAGGTATAAGTACCTGTCCTTCTTCTGTCATTAACCACGCTGAGGGGAGAGAAAACTATGCCCCTGTGAAAGTTCCCATTCTGTTTCAGTCAGGGAATACTGGGGCTTAATCTCTTGGAGGGGTTTGTTCCATACCAAGTGTCCTTCCATAGGTATTTCTAATGGGAGGTTCCACCTGGCAGCAATTTTGGCCTCAGCACCTCCCTGATGGTTTCCTTCTGCCTTTTCTCCTTCACCTTTCTGATGTCTTTGGAAGTGTAAGACTGCCACCACCTTGGGTTTTTGCACTGAGTGCAATAACTCCATAATTCCCTTGTGGTATTTAATGGGGGTTTCTCCAGAGGTTAGGAACTTCCTTTCTTTCCATATTGCAGCATGGGTATGTAGGATTAGATAAGCTACTTGCTATTTGTATACACATTTATTCTTTTTCCCTTTCCCAGTTCTAAGGCTCGGGTAAGTGCCACCAGTTCTGCTAACTGGGCACTGGTCCCTGTGGGAAGAGGCTTACTTTCAAGTACAGTTACACCACTAACTTTGCCATAACCTGCCCTTCATATCCCATTCTCCACAAATGAACTTCCTTCGGTATATAGGTTAAGGTCAGGATTAGCTAAGGGGACTTCTAAGAGGTCATCTCAGGTGGCATAAATCTGGACTATAATTTGTTGGCAGTCATGATACCTTGGTTCCCCATCCTCTGGGAGAAAAGTGGCAGGGTTGGGGGCTATGCCTGTATGTATTTGAAGCACCAGTCCCTCAAGGAGTAGCACCTGATATCTAAGTAGGCAGTTGTCTGATAACCATAAACTTCCTTTGGCACCTAGTATGCCATTTATATCATGAGTAGTCCAGACAGTGAGATCCTTTCCTTGTATTATTTTGATAGCCTCTGACACTAAGACAGCCATCACCACAACTACCCATAAACAGTGAGGCCAGCCTTTTGCTACAACATCAATTTCCTTACTTAGGTATACCACTGGTTGTGGGGTTGTTTCACGAGTCTGAGTAAGGACTCCAAGAGGTATCCCTGCTCTCTCTGTGACGTATAAAGAGTTTTGTCCTGTGGGAAGGCTTAAAGCTGAAGCTTGTACTAGGGCCTGCTTTAAGGTTTTGAAGGCTGTTTCTGCCCCTGGTTCCCATTCTACTAGATGAGTATTTGCCCTCTGGGTTTCCTTGATTAGAGTACAGAGGGGCCTGGCTATCTCACTGTATCCGGGGATCCATAGTTGGCAAAAGTCGGTGATTCCAAGGAATGCCCACAATTGTTTTAATGTCTTAGGGTGAGGATAAGCCAGTATAGGCTGTATTCATTCCTTGCTGAGGGCCCTGGTCCCTCTGGCTAAGATTAGGCCTAGATATTTGACCTGCTGTAGGCAAAGCTGGGCCTTTGACCTAGACGCCTTGTACCCTTGATTAGCTACAAAGTTCAAGAGATCTAGAGTACCCTGCTGGCATGAGGCTTCCGAACTGATAGCTAAAAGTAAATCATCCACGTACTGAAGGAACAGAGTGCCTGGACCTGAGAAGTGGCCTAGATCTTGGGCCAGTACCTGACCAAAGAGATGAGGGCTATCCCTAAACCCTTGGGGCAAGACTGTCCACATAAGTTGGGACGTGTGGTCTGAGGGATCCTCAAAGGCAAAGAGAAAGTGGGAGTCAGAGTGCAGGGGAATACAGAAGAAGGCATCCTTGAGGTCCAGAACAGTGAACTATTCTGCTTCCTCTGGTATTTGACAGAGCAGGGTTTAGGGGTTGGGTACAACTGGATATAGAGGAATTACTGCCTCATTGATGAGTATAAGATCTTGCACTAGTCTCCACAGACTGTTTGGTTTTTGTACTCCTAGAATTGGGGTGTCGCAGGGACTGCTGCATTTCCTTACTGAGGCTTGAGTTTTTAAACGTTTAACAATATCCTGTAATCCTTCATGAGCTTCAGGCCTTAAGGGATATTGCCTTTGATAAGGAAAAGTGGTGGGGTCTTTTAGCCTGATTTGGACTGGGTGGGCATTTTTTGCTCTTCCAAATTGTCCTTCCAGTGCCCAGACTTCAGGGTTAATTCCCTCCTCAAGTAGGGGACAACAAATGGGTAACTTGTTTCTCATATTCATGTAGATAATAGCTCCAGCTTTCACTAATATATCCCTCCTTAATAAGGGTGTGGGACTTTCAGACATAACAAGAAAGGCATGTGAAAAGAGCAAAGTCTCCCAATTACAACTGAGGAGGTGGGAGAAATACCTGGTTACAGGCTGTCCCAGGATTTCTCAGATGGTAACGGACCTTGAGGACCGTCATCCAGGACAGGAGATTAACACTGAGAAGGCCACACCAGTGTCCAGGAGGAAGTCAATTTCCTGGCCCTCAATGGTTAAACATACCCAGGACTCAGTGAGGGTGATGACATGGGCTGGCACTTACCCTGGGCACCCTGAGTCCTGTTGTTGGATCATCTGGTTGGGGGCTTCTGGCCCAGAGAACCATTGCACTCTGGGGAAGTGTGCCTTCCAGTGATTGCCTTGGCATAGCAGACATGGGTGAGGGGGTGGCTTGTTTCTCATTGGACAATCTTTTTTAAAAATGTCCTTGTAAACCACACTGATAACAAGCCCTACTGGGTGATTGGCCTGCTATTTTCTGTCCTCTCTGAACCACCAAGCTTTCTTTGTCTGAGGGCCATGACTAAGGCTGTGACCTTTCTCTGATCTCAGTTTTCCTTTTGGGCCTGTTCCTCTTGGTACCTATTATAGAACACTGAGGTTGCCAGTTTTAATAATGCCTCCAGATTTTGTTCAGGGCCCAGGGCTCACTTTTGGAGCTTTCTCCTGATATCTGCAGCTGATTGGGTAAAAACTTATCTTTTAGGATCAATTGACCTTCTAGTCAGTTGGGTGACAGGGGAGTATATTTTCTTAAGGCCTCCTGTAGCCACTCGAGGAAAGCAGAAGGATTTTCTTCCTTTCCCTGAGTTATGGTGGACATCATTGAATAATTCATGGGCTTTTTCCTAATTCTCCTTACTCCTTCTAGAACACTGGTCAACAGATGTTTATGACTACAGTCCCCATGATCTGAGTCGAGGTCCCAGTGGGGATCCATACTGGGGATGGCTTGCTGACCAGTAGGGAATTTGTCCCTTTCTTCAGCTGTCATTCTATCATTTACTTGACTAAGATACTAGGTCTCTCCAAACTCTCAGGCTGCAGCTAAAGCCACATTCTTTTCATTAAAGGCCAGGGTTTGATCTAACAATAGCATGACATCTCTCCAAGTGAGATCGAAGGTTTGCCCTAGACCCTGTAGGACATCTATGTACCTATCAGGATCATCTGGAAACTTCCCCAGGTCTGCCTTGATCTGCTGTAAATCAGAGAGGGAGAAGCGGCCATGTACCCAGGTTGGGCCAAATTTACCTCCCCCTACAGCTTGAAGGGGGCATAACTGATAGCCCGGGGTTTTTTGTGGTCCTTTGGAGATTTCTTTGCTTATTTCCTTCTGGGAAGGGGAGATTAGAGGAGGCTTATCATTAATAGGAAGTGGAACTATAGGTAGGCTAGGATACGGGGGTAAGCTGAAAAGTCCTCCTGTGGGATGTAAATTGCAAGCTTTGCATAGTTGTGTATTCTTCTTCAATGAAAAGAAAGCTTGGATATAAGGTATTTCACTCCATTTGGCTTTCCTCTTACAGAAATGGTCAAGTTGCAGGATAGCATTGTAATTTATACTTCCCTCAGTTGGCCATTTTTCCCCATCAGAGAGAGAATAGTGGGGCCAGGCCATAGTGCAGAAAAAAATGAGCCACCTCTTTTTCAGGGTTTGTGAGTCAAATTGGTCCCAATGGCTTAGGATGCATTTCAAGGGTGAGCCTGTTGATGCCTGATTGTCTCTCATCGGAAAGACAAAACTCTCCATGGTTTTGGTTTGTTTGTTTCTACCTGCCCAGGAACCTGCAACAGTCCCTGGACCCTGCTGATCAGAATAGTTGCACTCACTGATGCAGCAGCAGAAACACCTCTTGCCCAAGAACCCAAAACAGTCCCTGGACCTTGCTGATCAGAATAGTTGCACTCACCGACACAGCAGCAGAAACACTAGTTTTCCTCCTAGACCAGAAGGAGGACTGAGGAAGGTCGGATTTAGTGGCCCTTACCAATGCATTCTTGAAAACGTGTACCCCTGCCTGTCCTCGTAGACCACAAAGAGGACTGAGAAAAATCAGATTTAGTTGCCCTTACCAATGCATTCTCAAAAACCTGTTAGAGTCCTAAGTGTTCTCCTGTTAGTATTGGGACTTTACCTGTGTCCTATGAAGATGTTATGCCCCAAAAATGAAATGGAGGGCCATACCCTGAGGGAGGGAAGGGATCTCCAGAGTTGGAAGTGTGATGCCTTTTGTCCTCATTTATATGAACAGGAAGGATAGAATTTCTGAGGATCCCCATATCCTAGCTTCAGGAATAGTTTTTGTTAGGCCTGCTTGTCTGAGGAGGGATTCTAAAATTCCAGATAGTACCCCCTAAAATGGGGCTTTGGGCAAAAATTATGTCTTTCTGATTGGTGAGCCCGGGTGCCTAAAGAAGGTAACAGAGTCCTGGAGTTTATACTAGAAATCATTCATGTAGGAGAAACTAGAAAAGCACCAGAGACAGGCAGTGGTTTTTAGAAGCGGGACTAGCCTTGGAGAAGAGAGGCAAGAGGAAGTTTGTCTGGCAGGCATTAGGACCCAGGAGGCAAGGGTCAGGATAGCTAGGATAGATAGGCAAGTCTCTCTTGGGTGACATGACTTTGAGAGTTCTGCTCATGGCCACAGGGTCAACCAACTTGTTGTCGGGACCCCGGAGCTGAATGGCTTTCCTCTCTGTCAACCCTTGGCGCAGCCCAGAAATACAGGAAAAGTGGAAGCTGGTTCCAGGCAAACCAACGCTCCCAACTCCAAAGAGTTGGGGATTGTTAGAGAGCCCTTTCCCAGAAAGCCTGACACCCCTGTCTTTAGTCTGGTGGCCACATTGGTCACTTTTTGTTTTGAGACGGAGTCTCGCTCTGTCGCCCAGGCCGGACTGCGGACTGCAGTGGCGCAACCTTGGCTCGCTGCAAGCTCCGCTTCCTGGGTTCATGCCATTCTCCTGCCTCAGCCTCCCGAGTAGCTGGGACTACAGGCGCCCGCCACCGCGCCCGGCTAATTTTTTGTATTTTTAGTAGAGACGGGGTTTCACCTTGTTAGCCAGGATGGTCTCGATCTGCTGACCTCATGATCCACCCGCCTCGGCCTCCCAAAGTGCTGGGATTACAGGCGTGAGCCACCGCACCCGGCCATTGGTCACTTTTAACTGGCTGACAGGTGCCCAGTATTTAGCCCCTGAATTCTAAGGAAAAATAGGACAGAACAGCAAGTGAAAGGGATCCAGTGGTACTTACTGCTTGGCAATAGGCAAAAGTCCCTTCATTGTCACCAAAATGTGTCCAGAATTGGTTCCTTCCGGTGGGTTCTTGGTCTCACTGACTTCAAGAATGAAGCTGCGGACCCACATGGTGAGTGTTACAGTTCTTAAAGATGGTGTGTCTGGAGTTTGTTCCTTCAGATGTTCAGATGTGGCCAGAGTTTCTTCCTTCTGGTGGGTTCATGGTCTTGCTGACTTCAAGGGTGAAGCTGCAGACCTTCACAGTGAATATTACAGCTGTTAAAGATGGCACATCCAGAGTTGTTCATTCCTCCTGGTGGGTTCATGGTCTTGCTGACTTCAGGAGTGAAGCCACAGACCTTCTCAGTGAGTGTTACTGCTCTTAAAGGTGGTGTGTCGAGTTGTTCATTCCTCCTGGTGGGTTTGTGGTCTTGCTGGCTTCAGGAGTGAAGCTGCAGACCTTTGCAGTGAGTGTTACAGCTCTTAAAGGTGGCATATCTGGAGTTGTTCGTTCCTCCTGGTGGGTTTGTGGTCTTGCTGGCTTTGGGAGAAAAGCTACAGACCTTTGCAGTGAGTGTTACAGCTCATAAAGGTAGTGAAGACCCAAAGAGTGAGCAGCAGCAAGATTTATTGTGAAGAGTGAAAGAACAAAACTTCCACAATATGGAAGGGGACCTGAGCAGGTTGCCACTGCTGGCTTGGGTGGCCAGCTTTTATTCCCTTATTTGCCCCACCCATGTCCTGCTGATTGGTCCATTTTACAGAGTGCTGATTGTTCCATTTTACAGAGTGCTGATTGGTGTGTTTACAAACTTTTAGCTAGACACAGAGCATTGATTGGTACATTTTTACAGAGTGCTGATTGGTGCATTTACAAACCTTTAGCTAGATACAGAGCACTAATTGGTGTGTTTACAAACCTTTAGCTAGAGAGAAAAGTTCTCCAAGTCCCCACCCGACACAGAAGCCCAGATGGCTTCACCTCTCAGTTTAGTTGTGTACTTGTTTGTAGTTGGAATTTGCAAGGCAGAATAATAGGGATGAGGTTAGTCCATGGGTAATTATTAGGGCAGTTGCACCGGTAAAACTTCAGGGGGTTTTAATGAGAATAGCCATGATAATAAGTGACATGTGGCTTATGGAGGAATAAGTAATGAGTGATTTTAGATCAGTTTGGCACAGAAAAATTGAGCTTGTTATGATTATTCCTCATAGGGATAGTATGAGGGAGGAATAAGCTATAAACTCTGTTAAGGGGTTAAGGATTAGGGTGATTCTTATAATCCCATAGCCACCTAATTTTAGGAGTACTGCTGTGGAGACTATTGGCCCAGCAATCGGGACCTCTACATGGGCTTTTGGGAGTTCTAGGTGGATTCCATAGAGAGGTGCTTTTACTATAAATGCTATGATGCATGCTAATCATAAAAGACTGTTGGACCAGGAAATTGTTAGTTCTTGAAGCTGGGTATTTGTCTTAAGGTAGACACAAGAGTGCTGATAAATTTCTCAAGCATGAGTGTTTGAATAAGTGAAGTTTCAAATTTGGGTCTTCTGTATATTAGCTGTGGGACACTGAAAATGAATTTGTCATTCTCTTAGCTCAGTTTGTTTGTTTAAAATAGAGCAAATAGACCTGCTGAATATGTTGGTGTGAGGGTTAATTGTAATCTGTGTAGCAATTGTCTGACCATTGCCTTGAACATCATAGGCCATCTGAGTGGCAAGTATAATAATCATCATCATGTTTATATATAAAATTCAGAAATATTTGAGCCTGTGTGACTGAATAAAAGCATACAAATACAATGAAAATATGAATCTAAGTCAGGCTTAGTAAATGGACAAAACAGTGACTTCATTTGCTGTTAACTGTATCTCCTTTTCTAGCTCTCAAAAATCTATGGCCCTGTGTTCACTCTGTATTTTGGCCTGGAACGCATGGTGGTGCTGCATGGATATGAAGTGGTGAAGGAAGCCCTGATTGATCTTGGAGAGGAGTTTTCTGGAAGAGGCCATTTCCCACTGGCTGAAAGAGCTAACAGAGGATTTGGTAGGTGTGCAAGTGCCTGTTTCAGCATCTGTCTTGGGGATGGGGAGGATGGAAAACAGACTAGCAGAGCTTCTCGGGCAGAGCTTGGCCCATCCACATGGCTGCCCAGTGTCAGCTTCCTCTTTCTTGCCTGGGATCTCCCTCCTAGTTTCGTTTCTCTTCCTGTTAGGAATCGTTTTCAGCAATGGAAAGAGATGGAAGGAGATCCGGCGTTTCTCCCTCATGACGCTGCGGAATTTTGGGATGGGGAAGAGGAGCATTGAGGACCGTGTTCAAGAGGAAGCCCGCTGCCTTGTGGAGGAGTTGAGAAAAACCAAGGGTGGGTGAACATACTCTCTATCACTGACCTTTCTGGACTGCTCTCCTCTCTACTGACATTCTTGGAAACATTTCAGGGGTGGCCAGATCTTTTATTTGGAGTCCTGGTTGTTAGCTCATGTGAAGCAGGGTTTGAAGCTGAGAGCCAAGGGAATTTGCACATGTTTGTGCTGTGTGTGTACAGGCATGATTGTGCATACAGTGTGGGTATAAAAGTTCATTTAATCCTATGTTCTCCTGAACTTTGCTTCTTTGTTTTCAAATAAGAAATGATGAATATAGATTTTGAGTTCATTTTTTGAAAGAGTTAAAGAGCAGTGTTTTTCCCATTATCTATTCCAGAACATGTCACCAGAGAATACTTGACAAGTGGACATGGTGGAAATGGCCCTATCACACCCCTAGGGAGCATGAACCAAATGGCATGTGCTTTTATTTAATTGGACTATGTTTGTATGGTCAGCCTCACTGACTTGTCTAGGGTTTCTTTTAGGCCCATGCTTGCCATTCTGGCCAGTAATGACATTCTACAGTTTTTATTGCTTAGGCATATCTTAGTGTAGTTCTCATCAGCTTTTATTTCTCTGTAAATACAGCATTATTTAAAAAATAGTGTTAATTATTTCTTGTTACTCTATTGATTTTGAGTAAACATATGCTATGACATAATTCTGTGAAATACACAAATGTCTATTTATAAAATAATTTATTTAACTAGATTTTAATTATTAGTAATAACTGTAATTTTTATTCCTTAAGTATAATTTGGCTCTGTTTCATTTTGCTTATCTCTTTCCAATCATATTTATGAAATTTTGGCTTAGAAATTTATGGTAATTATTATTTTCCACTGCCAACTCTACTCACCTATGAAGTTTTACAATGAATCAGTTTATCAGCTTGGATACCAAATTACCTCATTTTTAAATTCTGTTTTCCAAATGAAGTGAAAGACTGAAAATCAGATTTATCTGTGAATGATACACACACACTCAACAGACTTCCAGCTGTTCAATGCCTTGCTATTCATTCAGAGTACTTTTGACTAAAGTCACTATTTAGGGCCTATAGGTGTGAATTTGGAAGCTCTTTAAATATAAAGTTTAATATTTCAAAATAATAAGAGCTATTTATGAAAAACCCATAGCCAATATCATATTTAATGGGCAAAATCTGGAAGTATTCCCTTTGAAAACCAGAGCAAGACAAAGATGCCCTCTCTCACCACTCCTATTCAACATAGCTTTGGAAGTTCTCACCAGGGCAATCAGGCAAGAGAAAGAAATAAATGGTATTGAAATAGGATGAGAGGAAGTCAAATTGTCTCTGTTTACAGATGACATGATTGTATATTTAGAAAACCCCATTGTCTCATCCCCAAAACTGTTCATGCTAATAAGCAAATTCAGCAACGTCTCAGGATACAAATTCAATGTGCAAAAATCACAAGCATTCCTATACACCAATAATAGACAAGCAGACAGTCAAATAATGAGTGAACTCCCATTCACAATTGCTACAAAGAGAATAAAATGGCTAGAAATACAACTTAAAAGGGATGTGAAAGACCTCTTCAAGGAGAGCTACAAACCACTGCTCAGGGAATTAAGAGATTACAAAAACAAATGGAAAAACGTTCCATGCTCATGAATAGTAAGAATCAATATTGTGAAAATGGCCATATTGCCAAAAGTAATTTATAGGTTCAATGCTATTCCCATCAAGCTGCCATTGAGTTTCTTCACAGAACTAGAAAAAACTACTTTAAATTTCATATGGAACCAAAAAAGAGCTTGTAAAGCCAAGACAATCCTAAGCAAAAAGAACAAAGCTGGAGGCATCATGCTACCTGACTTCAAACTATACTACAAGGCTACAGTAGCCAAAACAGCATGGTACTGATACCAAAACAGATATATAGAACAATGGAACAGAACAGAGACCTCAGAAATAATGCCACACATCTACAACCATCTGATCTTCAACAAACCTGACAAAAACAAGCAATGGGAAAAAGATTCCCTATTTAATAAATGGTGTTGGACAAACTGTCTAGCCATATGCAGAAAACAGAAACTGGATCCCTTCCTTTCATCTTATAAAAAAATTAACTCAAGATGGATTGAAGACTTAAACATAAAACCTAAAACTATAAAAACCCTAGAGAAAAACCCAGGTAATACCATTCAGGACATAAGCATGGGCAAAGACTTCATGACTAAAACACCAAAAGCAATGGCAACAAAAGCCAAAATTGACAAATGGTAAACTAAAGAGCTTCTGCATAGCAAAGGAAACTATCATAAGAGTGAACAGGCAACCTACAGAATGGAAGAAAATTTTTGCAATCTGTCCATTTGACTAAGGTCTAATATCCAGAATCCACAAGGAACTTAAACAAATTTACAAGAAAAAAAGAAAACAACAACAACAAAAAAAAACTGCTGGGTCTGTCCTGCAGACCCTGGCCAATGGATGAAATGAGTACTCATATACAGGTATGAGGTGTAAGAGCAGCTAGGGGACTGTCTGGCTCAAGTGGCCAGAGTGTAGCCTCGAGAAGCTGGAGCTGCATGTTTTTATTCAGTGCAGGCACAATGCTGAAAACCTGGAGCCCATGCAATCTGTAGGTAATTAATATTTATTGTTCCCCTTTCAGGGAACATCAAGAATGGATGATCAAAGGTCAGTTCCTGGTCAACATAAGTAAACAAGCCTGTTCAAGATGACTTCCCCTTCCCTCCCTTGTACATACTCCTCGTCCTCTCCCTCACGGTCAGAGAACAGCTGCGTTCAGCTATTCTCACCTGAAACTATGCAGAGCCTTCCGACCTTTCAGAAGGCCTGCTCCTTTCCCTATACTTTCTCCCACCACTCTGATGGATCTCCTACAAACAACCCCATCAAAAAGTAGGTGAAGGATATCAACAGACACTTCTCAAAAGAAGACATTTATGTGGCCAACAAACATATGAAAAAAAGCTCATCACTGGTCATTAGAGAATGCAAATCAAAACCACAATGAGGTAAAATCTCATGCCAGTTAGAATGGTGATCATTAATAAGTTAGGAAACAAGAGATGCTGGTGAGAATGTGGAGAAATAGGAAAGCTTTTACACTGTTGGTGGAAGTGTAAATTATTTCAACCACTGTGGAAGACAGTGTGGCGATTCCTCAATGCTAGAACCAGAAATTCCATTTGATCTAGCAATCCCATTACTGGGTATATACCCAAAGGGCTATAAACCATTCTACTATAAAGATACATACAAACGTATGTTTATTGCAGCACTATTTACAATAGCAAAGACTTGGAACCAACCCAAATGCCCATCAATGACACACTGGATAAAGAAAATGTGGCACATATACACTGTGGACTACTATGCAGCCATTAAAAAGAATGAGTTCATGTCCTTTGCAGGGACATGGATGAAGCTGGAAACCACCATCCTCAGCAAACTAACAGAGGAACAGAAAACCAAACACTGCATGTTCTCACTTATAAGTGGGAGTTGAAAAATGAGAACACATGGACACAGGAAGGGTAACATCACACACCAGGGCCTGTTGAGGGGTTGGGGGGCAAGGGGAGGGAAAGCATTAGGACAAATACCTAATGCATGTGGAGCTTAAAACCTAGATGACAGGTTCATAGATGCAGCAAACCACCATGGCACATGTATACCTATGTAACAAATCTGCACAATTCTGCACACGTGTCCCAGAACTTAAAGTAAAATTAAAAATTAAAAAATATAAAGTTTAACAATCACTTGATTACAACAACTTTATTTCAGAGATCCTCCACCAAACAAGAAAACCTTTTGTATAATTTAATTTATTTAGCTATTAAATGATAGACTTGGTCTAATCAATGTCAAATTTCAAATAAGTTAAATTTGAAGGATGATTAGAGATGATGGGCATTTAATTCCTAGAGAAGAAAATTCATTTTTAAAAAACTAAAGAAGAAACTAAAAACTCCATTTATTAATTTACTTTTTTTCCTTTTTCTTTTCTTTTCTTTTTTTTTTTTTGAGTTGGAGTCTCACTCTTTTGCCAGGCTGAAGTGCACTTGTGTGATATCAGCTCACTGCAACCTCTGCCTCCTGGATTCAAGTGATTCTCCTGCCTCAGCCTCCCAAGTAGCTGGGATTACAGGCACCCACCACCACACTCGACTAATTTTTGCATCCTTAGCAGAGATGGGGTTCACCATGTTGGCCAGGCTGGTCTTGAACTCCTGACCTCAGGTGATCCACCTGCCTTGGCCTCCCAAAGTGCTGGGATTACAGGCATGAGCCAGTGTGCCCTATCTAATTTACTTTTCCTTGTTTGCCTTATCTGGGATTTACATTTCAAATAACAAGTTTTTGTTTAATTTTTTTGACAAACTAATCTATGTTAGACATTCTATTCATTTATGTTTGTATTTGTTCTCATAAAACACATTCTGCTTCTTACATTTATTTTCTCAAATACATGAATTCACCCCTAGTCTCTCTAGTTCCTCTCTACTGGTTCAATACATGATTCTTTGAGCTATTTGTTGTAATATAAAAAGCTTTGAAATCCCCAACTATTCTCACCCTTTCTATCTCAGTGCTTTGTTGTCTACAGACTTTGCAGACTGATGTGATTCCCTCTGAAACTTGAATTATTTGGTTTCTAAAAAAGTCTCTTTTTTTCTTTCCAAAGTAAAAGACAAATAGGCCGGGAATGTAAATTTAGCATTTGAGCAACCATTATTTAACCAGCTAGGCTGTAATTGTTAATTCGAGATTAATGTAAAAGTGATGTGTTGATTTTATGCATGCCAAACTCTTTTTTGCTTTTAAGGGAATTCATAGGTAAGATATTACTTAAAATTTCTAAACTATTATTATCTGTTAACAAATATGAAGTGTTTTATATCTAATGTTTACTCATATTTTAAAATTGTTTCCAATCATTTAGCTTCACCCTGTGATCCCACTTTCATCCTGGGCTGTGCTCCCTGCAATGTGATCTGCTCCATTATTTTCCAGAAACGTTTCGATTATAAAGATCAGCAATTTCTTAACTTGATGGAAAAATTGAATGAAAACATCAGGATTGTAAGCACCCCCTGGATCCAGGTAAGGCCAAGTTTTTTGCTTCCTGAGAAACCACTTACAGTCTTTTTTTCTGGGAAATCCAAAATTCTATATTGACCAAGCCCTGAAGTACATTTTTGAATACTACAGTCTTGCCTAGACAGCCATGGGGTGAATATCTGGAAAAGATGGCAAAGTTCTTTATTTTATGCACAGGAAATGAATATCCCAATATAGATCAGGCTTCTAAGCCCATTAGCTCCCTGATCAGTGTTTTTTCCACTAAACTCCAAAGCCCTGTTTCTATAAAGTACTTTGGTGACAGCCCCAAAGCGTGCTTATATCACTCCATGGACATCCAGGCACTTTGGAGTCTTCCATTACTCACAAGGCTTGTCCTTCAATTCACACTTTGTCATATTGTGTGACAGAAATATCCTAATCTAAAAGACATTATCTCCTTCAAGGACAGAGAATATTTGGAACCACAGAAGCTGCCAAGAAACACTGAATAGGGCAGAGGTGTTTGATGTCTCAGTTGGGATTCTAGCTGATGAGACAGCTGGTTAGGAATGAAAAAATTATTGTTTTTTTGGTGTATGAACCATAAACAGACATCACACTTTTACCCTGTGCTGAATTGGCATGTTTTATACTCTGCCTAAATAATAATTGTATGATTTTACAGAAGTCATTTAACTGCTCTGGTGCACAGTTGGAATTTGAAGTATCTTTGAGCCCCTCCCACTTCTAAAATACTAATTCAATTTCAGAGGCTGCTTGATAGAAATCAATATAGCAGGGACTATCTTTGTAGTATCAATCAGGTTGTGCAAACTCTTTTAACCTATGCTATCATCTCCAAAATGTTAATGTAGTAATTCATACCATCTTATATTTCAAGATTGTAGAGAAGAATTGTTGTAAAAAGTAAGAGAATTAATATAAAGATGCTTTTATACTATCAAAAGCAGGTATAAGTCTAGGAAATGATTATCATCTTTGATTCTCTTGTCAGAATTTTCTTTCTCAAATCTTGTATAATCAGAGAATTACTACACATGTACAATAAAAATTTCCCCATCAAGATATACAATATATTTTATTTATATTTATAGTTTTAAATTACAACCAGAGCTTGGCATATTGTATCTATACCTTTATTAAATGCTTTTAATTTAATAAATTATTGTTTTCTCTTAGATATGCAATAATTTTCCCACTATCATTGATTATTTCCCGGGAACCCATAACAAATTACTTAAAAACCTTGCTTTTATGGAAAGTGATATTTTGGAGAAAGTAAAAGAACACCAAGAATCGATGGACATCAACAACCCTCGGGACTTTATTGATTGCTTCCTGATCAAAATGGAGAAGGTAAAATGTTAACAAAAGCTTAGTTATGTGACTGCTTGCGTATTTGTGATTCATTGACTAGTTTTGTGTTTACTACGGATGTTTAACAGGTCAAGGAGTAATGCTTGAGAAGCATATTTAAGTTTTTATTGTATGCATGAATATCCAGTAAGCATCATAGAAAATGTAAAATTAAATTGTTAAATAATTAGAATACATAGAAGAAATTGTTTAGATAAATATAATCTATCTGAACAATAAGGATGTCAGGATAGGAAAAGCTCTGTTCTGCAGCTTCCAGTGAGATCAGCACAGGAGGAACTTAAATTTAAAAGAAAATAAAAAACATCTCCATCAAAAAGTGAGTGAAGGATATGAACAGACACTTTTCAAAAGAAGTCATTGGAGAAATGCAAATAAAAACAACAATGAGATACCATCTCATGCCAGTTAGAATGGCGATCATTAAAAAGTCAGGATATAACAGATGCTGAAGAGGATGTGGAAAAATAGAAATGTTTTTACTCTGTTTGTGGGAGCGTAAATTAGTTCAATCATTGTGGAAGGCAGTGTGGCAATTCCTCAAGGATCTAGAACTAGAAATACCATTTGACCCAGCAATCCAATTACTGGATATATATCCAAAGGATTATAAATTATTCTATTATAAAGACACATGTACACATTTGTTTATTGTGCCACTATTCACAATAGCCAAGACTTGGAATCAACCCAAATGTACATCAATGACAGACTGGATTAAGAAAATGTGGCACATATACACCATAAAATACTATGGAGGCATAAAAAAGATGAATTCATGTCCTCTGCAGGGACATAGATGAAGCTGGAAGCCCCCACTCTCAGTAAACTAACACAGGAACAGAAAACCAAACACCGTATGTTCTCACTCATAAGTGGCAGTTGAACAATGAGAACACATAGACACAGGATGAGGAACATCACACACTGGGGCCTGTCAAGGGGTGGAGGGCTTGGGGAGGGATAACATTAAGAGAAATACCTAATGTAGATGACAAGTTCATAGGTGCAGGAGACCACCATGGCACGTGTGTACCTATTTAACAATCCTGCACGTTCTGCACATGTATCCCAGAACTTAAAGTATAATAATAATAACAATAACAAAAATCTACCCAAGGGGAAACAAAATGCAGGTTTTAGGTGAAATGGAAGCAATTATGAACAAGTTAGAAAATATAAAATATTATGTCATAGGATGAAAATGGGCATCATTATTGCACACAGTTTATTGGAGAATGGGAAAGAATGGTTTAACCTAGGTGGGTTTCCTGCATTCCTGCAGATTGAAATAGGCCTTAAAATATTTGCAGTGAGAGTCAGAAGAGGGGTTTCAGATGGGTTGGAATGCTTTACATGGAGGTGTAGAGGTGTGTGATGGAAAAGAGTAGGTGGATGGAAGAGGGAAGGCTTCATTGAGTGTAAACTAAAATGATTTGTACAGATAAGAATTGGAATTTGGTATCTATCAGATACCGTGTAAACATCACCTCTTTTGTCATTGCACCATTTTTGAAGAGGCTATTTTTTCCTCCTATTGAATTGTCTTGACAACCTTGTCAAAACCCAATTGACTATAAATGTGTGAAGGGTTTTTTTTGGGGGGCTCTCAATTCTACTCCATTGATCTATGTGTCTGTCCTAATGCCTATAGTACACCATCTTGAAGTCTTAATTACTGTACCTTTGTATTAATATCAACTTATTAAATCAAGGAGTGTGAGTCTTTTGTTGTTCTTTTTCAATACTGTTTTCACTATTCTGGGTCCCTTGAATCTTCATATGAAATTTAGGATCAACTTGTCAATTTCTTCAAAGGAGCCAATGGGAATTTTGACAGGATTGCATTAAATCTGTAGAACAGGGAGTTATGCCATTTTAAAAATTGAAGTAAAATTCACACAACATACAATTAACCAGTTTAAAGCATACACCTAAGTGGTATTTAATGTATTCACAATGTTGTGCAACCATCAGCTTTCTCTGGTTTCAAAATGTTTTTATCACGCCACAAAAACGTATTATATTCGCTAAATAATCACTCCATTCCCCCACTCCATCATGTAATAACCTCTAATCTTTTTTCTGTCTCTATGGGTTTGCGTGTTATGGATATATAAAGAATTCATAGCATATGCAACCTTTTATTTCTGGGTCCTTACACTTACAATGTTTTGGAGGCTCATCTAAGTTGTAGCATATATCTGTACTTCATTCTTTTTGTGGATAAAGTATATTTTATTTTCTATGCACATTTATCACAAATTGTTATTCATCTGTTTGTGGACATTTGCATTGTTTCCAACTTTTGGCTCTTATAGATAATCTTTCTTTAACCATTTGTGTATGTTTCTTTATGGGCATGTTTTCATCATTCTTGGGTGTATTCTCAGGAGTTGATTTGCTGGGTCAAATGGTAATTTTATGTTTATCTTCTTGTATAAGAGCCAAATTTTTCTACAGTGAATGTGGCATTTTATATTCCTTCCAGCAATGTAGAAGGATTTCTGTTTCTCCACATAGTTGCTAATACTTGTAATTTTCTGTGTTTATTAAAGCCCTCCTAGTGAATGTAAAGTGGTATCTCATTATTTATTTATTTATTTATTTATTTTGAGACAGAGTCTCACTCTGTTGCCTAGGCTCGAGTGCAGTAGCATGATCTCATTCAAGCAATTCTCCTGCCCCAGCCTTCAGAGTAGCTGGGATTACAGGAATGTGCCACCATACCTGACTAATTTTTATATTTTTGGTAGAGATAGGGTTTCACCATGTTGGCCAGGCTGGTCTCGAACTCTTGACCTCAGGTGATCTGCCCACCTTGGCATCCCTAAGTGCTGGGATTACAGGTGTGAGCCACCATGCCCAGCTCTCATTGTGGTTTTAACTTGTATTTAATGACCAGTGATTTTGAACTTCTTTTAATATACTGTTACCCATTTGTATATCTTCTTTGGAGAAATGTTATTCAAGTCCATTTCCTATTTAAATTAAGTTGCCTTTATTTTTCTTTTTAAGCTATTAGAATTGTTTATGTTTTCAAAACATTAAACTCTTACATATACATAATATGAAAATATTTCCTCCCATTCTGTTGGTTGTCATTTCACATTCCTAATTATATTTTTGATGCACAAAGTTTAATTTTGATGAAGTTTGGTTTATCTATTTTTTCTTTTGCTCCTCTGGTATCAAATTTATGAACCTATTGCCAAATATGAAGTCATGAAGATTTACCCCTACATTTTATTCTAAGAGTTTTATAGTTTTAGCCCTTATATTTAAGTTTTTCCGTCCATTTTTCAGTTATATTTTTCATTTGGAGTGAGGTAGGGTAGGTCCCAGCTACATTCTTTTGTATTTTGTCATCCAATTGACTCATCACCATTTGTTGAAGAGATTCTTTCCTCGGACTGAATGGTCTAGGCACCCTTGATGAAAGTAAATTGGCCACAGATGTTTAGGTTTATTTCTTGATTTCAGTTTTATTCCATTGGTCTTGATGTCTATCTTTATGCTAGTACCACACTTTTGATTATTATACTTTGTAGTAAGTTTTGAAGTCAGAAACTGAGAACTCACTGATACAGAAATTAAGAAGAAATTACTTAGGCAGAGAGTAAGCATTTGGGAATTCTCAGTAAGGTTTTTCTTTTTAATGAAAAGCAACCCTAAATCATTGTCTGGCAAAGAGCATCGCGTAAAATCGAGCTGCAGTCATAGACAAGCAAGCTGGAAGCCTGCCCGGTGAATGCTGATAGGAAAGAACTACCTGTGACTAGGCATGTTCAAAATGGCAGCTCTATCTTCCCTTCCCTTTGCCAGCCACATGTACAGTAAGGAGCAGACAAGATGGCGCTGGTCAAGTGGAAAGTCCATTTGCATAATAACATTAGAGTGGGTTGGCCAGCCTTCCCTGCCCACTATGTAAATGCCACACCTGATTGAGCCAATCTTTGGGCCCTATATAAATCAGACACTGCCTTTTCCGGCCTGCCTATAAAATCTGCTGTGGTCCGCCTCCTTCCCCCTCTTTGGATGTCTCTCTCTCTCTCTCTCACAAGAAGCTGCTCTTTTTCTCCTTTCTTCTGTTATTAAACTACCTGCTCCTTAACCCACTCAGATGTGTCCATGTCCTAAATTTTCCTGGGGTACGATGACAAACCTGAGGGTATATATCCCAGGTAATGTAGCTGCTTCATCACCATGTAGTTGCATATGAATTGGACAATCAACTTTCCCATTTCTGGAAAAAGGTCACGGGTATTTTGGTAGGGATTGCATAGAATTTTTAGATCACTTTGAGGAGTATTGCCATCTTAACAATATTAAGTCTTCCAATCCTGGAACATTGAAGAGTTTTCAATTTATTTAGGTATTAGATATTCTTTTTTCCTCTTTTGCAAGGGTCTGGTTTAGTTTGAAAGGCAAGTTTACCTTAAATTTTGTATTTAGTTATGATCATTGCTTGCCTGATTTTAAAATGATACCATATGAAATACTTTCTTTTTAAAAAAATTTTCAACTTTTATTTTAGATTCAGGAAGTGCATGTTCAAGTTTGTTACATGGGTTTATTGTGTGATGCTGAAGTTTAGGGTACAAATAATTTCATCACCCAGGTAGTGAGAATAGTACCCAATAGGTAGTTTTTCAGCTCTTGCCTTTATATCTCTCTACCATCTATAGTAATTCCCAGTGTGTATTGTTTCCATCTTTGTGTCCCACTTTTATATGAGAACACGTGGCATTTGATTTTCTGTTGCTGCATTAATTCTCTCAAGACAATGGCCTCCAGCTGCATCTATGTTGCTGCAAAGACATGATTTTTTTTATGGCTGCATAGCATTTCATAGTGTATATATACCACATTTTCTTTATGCCACACACCATTGGTTGCTTCTGTGTCTTTGCTATTGTGAATAGTGCAGAGATGGACATATGAGCACATGTGTCTTTTTGGTATAACAATTTGTTTTCCACTGGATATGTACCCAGTAGTGGAATTGCTGCATCAAATGATAATTTTGTTTTTAGTTCTTTGAGAAATTTCCAAACTGCTTTCCATAGTGGCTGAACTAACTTACATTTCCACCAGTAGTGTATAAGTTTTCCCTTTTTTCTGCAGCCTTACCAACATCTGTTATTTTTTGGCTTTTTAATCATATCCATTCTGACTGGTATGAGATGATATCTCATTGTGGTTTTGATTTGCATTTCTCTGATGATAAGTGATGTTCAGCATTTTGTCATATGCTTGTTGGCCATGTGTATGTCTTCTTTGGAAGGACATATGTTCTTTGCCCACTTTTTAATGAAGTTATTTGTTTTTTAACTTGTTGAATTGTCTAAGTACCTTATAGATTCTCGCTATTGGACCATTGTTAGAATCACAGTTTGCAAATATTTTGTCCCCATTCTGTAGGTTGTCTGTTTATTGTGTTGATACTCTGTCTTGCTGTGCAGAAGCTCTTTACTTTAATTAGGTCCCACTTGTCAATATTCATTTTGGTTCCAATTGCTTTTGAGGGATTATTCATAAATTCTTTGCAAAAGCCTGTATCCAGAATGGTATTACATATATTTTTTTCTATAGGATTGTTAGTTTGATGTTTTAAACTTAGATCATTAATCCATTTCGAGTTAATTTTTGTATATGGTGCAAGGAAGTGTTCCAGTTTTATTCTGCGTATGGCTAGCCAGTTATCCTAGTTCAATTTACTGAATAGAGAGTCCTTTCCTGATTGATTATTTTTGTCAACTTTGTTGAAGATCAGATGGCTATAGGTGTGTGGCTTTATTTCTGGCTTCTGTATTGCTTTGGCTACTTGGGCTCTTCTTTGGTTTCAAACGAATTTTAGAATAGTTTTTCCTTATTCTGTGAAAAATGACATTGGTAGTTTGATAGGAATAGCATTGAATCTGTAGATAGCTTTGGGCAGTCTAGCCATTTTAATGATATTGATTGTTTTAATCCATAAGCATGAACTGTTTTTTCATTTGTTAGTGTAATCTATGATTTTGTTCAACAGTGTTTTGTAGCTCTCCTTGTAGAGACCGTTTGCCCCTTTGTTAGCTGTATTCCTAGGTTCCATTCCACCCCCACCCCCCACTATGGCTATTTTAAATGGGATGGCATTCTTGATTTGGCTTTCAGCATGAACATTTTTGATGTATACAAATGGTACTGAGTTTTGTACATTTATTTTGTGTGCTGAAATTTCACTGGAGTTGTATATCACTTCCAGGAGCTTTTTGGAAGGTTCTTTAGGGTTTTCTAGGCCTGAGATGGGTCTTCTAGGTCTGAGATGGAGCTTCTATATCTACTAGTAAAAGATTAGCCTTGTACTCTTGAAGACAGTAGAAGGATGGGTATTTTTTAAAATTTTTAAATTATACCTTAAGTTCTGGGGTACATCTGCAGAACGTGCAGTTTTGCTACATAGGTATATACGCACCATGGTGGTTTGCTGCACCCATCATCCTGTCACCTACATGAGGTATTTCTCCTAATGCTATCCCTCCCTGTGTCCATGTGTTCTCATTGTTCATTTCCCACTTATGAGTGAGAACACACAGTGTTTAGTTTTCTGTTCTTGTGTTAGTTTGCTGAGAATGATGGTTTCCAGCTACATCCATGTCCCTGCAAAGTATGTGAACTCATCCTTTTTAATGGCTACATAGTATTCCATGATGTACATGTGCCATATTTTCTCTATCTGTCTATCATTGATTGGCATTTGTGTTGGTTCCAAGTCTTTGCTGTTGTGAGCAGTGCTGCAATAAATATACATGTGCATGTGTCTTTATAGTAGAAGGGCTTATAATCCTTTGGGTATATACCCAGTAATGGGATTGCTGGGTCAAATGTTATTTCTAGTTCTAGATCCTTGAGGAATTGCCACACTGCCTTCCACAATGATTGAACTAATTTACATTCCCACAAACAGTGTAAAAATATTCTATTTCTCCATATCCTTTCCAACATCTGTTGTTTCCTGACTTTTAATGTTCGCCATTCTAACTGGCATGTGATGGTATCTCATTGTGGTTTTGATTTGCATTCTTCTAATGACCAGTGATGACGAGCTTTTTTTCATATGTTTTTTGGCCACATAGATGTCTTCTTTTGAGAAGGGTCTGTTGATATCCTTCACCCACTTTTTGATGGGGTTGTTTTTTTTTCTTTTAAATTTGTTTAAGTTCTTTGTTGATTCTGGATAGTTGCCCTTTGTCAGATGGATAGATTGCAAAAATTTTCTCCCATTCTCTAGGTGGCCTGTTCACTCTGACGATAGTTTCTTTTGCTCTGGAGAAGCTCTTTAGTTTAATGAGATCTCATTAGTCAATTTTGGTTTTTGTTGCCATTACTTTTGGTATTTTAGTCATAAAGTCCTTGCCCATGCCTATGTCCTGAATGGTATTGCGTAGGTTTTCTTCTAGGGTTTTTATGGTTTTAGGGCTTATGTTTAAGTCTTTAATCCATCTTGAATTAATTTTTGTATAACTTGTAAGAAAGGGATCCAGTTTCAGCTTTCTCCATATGGTTAGCCAGTTTTCCCAACACCATTTATTAAAAAGGGAATCCTTCCCCTATTTCTTTTTTTGTCAGGTTTGTCAAAGATCAAATGGCTGTAGATGTGTGGTGTTATTTCTGAGGCCTCTGTTCTGTTCCATTGATCTATATATCCATTTTGGTAACAGTACCATGCTGTTTTTATTACTTCGGCCTTGTAATATAGTTTGAAGTCAGGTAGCATGATGCCTCCAGCTTTGTTCTTTTTGCTGAGGATTGTCTTGGCTATACTGGCTCTTCCTTGGTTCCCTATGAAAATGAAAGTAGTTATTTTGAATTCTGTGAAGAAACTCAATGGTAGCTTGATGGGGATGGCATTGAATCTATAACTTACCTTGGGCAGTATGGCCAGTTTCATGATATTGTTTCTTCCTATCCATGAGCATGGAATGTTCTTGCATTTGTTTGTGTCCTCTTTTATTTCGTTGAGCAGTGGTTTGTAGTTCTCCTTGAAGAGGTCCTTCACATCCTTTGTAATTTGGATTCCTAGGTATTTTATTCTCTTTGTAGCAATTGTGAATGGGAGTTCACTCATGATTTGGCTCTCTGTTTATCTATTATTGGTGTATAGGAATGCTTATGATTTTTGCACCTTGATTTTTGTATCCTGAGACTTTGCTGAAGTTACTTAACAATTTAAGGGGTTTTGGGCTGAGACAATGGGGATTTCCTAAATATAAAATCATGTCATCTACAAACAGGAACAATTTGACTTCCTCTTTTCCTAATTGAATACCCTTTATTTCTTTCTCTTGCCTGATTGCCCTGGGCAGAACTTCCAATATTATATTGAATAGGAGTGGTGAGAGAGGGCATCCTTGTCTTGTGCCAGTTTCCAAAGGAATTTCTTCCAGTTTTTGCCCATTCAGTATGATATTGGCTGTGGGTTTGTCATAAATAGCTCTTATTATTTTGAAATATGTTCTATCAATACCTAATTTATTGAGAGTTTTAGCATGAAGAGCTGTTGAATTTTGTCGAAGGCCTTTTCTACATCTATTGAGATAATCATGTGGTTTTTGTCTTTGGTTCTGTTTATATGATGGATTACGTTTATTGATTTGCATATGTTGAAAAAGCCTTGCATCCCCGGGATGAAGCCAACTTGATCGTGGTGGATGAAGCCAACTTGATCGTGGTGGATAAGCTTGTTGATGTGCTGCTGGATTCAGTTTGCCAGTATTTTATTGAGGATTTTTGCATCGATGTTCATCAGGGATATTGGTCTAAAATTCTCTTTTTTTGTGTGTCTCTGCCAGGCTTTGGTATCAGTATGATACTGGCCTCACAAAATGATTAGAGAGAATTCCCTCTTTTTCTATTGATTGGAATAGTTTCAGAAGGAATGGCACCAGTTCCTCTTTGTACCTCTGGTGGAATTCAGCTGTGAATCCCTCTGGTTCTGGACTTTTTTTGGTTGGTATGCTATTAATTATTGCCTCAATTTCAGAGCCTGTTATTGGTCTATTCAGAGATTCAACTTCTTCCTGGTTTAGTCTTGGGAGGGTGTATGTGTCCGGGAATTTATCCATTTCTTTTAGATTTTCTAGTTTATTTGCGTAGAGGTGTTTATAGTAATCTCTGATGGTAGTTTGTATTTCTGTGGGATCAGTGGTGATATCCCCTTTATCATTTTTTATTGTGTCTATTTGATTCTTCTCTATTTTCTCCTTTATTATTTTTGCTAGCAGTCTATCAATTTTGTTGATCTTTTCAAAAAACCAGCTCCTGGATTCATTAACTTTTTGAAGGGTTTTCTGTGTCTATCTCCTCCAGTTCTGCTCTGATCTTAGTTATTTCTTGTCTTCTGCTAGCTTTTGAATATATTTGCTCTTGCTTCTCTAGTTCTTTTAATTGTGATGTTAGGGTGTCAAATTTAGACCTTTCCTGCTTTCTCCTGTGGGTATTTAGTGCTATAAATTTCCATCTACACACTGCTTTAAATGTGTCCCAGAAATTCTGGTGTGTTGTGTCTTTGTTCTCATTGATTTCAAAGAACATCTTTATTTCTGACTTCATTTCATTATTTACCCAGTAGTCATTCAGGAGCAGGTTGTTCAGTTTCCATGTAGTTGAGCAGTTTTGAGTGAGTTTCTTAATCCTGAGTTCTAGTTTGATTGCACCGTGGTCTGAGAGACAGTTTGTTATAATTTCTATTCTTTTACATTTGCTGAGGAGTGCTTTACTTCCAGCTATGTGGTCAATTTTGGAATAAGTGCAATGTGGTGCTGAGAAGAATGTATATTCTGTTGATTTGGGGTGGAGAGTTCTGTAGATGTCTATTAGGTCCACTTGGTGCAGAGCTGAGTTCAATTCCTGGATATCCTTATTAACTTTCTGTCTCGATCTGTCAAATGTTGACAGTGGGGTGTTAAAGCCTCCCATTATTATTGTGTGGGAGTCTAAGTCTCTTTGTAGGTCTCTAAGGACCTGTTTTATGAATCTGGGTGCTCCTGTATTGGGTGCATATATATTTAGGATAGTTAGCTCTTCTTGTTGAATTGATCCCTTTACCATTATATATTGGCCTAGTTTGTCTCTTTTGATCTTTGTTGGTTAAAGTCTGTTTTATCAGAGACTAGGATTGCAACCCCTGCATTTTTTTGCTTTCCATTTACTTGGTAGATCTTCCTCCATCCCTTTATTTTGAGCCTATGTGTGTCTGCACGTGAGATAAGTCACCTCAATTCAGCACACTGATGGGTCTTGACTCTATCCTATTTTCCAGTCTGTGCCTTTTAATTGGAGCATTTGGCCCATTTACATTTAAGGTTAATATTCTGTGAATTTGATCCTGTCATTATGATGTTAGCTGGTTATTTTGCTTGTTAGTTGGCTCAGTTTCTTCCTAGCAATGATGGTCTTTACAATTTGACACTTTTTTACAGTGGCTCATACCAGTTGTTCCTTTCCATGTTTAGCACCTCCTGCAGGAGCTCTTGTAAGGCAGGCCTGGTGGTGACAAAATTCTTCAGCATTAGCTCGTCTGTAAAGGATTTTATTTCTCCTTCGTTTATGAAGCTTAATTTGGCTGGATATGAAATTCTGGGTTGAAAACTCTTTTCTTTAAGAATGTTGAATATTGGCTCCCATTCTCTTCTGGCTTGTAGAGTTTCTGCTGAGAGATCCGCTGTTAGTCTGATGGGCTTCCCTTTGGGGGTAACCCAACCTTTCTCTCTGGCTGCCCTAAATATTTATTCCTTCATTTCAACTTTGGTGAATCTGACAATTATGTGTCATGGGGTTGCTCTTCTCGAGGAGTATCTTTGTGGCATTTTCTGTATTTCCTGAATGTGAATGTTGGCCTCTCTTGCTAGGTTGGGGAAGTTCTCCTGGATAATATTCTGAAGAGTGTTTTCCAACTTGGTTCCATTCTCCCCATCACTTTCAGGTACACCAATCAGATGTAGATTTGGTCTTTTCACATAGTCAAATATTTCTTAGAGGCTTTGTTCATTTCTTTTTACTCTTTTTTCTCTAAACTTCCCTTCTAGCTTCATTTCATTCATTTGATCTTCAGTCTCTGATACCCTTTCTTCCACTAGATTGAATCGGCTACTGAAGCTTGTGCATGCATCACATAGTTCTCATGACATGGTTTTCAGTTCCATCAGGTCATTTAAGGTCTTCCCTATGCTGTTTATTCTAGTTAGCCATTCGTCTAATCTTTTTTCAAGGTTTTAACTTCTTTGTGATGGGTTCAAACATCTTCCTTTAGCTTGGAGAAGTTTGTTATTACCGATCATCTGAAGCCTTCTTCTCTCAACTCGTGAAAGTCATTCTCTGTCCAGCTATCTTCTGTTGCTGGCAAGGAGCTGCTTCCTTTGGAGGAGAAGAGGTGCTCTGATTTTTAGAATTTTCAGATTTTCTGCTCTCGTTACTCCCATCTTTGTGGTTTTATCTACCTTTTGTCTTTGATAATGGTGACATACAGATGGTGTTTTGGTCTGGGTTTCCTTTCTGTTTGTTAGTTTTCCTTCTAATAGTCAGGACTCTCAGGTGCAGGCCTGTTGGAGTTTGCTGGAGGTCCACTCCAGACCCTGTTTGCCTGGATATCACCAGTGGAGGCTGCAGAACAGCAAATATTGCAGAACAGCAAATGTTGCTGCCTGATCCTTCCTCTGGAAGCTTTGTCTCAAAGGAGCACCGGGCTGTATGGGGTGTCAGTCGGCCCCTACTAGGAGGTGTCTCCCAGTTAGGCTACTCGGGAGCCAGGTACCCACTTGAGGAGGCAGTCTGTCCATTCTCAGATTTCAAACTTCCTGTTGGGAGAAACACCACTTTCTTCAAAGCTGTCAGATAGGGACGTTTAAGTCTGCAGAAGTTTCTGCTGCCTTTTGTTCAGCTATGCCCTGCCCCCAAAGGTGTAGTCTACAGAGGCAGGCAGGCCTCCTTGAGGTGCGGTGGTCTCCACCCAGTTCGAGCTTCCTGGCTGCTTTGTTAACCTACTCAAGCCTCAGAAGTGGTGGACGCCCATCCCCCAGCCTTGCTGCCACCTTGCATTTTGATCTCAGACTGCTGTGCTAGCATTGAGCGAGGTTCTGTGGGCATGGGACCCTCTGAGCCACGCATGGGATATAATCTCCTGGTGTGCCATTTGCTAAGGCCATTGGAAAAGCACAGTATTAGGGTGGGAGTGTCCCAATTTTCCAGGAACCATCTGTCATGGCTTTCCTTGGCTTGGAAAGGGAATTCCCCCACCCCTTGTGCCTCCCAGGTGAGGCGATGCCCTGCCCTGCTTCAGCTCACACTCCATGGGCTGTACCCATTGTCTGACAAGCCCCAGTGAGATGAACCCAGTGCCTCAGTTGGAAATGCAGAAATCACCCATCTTCTACATTGCTCACACTGGGAGCTGTAGACTGGAGCTCTTCCTATTCGGCCACCTTGGAACCTCCCAGTATGGCCATTTTCTCAATATTTATTATTCCTATCCAAGAGCATGGAATATTTTTTCCATTTCTTTGTGTCCTCTTTTATTTTGTTGAGCAGTGGTTGGTAGTTCTCCTTGAAGAGGTCCTTCACATCTCTTGTATGTTGGATTCCTAGGTATTTTATTCTATTTATAACAATTTTGTATGGGAGTTCACTCATGATTTGGCTCTCTGTTTGTCTCTTTTTTGTGTATATGAATGCTTGTGATTTTTGCACATTGATTTTGTATCCTGAGACTTTGCTGAAGTTGCTTATCAGCTTAAGGAGATTTTGGGCTGAGACGATGGTTTTTCTAAATACACAATCATGTCATCTGCAAACAGGGACAATTTAACTTCCTCTTTTCCTAATTGAATACCCTTTATTTCTTTCTCCTGCCTGCCTGATTGCCCTGGCCAGAGCTTCCAACACTATGTTGAATAGGAGTGATGAGAGAGGGCATCCTTGTCTTGTGCCAGTTTTCTTTATATATGTAAATATATATATATTTTTATACTTTAAGTTGTAGGGTACATGTGCACAATGTGCAGGTTTGTTACATATGTATACATGTGCCATGTTGGTGTGCTGCACCCATTAACTCATCATTTACATTAGGTATATCTCCTAATGTTATCCCTCCCCCCACCCCCACCCCACGACAGGCCCCAGTGTGTGATATTCTCCTTCCTGTGTCCAAGTGTTCTCATTGTTCAATTCCCACCTATGAGTGAGAACATACGGTGTTTGGTTTTTTCTCCTTGCCATAGTTTGCTGAGAATGATGGTTTCCAGCTTCATCCATGTCCCTACAAAGGACATGAACTCATCCTTTTTTAAGGCTGCATAGTATTCCATGGTGTATATGTGCCACATTTTCTTAATCCAGTCTATCATTGATGGACATTTGGGTTGGTTCCAAGTCTTTGCTATTGTGAATAGTGCCGCAATAAATGTACATGTGCATGTGTCTTTATAGCAGCATGGTTTATAATCTTTTGGGTATTTACCCAGTAATGGGATGGCTGGGTCAAATGGTATTTCCAGTTCTATATCCCTGAGGAATTGCCACAGTGACTTCCACAATGGTTAAACTAGTTTACAGTCCCACCAACAGTGTAAAAGTGTTCCTATTTCTCCATATCCTCTCCAGCACCTGTCGTTTCCTGACTTTTTAATGATCACTGTTCTAACTGGTGTGAGATGGTATCTCATTGTGGTTTTGATTTGCAGTTCTCTGATGGCCAATGATGATGAACATTTTTTCATGTGTCTTTTGGCTGCATAAATGTCTTCTTTTGAGAAGTGTCTGTTCATATCCTTCACCCACACTTTGATGGGGTTTTTTTTCTTGTAAATTTGTTTGATTTCTTTGTAGATTCTTGATATTAGGCCTTTGTCAGATGAGTAGATTGCAAAAATTTTCTCCCATTCTGTAGGTTGCCTATTCACTCTGATGGTAGTTTCTTTTGCTGTGCAGAATCTCTTTAGTTTAGTTAGATCCCATTTGTCAATTTTGGCTTTTGTTGCCATTGCTTTTTGTGTTTTAGATGTGAAGTCCTTGCCCATGCCAATGTCCTGAATGGTATTGCCTAGGTTTTCTTCTAGGGTTTTTATGGTTTTAGGTCTAACATGTAAGTCTTTAATCCATCTTGAATTAATTTTTGTATAAGGTGTAAGGAAGGGATCCAGTTTCAGCTTTCTCCATATGGCTAGCCAGTTTTCCCAGCACTATTTGTTAAACAGGGAATCCTTTCCCATTTCTTGTTTTTGTCAGGCTTGTCAAAGATCAGATAGTTGTAGATGTGTGGTATTATTTCTGAGGGCTCTGTTCTGTTCCATTGGTCTATATCCATATGGTACAAGTACCATGCTGTTTTGTTTACTGTAGCCTTGCAGTATAGTTGGAAGTGAGGTAGCATGATGCCTCCAGCTTTGTTCTTTTGGCTTAGGATTGACTTGGCAATGTGGGCTCTTTTTTATTTCCACAAGATCTTTAAAGTAGCTTTTTCCAATTCTGTGAAGAAAGTCATTGGTATCTTGATGGGGATGGCATTGAATCTATAAATTACCTTGGGCAGTATGGCCATTTTCACGATATTGATTCTTCCTATCCATGAGCATGGAATGTTCTTCCATTAGTTTGTGTCCTGTTTTATTTCATTGAGCAGTGGTTTGTAGTTCTCCTTGAAGAGGTCCTTAACATCACTCCTAAGTTGGATTCTTAGGTATTTTACTCTCTTTGAAGCAGTTGTGAATGGGAGTTCACTCATGTTTTGGCTCTCTGTCTGTTATTGGTGTATAAGAATGCTTGTGAATTTTGTACATTGATTTTGTATCCTGAGACTTTACTGAAGTTGCTTATCAGCTTAAGGAGATTTTGGGCTGTGACAATGTGGTTTTCTAGTTACACAATCATGTCATCTGCAAACAGGGACAATTTGACTTCCTCTTTTCCTAATTGATTACCCTTAATTTCTTTCTCCTACCTGATTGCCCCGGCGAGAACTTCCAACACTGCGTTGAATAGGAGTGGTGAGAGAGGGCATCCCTGACTTGTGCCAGTTTTCAAAGGGAATGCTTCCAGTTTTTGCCCATTCAGTATGATATTGGCTGTGCATTTGTCATAAATAGCTCTTATTATTTTTAGATACGTCCCATCAATACCTAATTTATTGAGAGTTTTTAGCATGACGGGTTATTGAATTTTGTTGAAGGCCTTTTCTGTATCTATTGAGATAATCATGTGGTTTTTGTCTTTGGTTCTGTTTATATGCTGGATTACGTTTATTGATTTGCATATGTTGAACCAGCCTTGCATCCCAGGGATGAAGCCAACTTGATTGTGGTGGATAAGCTTTTTGATGTGCTGCTGGATTCGGTTTGCCAGTATTTTTTTGAAGATTTTTGCATCGATGTTCTTCAGGCATATTGGCCTGAAATTTTTTGTGTGTGTGTCTCTCCTGGGCTTTGGTATCAGGATGATGCTGGCCTCATAAAATTAGTTAGGGAGGATTCCATCTTTTTCTCTTGGTTGGTATAATTTCAGAAGGAGTGTACCATCTCCTCTTGGTACCTCTGGTAGAATTTAGCTGTGAATCCTTCTGGTCCTGAACTTTTTTTTTGGTTGGTAGGCTATTAATTATTGCCTTAATTTCATAGCCTGTTATTAATCTATTCAGAGTTTCAAATTCTTCCTGGTTTAGTCTTGGGAGGGTGTATTTGTTCAGGAATTTATGCATTTCTTCTAGATATTCTAGTTTATTTGCATACAGGTGTTTATAGTATTCTGTGATTGTAGTTTGTATTTCTCTGTGATTGGTGGTGATATCCCCTTTATCATTTTTTATTACATCTATTTGATTCTTCTCTCTTTTCTTCTTTATTAGTCTTCCTAGTGGTCTATCAGTTTTGTTGATCTTTTCAAAATATCAGCTCCTGGATTCATTGATTTTTTTAAAGGGTTTTTTGTGTCTCTATCTCTTTCAGTACTGCTCTGATCTTAGTTATTTCTTGCCTTCTGCTAGCTTTGGAATTTGTTTGCTCTTGCTTCTCTAGTTCTTTTAATTGTGAGTTTTGGTGTCAATTTTAGATCTTTTCTGCTTTCTCTTGTGCATATTTAGTGCTATAAATTTCCGTCTACACACTGCTTTAAATGTGTCCCAGAGATTCTAGTATATTGCATGTTTGTTCTCATTGGTTTCAAAGAACATCTTTATTTCTTCCTTCATTTCGTTATGTCCCCAGTAGTCATTCAGGAGCAGGTTGTTCAGTTTCCAAGGGGTTGTGTGGTTTTGAGTTAGTTTCTTAATCCTGAGTTATAATTTGATTGCACTGTGGTCTGAGAGACAGTTTGTTATAATTTCTATTCTTTTACATTTGCTGAGGAGTGCTTTACTTCCAATTATGTGATCAATTTTAGAATAAGCACGATGTGGTGCTGAGAAGAATGTATATTCTGTTGATTTGGGGTGGCGAGTTCTGTAGATGTCTATCAGGTCCACTTGGTCCAGAGCTGAGTTCAAGATCTGGATATCTTTGTTAACCTTTTGTCTCATTGATCTGTTTAACATTGACAGTAGGATGTTAAAGTCTGCCATTATTATTGTGTGGGAGCCTAAGTCTTTGTAGGTCTCTAAGGACCTGCTTTATGAATCTGGGTGCTCCTGTATTGGGTGCATATATATTTAGGATAGTTAGCTCTTCTTGTTGAATTGATCCCTTTACCATTATGTAATGGCCTTTGTCTGTTTTGTTCTTTGTTGGTTTAAAGTCTGTTTTATCAAAGGGTAGGATTGCAACCCCTGATTTTTTTTTTTTTTTTTTTTTTTTGCTGTCTATTTGCTTGGTAGATCTTCCTCCATCCCTTTATTTTGAGCCTATTTGTGTCTCTGCATGTGAGATGCATCTCCTGAATACAGCACACTGATGGGTCTTGACTTTTTATCCGATTTTACAGTGTGTGGCTTTTAATTGGGGCACTTAGCCCATTTACATTTAAGGTTAATATTGTTATATGAGAATTTGATCCTGTCATTGTGAAGTAGCTTGTTATTTTGCCTGTTAGTTGATGCAGTTTTTTTCATAGCATTGATGGTCTTTACAATTTAGCATGTTTTTGTAGTGGCTCGTATGGTTTGTTCCTTTCCATGTTTAGTGCTTCCTTCAGGAGCTCTTGTAAAGCAGGCCTGGTGGTCACAAAATCTCTCAGCATTTGCTTGTCTATAAAGGATTTTATTTCTCCTTCATTTACGAGGCTTAGTTTGGCTGGATATGAAATTCTGGGTTGAAAATTCTTTTCTTTAAGAATGTCAAATATTGGCCCTCACTCTCTTTTGGCTTGTATGGTTTCTGCTGAGAGAGGCACTGTTAGTCTGATGGGTTTCCCTTTGTGGGTAACCTGAGATTTCTCTCTGCTGCCCTTAACACTTTTTCCTTCATTTCAACTTTGGTGAATCTGACAATTATGTGTCTTGGGGTTGCTCTTCTCGAGGAGTATCTTTGTGGCTTTCTCTGTGTTTCCTAAATTTGAATGTTGGCCTGCCTTGCTAGGTTGGGGAAGTTCTTCACTTCCTGAAGAGTGTTTTCCAACTTGGTTCCATTCTCCCTATCACTTTCTGGTACACCAATCAAATGTAGATTTGGTCTTTTCACATAGTCCAATATTTCTTGGAGGCTTTGTTTGTTTCTCTTTACTCTTTTTACTCTAAACTTGTCTTCTCACTTTATTTCTTTATTTAATTAATTTGATATTTGATCACTGATACCCTTTCTTCCACTTGGTTTTATTGACTATTGAAGCTTCTGCATGCATCATGAAGTTCTCATTCCATGGTTTTTGGTTCCATCAGGTCATTTAAGGTCTTCTCTACACTGTTCTAGTTAGCCATTCATCTAACCTTTTTTTCAAGGTTTTTAGCTTTCTTATGATGCGTTAGAACATGCTCCTTTAGCTTGGAGAAGTTTGTTATTACCGACATTCTGAAGCCTACTTCTGTCAACTCATCAAAGTCATGCTCCATCCAGCTTTGTTCCTTTGCTAGTGAGGAGCTGTAATCCCTTGAGGAGGAGAGGCACTCTGGTTTTTAGAATTTTCAGCTTTTCTGCTCTGGTCTCTCCCCATCTTTGTGGTTTTATCTACCTTTCGTCTTTGATGTTGCTGGCCTACAGTTGTGGTTTTGGTGTGAATGTCCTTTTTGTTGATGTTGATGCTATTCCTTTCTGTTTGTTAGTTTTTCTTCTAACCATCATGTCCCTCAGCTGCAGGTCTGTTGGAGTTTGTTGGAGGTTCACTCCAGACCTTTTTGCCTGGGTATAACCAGCGGAGGCTGCAGAACAGCAAATATTGCAGAACAGCAAATATTGCTGCCTGCTCCTTTCTCTGGAAGCTTCATCCCAGAGGGACACCCACGTGTATGAGGTGTCTGTTGGCCCCTACTGGGAGTTGTCTCCCAGTTAGGCTACACGGGGTTCAGGTACCCACTTGAGGTGGCAGTCTGTCTGTTCTCAGAGCTCAAACGCCATGGTGGGAGAAGCACTGCTCTCTTCAGAGCTGTCAGATAGGGATGTTTAAGTCTGCAGAAGTTGTCTGCTGCCTTTTTTTCAGCTATGCCTTGCCCTGGATTCTATAGAGGCAGTAGGCCTTGCTGAGCTGCAGTGGGCTCCACCCAGTTCAAGCTTCCCAGCCCCTTTGTTTATCTACTCAAGCCTTAGCAATGGTGGATGCCCCTTCCCCCACCTGGCTGCAGCCGCGCAAGTTGATCTTAGACTGCTGTGCTAGCAGTGAACAAGGCTCCATGGGCATGGGACCCACTGAGCCAGGCACGGGAGAGAATCTTCTAGTCTGCCTGTTGCTAAGACCATGGGAAAAGCACAGTATTTGAGTGAGAGTGTCCTGCTTTTCCAGGTATCATCTCTCACGGCTTCCCTTCACTAAGAAAGGGAAATCCCTTAACACCTTGCACTTCCTGGGTGAGGCAGTGCCCCACCCTTCTTCAGCTCACCCTCCATGGGCTGCACCCATTGTCCAACCAGTACCAATGAGATGAACAAGGTACCGCAGTTGGAAGTGCAGAAATCACTTGTCTTCTGCCTCAATCATGCTGGGAGCTGCAGACCAGAGCTGTTCCTATTTGGCCATCTTGCCACTAAATCTCTAGTTCTTTTAAATGTCATGTTAGGATGCTGATTTTAGATCTTTCATGCTTTCTCTTGTGGACATTTAGCGGTATCAATTTCCCTCTACACAATGCTTTAAATGTGTCTCAGAGATTCTGTTTCATTATTTCTTTGTTCTCATTGGTTTCAAAGAACATTATTACTTTTGCCTTAATTTCGTTAGTTACTCAGTAGTCATTCAGGAGCAGGTTGTTCAGTTACCATGTCATCATGCAGTTTTGAGTGAGTCTCTTAATCCTGAGTTCTAAGTTGATTGCACTGTGGTTTGAGAGACTGTTTGTTATGACTTCCATTCTTTTCATTTGCTCAGGAGTGTTTTACTTCTAGTTATGTGATCAATTTTAGACTAAGTGTTATGTGGTGCTGATAAGAATGTATATTCTGTTGATTTGGGATGGAGAGTTCTGTAGATGTCATTAGGTCCACTTAGTCCAGAGCTGTGTTCAAGTCCTGAAAATCCTTGTTAATTTTCTGTGTCATTGATCTGTCTGATATTGACAGTGGGTGATAAAATCTCCCACTATTATTGTGTGGGAGTCTAAGTCTCTTTTTAGGTCTGTAAGAACTTGGTTTATGAATCTGGATGCCCCTGTATTGGGTGCATATAATTTAGGATAGTTAGCTCTTCTTGTTACATTGTGTCTGGATTTTGTTCCTTCTGGTGCGTTCGTGGTCTTGTTGACTTCAGAAATGAAGCTGTGGACCTTTGTGGTGAGTGTTAGAGCTTTTAAAGGTGTTGCAGACCAAAAAAGTGAGTAGCAGCAAGATTTATTGTGGAGAGCGAAAGAACAAAGCTTTGACATCATGGAAGGAGACCTTAGAGGGTTGCTTCTGCTGGCTGAGGTGGCCAGCTTTTATTCCCTTATTTGTCCCCACCCATGTCCTGCTGATTGGTCCATTTTACCGAGTGCTGATTGGTCCATTTTACAGGGCACTGATTGGTCCATTTTTCAGAGCACTGATTGGTCCATTTACAGTGTGCTGATTGGTCCAGTTTACAAACCTCTAGCTAGCTACAGAGCACTGATTTGTGTTTTTTACAGAGCGCTGATTGGTGCATTTTACAATCCTTTTGTAAAACAGAAAAGTTTTCCAAGTCCCCACCCAACCCAGAAGTCCAGCTGGCTTCACCTCTCACCTTTACCATTAGGTAGTGGCCTTCTTTGTCTCTTTTGATATTTGTTGCTTAATGTCTGTTTTATCACAGACTAGGATTGCAACCCCTGCTTTTTATTGCTTTCTATCTGCTTGGTAAATCTTCCTCCATCCCTTTATTTTGAGCCTATGGGTGTCTCTGCATGTGAGATGGGTCTCCTGAATACAGCACACCAATAGGTCTTGACTTTTTATCCAATTTGCCAGTCTGTGTCTTTTAACTAGGGTATTTAGCCCACTTACATTTAAGGTTAATATTGTTATGTGTGAATTTGATCCTGTCACTATGATGTTAGCCAGTTATTTTGCTTGTTAGTTGATGCAGTTTCTTCACAGAGTCAATGATCTTTACAATTTGGTGTGTTTTTGCAGTGGCTGGTACCAATTTTTCCTTTCCATATTTAGTGCTTCCTTCATGGATTCTTGTAAGGCAGGCCTGGTGGTGACAAAATCTTTCAGTATTTGCTTGTCTGTAAAGGATTTTATTTCTCCTTCACTTATGAAACTTAGTTTGTCTGGGTATGAAATTCTGGGTTGAAAATTATTATTTTTTTAAGAATGTTGAATATTGGCCCTCACTCTCTTCTCGCTTGTCATGTTTCTGCTGAGAAATCCACTGTTACTCTAATGGGTTTTCCTTTGTGGGTAACCCAACCTCTCTGGCTGCTCTTAATATTTTTTCCTTCATATCATATTTTGAATATTTTATCTGTCATTTCTGAGTTGCCAATTTATTTAGGGTTCATTGCTGGGGAGTTAGTGTGGTCTTTTGGTGGTTTTACAATATTCAGATATTTCATGGTGCCAGAATTCTTATGCTGGTTTCTTCTTATTTGGAGAGGCAACCCCTTCTGATTTTTGAATTTTTGTTTTCTGCAGATAGAATTGTTTTCTCTCCCTATTTTTTTCTTTCCTTTTTCCCTCTCCCTTCCAATGGGGGTGTAACTATAAAGTATGTTGGGTAGGGTCTTTGACTTTAATTCCATAGCTGTGTTTACTTCTGTGGGTAGTTTTATATCGGCCTGTGCAGTTTGACATACATGTCAGTAGATGGGACTTGTGAGCAAAAGCCAGCTGCAGCTAGCACAAGTTTCTCTAGCACAGCTTGATCCTTGTTTTCTGGGGGATCTTCTTTGTTTCCTCAGGCAATCTGTTCATCTGTGGAATGCAGAGTGGTCTGGGCTCCCTGCTCAGCCCCAGGGGAATCAAGATGGGTGGCACTGGACTGGGCAGTCTTATCTAGTTTCCCTAATGACAGGCACTAGCACCAGCACTGAGAAATAATCCAGTGGGCAGACTTGAAGCCCCCAGGGTTGTGCTAGCCATGGAGCTAAGAAACCTCTTTGGCTCCAAGTACTCTGCAGGGGTAAGGGAGGGGAGAGTTGGTGGTGGCCTAAACTTCTAATCCAGGTGAGTGGATGCTTTGAATGCCTCATGATCTGTCTGAGTGTGAAGGAGAGAGAGCTCCCCTGCGGCCAGATCTCTGTACAGGAAGGGGAGGGTGGCTCAGGCTGACAATCCAGGTGAGCAGGTGCTTTGAATGCCCTGAGATCTGCCTGGATATGGAGCAGAGAGGGCCCCCTTGCACCATGATCTATGCACAGGCACAGGAAGAGTGGGGTGGCTCAGGGTGCTGATCCAGGTGAGAAATGCTCTAAATGCTTAGCAGTCTGCCTGGGTGTGGAGCACAGAGGGTCCTTCTGGACCATTATCTATACCAAGGAAGAGTGGGGTGGCTAGGACTGCTGGTCCAGGCAAGTAGATGCTCTGAGTGCCTGGAGCTCTGCTTTGAGGATGGAATGGAGAGGGCTCCACTCCTCAATCTTAGGGGAAAGGCTGAGGCACCAAGCAAGGACACATGCAGACCATTTCCAGGTCACCAAGCTAGTCCTGGCTGTAAATGTCATCACCCAGGAGAACTGCTGTAGCAGCTCTCCTTCCATCCCAGGTCTGTAATGTGGGAGGGCCCAATTCCAGTACCCACTGCTAAGGTGCTTTCCACAATTATGGCTGTGGAGGCCCCTACCTTCCTCCAGACCAACTGCTCCGATTTCTGGCCTGAGACTAAAATATCTGCGTGGCCATGATGCCAGGCTGCCAAAGAATGATTGACTTTTTATGCTCCCATATTAAAAGCAGCATCTTGCTCTTGGTCCCAGGTATGGGAAAATGTGTGCAGCTTTTCCTGGTGTCTTTCCCTCTCAGCATGTTCAAGCCTCTCCCCACCTTAGCTGCAGGGCTTAGAATAAACAAAGTGCTCTCCCTTGACCTGGGTTGCTCAGATCCCCAGTTGAAGGGTGAGTAGCCAGGGGAGGCTCTCTTTCACATAACGGGTCTGTACTTACTTTTATCAGCTGAATGCCATCATGAGGCTGTTTGTCCACATTTTCCTCCCCAGGTATCTTAGATGTCTTTCACGATTTCTGTGGATTTTTCTTCTTGAATTTAAGCTTACAAAGTTGATCTTTATGTACTGTGCTATTTCCAAGTGGCTGAAGCATGCTAATTGCCTCTAATCTGCCATCTTGGAAAATATGGTATTCTTTATTCTTTAGCAATGTTTAATAGTTTTTAGTGTCAGAGTCTTTTATTTTCTTGATTATTGTTTTCTTTGTGTATTGTATGAGATTTTTCTATATATAGAAACATGTTATCTTGAACTACACATGATCTGAATTTTTCCTTTCCTATTTGGATGTGTTTTATTTCATTTTCTTGCATGGTTGCTCTGGCTAGAACTTCCAATACTATATTTAATAGTAGTAAAAGTGGACATCCTTGTTTTTTTTCTTTTCTTTCTGATTTTAAGTTATAAGACTTTAGCCTTTCAAAATTTAGTATGCCTTAGCTTTGCAGTTTTCATAAATATGCTTTATTATGGTAAGGGAGTTTTATTTATAGTTTTATGAGTATTTTTGTTATGATAGGTGTTGAAAGTTGTCATTTTTTTCTGCATCTAATGAGATGAACATGTTTTTCTCTTTTATTCTAATATGGTGTAGTGCACTGGTTGACTTTCTTGTTGAACCACCCTTGCATTTCTGGGATAAATCTAACTTGTTTATTGTGTGTAATCTTTTAAATTTTGTAAAAAATGTTGTGGCAAAATACACAAAAAAGTTTCTGTATTAATCATTTTAAGTGTATAGTGTATTGGCATTGATTACATTCACATTGTTGTGCAAACATCACTGCCATACATCTACAGAATTCTTTTCATCTTACAAAATGGAAACCTTATACCCATTTAATAGTAACTCTTGGCCGGGCATTGTAGATCATGCCTGTAATCCCAGCACTTTGGGAGGTTGAGGTGGGCAGATTTCATGAGCTCAGGAGTTTGAGACCAGCCTGGGCAACATGGTGAAACCCTGTCTCTACCAACAAAGCAGTCAACAAACAAAACCAAAGTAATATAATTTCCTCAACTATGCAAACTAATTCATATTAATAATTCCATGAAGTGTGTCCATAGTAACACAAGATGGGCCTTATAAAGTTGGCCTATCACATTCTTTGAGGTCTTTGTCAGTCTTATGTGCCAGATACTGTGCGGACTAGCTGCAATTAAAATTCCCATTCCCTTATCACTTGCTCCGAAATTTATCTGAAGTCAAAGGGAATGGCTTGCCCAAAGAGAAGTGTCCAGAGACGTGGATGATGTGACAAGAAATGTTGTAGAACCCCACCCCCACCTCAAATGATAACTGTACATTTCTCCTTTCCACCGTCCCGTGGCAACCAACATTCTACTTTATGTCTCTATGAAATCGAGTATGCTGGGTACCTCATAGAAGTGGAATCATTACATATTTGCCCTTTTGTGACTGGTTTATTTCACTTTGCCTAATGTTATGTTCTCAGGGTTCATTCATGTTTTCGCATGTGTCAGATTTTTCTTCATTTCCAAGGGTGAATAATATTCCGTTGTATGTATAAACCAAATTTGCTTACCCATTTTTCTGTTGATGGGCACTTGGATTACTTTCACCTCTGGCTTTGTGAGTAATGTTATTATGCATATGGGTAAATAAATATCTCTTTGATGTGCTGCTTTCAATTCTTTTGGGTATATACCCAGAAGTGGCATTTCTGGGATATGTGGTAATTCTATTTCTAATTCTCGAACGTCTTAATGTTTTTCTTAACAGCTGCACCATTTTACATTACATTCCCATCAGTAGGACATGAGGGTTCCAATTTCTTCACATTCTCACTTGTTGTTTTCTTTTGTTTTCTTAGCCTTTATTTATTAGATTTACTTATTATTTATTTATTAATAATTTATAAATATTACAAATTATAATAATGCAAATGTATAATAGTAAAAAATATATTATAAATACGTTACCATAAATTTATATTATATAACATATATAAAAGTATATTATTATTGATATATTATAAATTTATAATTTATTATTTTAGTGGGCACAATAATTGTACATATTTATGGGGTGTACTGTAATATTTCAGTATATGTATACAATGTGTAATGATCAAGCAGGATGATTAGCATATCTATAACCTCAAGTATTTTTCATTCCCTTGTGCTTGAAACATTAAAAATCTGCTCTTCTAGCTATTTGAAAATATACAATAAAGTGTTGTTAATTATAGTCACCCTACACTGCTATAGAATACTATAACTTTTCTCTTTTGTATAGCTGAAGTTTTGTATCTGTTAACCAACTTCTGGCTATCCCCCTTACTTCTCTACCTCTACTAGCTACCATTCTGTTCTCTATTTCTGTGAGATTAACTTTCTTAGCTACCATATAAGAATAAGAACATGCGTTATTTATCTTTCCATGCCAGGCTTATTTCACTTAACATAATGTCTTCTAATCTCAACCATGTTGTTGTGAATGATAGAATTTTGGGCTTTTCTTATTGGTAATTAGTTTTCCATGGTGTATGTATACATACCACGTTTTCTTTACCCATTCATTTGTTGATGGACACTTAGGTTGATTCCATATCTTGGCTATGGTGAATAGTGCTTTAAGTAAATATGGAAGTATAACTATCTCCTTGATATAACAGTATCTTTTCATCTGGTTATATACCCAAGAATGGGATTGCTGGATTATATGGTAGTTCTATTTTTAGTTCTTCGAGGATTCTTTATACTGTTTTCCATCATGGCAGTACTAATTTACATTATCAATAAGTTTTTGAGTTCTCTTTCTCTGCGTCCTCACCAGCGTTGGCTGTCTTTTGTCTTTTTGATGATAGCAATTCTAACTGGAGTGAGCTGATATCTCATTGTGGCTTTGATTTGAATTTCCTTGCTGATATAATCATAAGCATTTTCCATATACCTATTGGCCACTTGTATGTCTCTTTTGGGAGACGCCTGTTCAGTTTATTTACCCATATTTTAATTGTAGTATTTGTTTTTTTGTTTCTGTTGAATTGTTTGAGTTACTTGTATATTTTGGATATTAATCCTGGTCAGATGAAAATATTGCAAATATTTTCTGTCATTCTTCAGGTTGTCTTTCCACTTTATTGAATGTTTTCTTTGCCCTGCAGAAGTTTGCTATAATCTCATTTGTCTAATTTTTACTTCAGTTGCCTGTGCTTTTGAAGTTTTATCCATTGCCAAGACCAATACTCTGAAGCATTTCTCCTGTTTTTCTTCTAGTAGTTTCATAGTTTCAGGTATTAATCATTTCATTTGTTTTGAGTTTATTTTTGTAAATAATGAGAGATAAAAATCTTGTTTCATTTTTCTGCATATAAACATCCAGTTTTCCTGTTGCTATTTAATGAAAAGACTGTTCTTTCATCAGTGAATGTTCTTGGTGCCTTGTCAATAATGTTTGCTATAAAGGCATGGAATAATTTCTGTGTTCTCTGTTCTCTTCCATGGGTCCATGTGTCTGCTTTTAGGCCAGTATAATGTTATTTTAGATATTATAGATTTATAGTAATTTTTGTGTGTTTTTAAATGTTTCTGGGTACACAGAAGGTATATATATTTGATGGGTACATGAGATCTTTTGATATAAAAATGCCATGTGTAATAATCACATTATGGAAGATGGTTTATCTATCCTCTCAAGCATTTATCCTTTATGTTACAGACAATCGAATTATACTCTTTAAGTTATTTAAAAATGTATGATTGACTAATTATTGACTATAGTCACCCTATTGTGCTATCAAATACTAGGACTTATTCATTAATTATAACTATTTTTGTACCAATTAGAATTTCCACTCCCCTTCACCCACTCACTGTCCCTCCCAGCCTCTGGTAACCATCTTTCTACCCTGTATCTCCATGGGCTCAATTGTTTTGAGTTTTAGATCCCACAAATAAGTGAGAACATGTGATGTTTGTCTTTCTGTTCCTGGTTTATTTCACTTAACATAATAATCTCCAATTCTATCTGTGTTGTTGCAAATGACCGAATCTCATTTTTTTAAATGGCTGTATAGTACTCCGTTGTGTATATGTACCACGTTTTCTTTATCCACTCATCCATTGATGAACACTTAGGTTGCTTCCATATCTTAGCTATTATAAACAGTGCTGAAACAAACATGGGAGTGTAGATATCTCTTCAATATACTGATTTCCTTTCTTTTGGATATACCTAGCAGTGGGATTGCTGGGTCATTTGGTAACTTTATTTTTAGTTTTATGAGGAACCTCCAAATCTTGCTCCATAGTAATTGTATGAATTTAAATTTCCACAAAAAATATATGAGGGTTCCTTTTTCTTCACATCCTTACCAGCATATGTTATTGCTCATCTCTTGGATATAAGCCACTTTAACTGGGGTGAGATGATATCTTATTACAGTTTTTATTTGCGCTTCTCAGATGATCAGTGATATTGAGCACTTTTTCATATGTCTGTTTTCCATTTGTATGTCTTCTGTTGGGAAACGTCTATTCAAATCTTTTGCCCACTTTAAAACTAAATTATTAGATTTGTTCCTAGAGAGTTGTTTGAGCTCCTTATATAGTCTGGTTGTTAATCCCCTGTTAGAGGGGTAGTTTTCAATTATTTTCTTCCTATCTGTGGGTTATCTTTTCACTTTATTGATTGTGTCCTTTGCTGTGCTGAAACTTTTTAACGTGATATAATCCCATTTGTCCATTTTTACTTTGGTTGGAGTTTTCTAAATCTACAATCATGTAATCTGCAAACAGACAAAATTTGATTTTCTCTCTTCCTGTTTGAATACCTTTTATTTTATTTCTTTCTCTTGCCTGATTGCCCTGGTCAGAACTTCCAATATTATGTTAAATAGAAGTGGTGAGAGAGGGCATCCTTGTCTTGTGCCAGTTTTCAAAGGGAATGCTTCCATTTTTGCCCATTCAGTATAATTTTGGCTGTGGTTTGTCATAAATACCTCTTACTATTTTGAGATACATTCCATCAAAATCTAGTTTATTGAGAGTTTTTAGCATGAAGGGGAGTTGAATTTTGTCAAAGGCCTTTTCTGCATCTATTCAGATAGTCATGTGGTTTTTCTCATTGGTTATGTTTATGTGATGGATTATGTTTGTGTGTGTTTGTTTATTTATTTATTTATTTTGAGACAGAGTCTTGCCCTGTCACCCAGGCTGGAGTGCAGTGGCATTATCTCAGCTCACTGCAACTTCTGCCTTTCAGATTCAAGTGTTTCTCCTGCCTTAGCCCCCTGAATAGCTGGAATTACAGAGGCTGCCACCACGCCTGGCTAATTTTTTGTATCTTTAGTAGAGACTGAGTTTCACCATGTTGGCCAGGCTGGTCTCAAACTCCTGACCCTGTGATCCACCCACCTCAGCCTCCCAAAGTGCTGGAATTATAGGCGTGAGCCACGTCGCCCGGCCTACATTTATTGATTTGCATGTGTTGAACGAGCCTTGCATCCCAGGGATGAAGCCAACTTGATCGTGGTGGATAAGCTTTTTGAAGTGCTGCTGGATTCAGTTTGCCAGTATTTTGTTGAGGATTTTCGCATGGATGTTCATCACGGATATTGGCCTGAAATTTTCTTTTTTTTTGTTTTATGTCTGCCAAGTTTTGGTATCAGGATGATTCTTCCCTTATAAAATGAGTTAGGAAAGAGTCTGTCTTTTTCTACTGTTTGGAGTACTTTCAGAAGGAATGGTACCAGCTCCTCTTTGTACCTCTGGTAGAATTCGGCTGTGAATCCTTCAGGTCCTGGGCTTTTTTTTGCTTGGTGGGCTATTCCTTGCTGCCTCAATTTCAGAACTTGTTATTGGTCTCTTCACGGATTGGACTTCTTCCTGGTTTGGTCTTGGGAGGGTGTATGTGTCTAGAAATTTATCCATTTCTTCTAGATTTTCTAGTTTATTTGCATAGAGGTGTTTATAGTATTCTCTGATGGTAGTTTGTATTTCTGTAGGATCAGTGGTGATATCCCCTTTATCATTTTTTTGTTCTCTCTATTTGATTCTTCTTTCTTTTCTTCTTTATTAGTCTGGCTAGCAGCCTATTTTGTTAATCTTTTCAGAAAATTAACTCCTGTATTCTTTGATATTTTGAAGGGATTTTCCTGTCTCTATCTCCTTCAATTCTGCTCTGATATTAGTTATTTTTTGTCTTCTGCTAGGTTTGAATTTGTTTGCTCTTGGTTTTCTAGTTCTTTTAAATGTGATGTTAGGGTGTTGATTTTAGATCTTTCCTGCTTTCTCCTCTGGACATTTAGTGCTATAATTTTCCCTCTAAACACTGCTTTAGCTGTGTCTTGGAGATTCTGGTACACTGTGTCCTTGTTCTCATTGGTTTCAAAGAACATCTTTATTTTGCCTTCATTTTGTTATTTACCCAGTAGTCATTCAGAGCAGGTTGTTCAGTTTCCATGTAGTTGTGCAGTTTTGAGTGAGTTTCTTAATCCCGAGTTTTAATTTGATGGCACTGTGGTCTAATAGGTTGTTTGCTTTAATTTCTGTTCTTTTGTATTTGCTGATGGGTGTTTTACTTCCAATTATGTGGTCAATTTTAGAATAAGTGTGAAGTGGTGCTGAGAAGAATGTATATTCTGTTGATTTAGGGTGGAGAGTTCTTTAGATATCTATTATGCCCGCTTGGTCCAGAGCTTAGTTCAAGTCCTGGAGATCCTTGTTAAATTTCTGTCTCATTGATCTGTCTAATATTGACAGTGGGGTGTTAAAGCCTCCATCTATTATTGTGTGGGAGCCTAAGCCTCTTTGTAGGTCTTTAAGAACTTCCTTTATGAATCTGGGTGCTCCTGTATTGGGTGTGTATCTATTTAGGATAGTTAGCTCTTCTCGTTGCATTGATCCCCTTAACATTATATGATACCACCCCTTTTTTTAATCTTTGTTGGTTTAAAGTGTGTTTTATCAGAGACTAGGATTGCAACCCCTGCTTTGTTTTGCTTTCCATTTGCTTGGTAAATATTCCTCCATCCCTTTATTTTGAGCCTATGTGTGTCTTTTCACGTGAGATAGGTCTCCTGAATACAGCACATTGATGGGTCTTGACTCTATCCAATTTGCCAGTCTGTGTCTTTTAATTGGGGCATTTAGCCTGTTTACATTTAAGGTTAATATTGTGTGTGGATTTAATCCTGCCATTATGATGCTAGCTGATTATTTTGCCTTTTAGTTGATGCAGTTTTTTTATAGTGTTGATGGTCTTTACAAAATTTAGTATGTTTTTGCAGTGGCTGTTCCCAGTTGATCCTTTCCATATTTAGTGTTTCCTTCAGGAGCTCTTGTAAGGCAGGCTTGGTGATGACAAAATCCCTCAGCATTTGCTTGTCTGTAAAGGATGTTATTTCTCCTTTGCCTATGAAGCTTAATTTAGCTGGATATGAAATTCTGGGTTGAAAATTCTTTTCTTTAAGAATGTTGAATATTGGCCCCCACTCTCCTCTGGCTTGTCGAGCTTCTCCAGAGAGATATGCTGTTAGTCTGACAGGCTTCCCTTGGTGGTAACCCGACCTTTCTTTCTGGCTTCCCTTAACATTTTTCCTTTCTTTTAACCTTGGTGAATCTGACAATTATGTGTCTTGGGGTTGCCCTTCTTGAGGAGTATCATTGTGGGTGTTTTCTGTATTTCCTGAATTTGAATGTTGGTCTGTCTTGCTAGATTGTGGAAGTTCTCCTGGATAATATCCTGAAGAATGTTTTACAACTTGGTTCCATTCTCCCCATCACTTTCAGGTACACCAATCAAACGTAGATTTGGTCTTTTCACATAGCACCACATTTCTTGGAGGCTATGTTCATTTCTTTTTATTCTTATTTTTTAACTTTTTTCTTCACATTTTATTTCATTAAGTTGATCTTGAATCTCTGATATCCTTTCTTCTGCTTTATCAATTTGGCTATTGATATTTATTTATGCTTCACAAAGTTCTCATTCTGTGTTCTTCAGCTCCATCAGGTCACTCATGTTCTTCTCTAGTTAGCAATTCGTCTAACATTTTTTCAAGGTTCTTAGCTTCTTTGCAATGGGTTAGAACATGCTCCTTTAGCTCAGTGGAGTTTGTTATTACACACCTTCTGAAGCCTACTTCTGTCAATTCATCAAATTCTTTCTCTGTCCAGTTTTGTCCCCTTGCTGGCAAGGAGTTGTGATCCTTTGGAGGAGAAGAGATGTTCTGGTTTTTGAAATTTTCAGCCTTTTTGTGCTGTTTTTTTTTTCTCATATTTGTGGATTTATCTACCTCTTGTCTTTGATGTTGGTGACCTTTGAATGGGTTTTTTGCGTGGACATCCTTTTTGTTGATGTTGATGCTATTCCTTTCTGTTTGCTAGTTTTTTTCCTAACAGTCAGGCCCTTCTGCTGCAGGTCTGCTGGAGTTTGCTTGAGGTCCACTCCAAACCTTGTTTGACTGGGTATCACCAGAGGAGGCCACAGAACAGCAAAGATTGCTGTGTGTTTATTCCTCTGGAAGCTTCGTCCTAGAGGGACACTTGCCAGATACCAGCCAAAGCTCTTTTGTATGAGGTGTCTGTTGACCCCTGCTGGGAGGTCTGCTGTTCTCTTTAGAGCCAGCAGGCAGGAACATTTAAGTCTGCCGAAGCTGCACCCACTGCCACCCCTTCTTCCAGGTTCTCAGTACAGTGAGATGGGAGTTTTATCTATAAGCCCCTGACTGGGACTGTTGCCTGTCTTTCACAGATGCAACTGCTCAGAGAGTAGGAATCTAGAGGGGCAGTATGGCTACAGTGGCTTTGCGGAGCTGAAGTGGACTCCACCTAGTCCTAGCTTCCTGGAGGCTTTGTTTACACTGTGAGGGGAAAACCACCTACTCAAGCCTCAACAATGGCAGACTCCCCTCAACACCCCCCCCAAGCTCGAACATCCCCAGTCAACTTCAGACTGCTGTGCTGGCAAACAGAAGTTCAAGCCAGTGGATCTTAGCTTGCTGGGCTCCATGGGGGTGAGATCCCCTGAGCTAGATCTCTTGGCTCCCTGGCTTCAGTCCTCTTTCCAGGGGACTGAATGGTTCTGACTTGCTGGTGTTACAGCACCACTGGGGCATAAAAAAAACCCCTCCAGCTATCTTGGTGTCTGCCCAGATGACCACCCAGTTTTGTGCTTGAAACCCAGGGCCCTGGTGGTGTAGGCTCTGAAGGGAATCTTCTGGTCTGTGGGTTGTGAAGACCATGGAAAAACTGCAGTATTTGGGCCAGAGTGCACCGTTCTTCACAGCACATTCCCTCAAGGCTTTCCTTGGCTATGGGAGGGAGTTCACCAATCCCTTGGGCTTCCAAGGTGAGACAACATTCCTCCCTGCTTCAGTTTAGCCTCCATGCACTGCACCTACTGTCTAAACATTCCCAGTGAGATGAGCCAGGTACCTCAGTTGGAAATGCAGAAATCACCTACCTTCTTCATTGATCTCGCTGGGAGCTGCTGACTGGAGCTTTTCTTATTCAGTCATCTTGCCAGCCACCCTCCTGATTGAGTTTCTTTAAGGTAATTATTTTGAATTCCTTTTTTGAATATTTGTGAATTTTTTTCATTGAGGTCTGTTATTTGAGAGTTATTATGTCCCTTTGGTGGTGCCATATTTCTTTATTTTTCATGTTGTGTCCCTGAATTTATGTCTATGCATGTGATGGAACAATTGCTATTCCAAAATCTCTAGAGTGAATTTCATAGAGAAAGACTTTTATCTGAAGTTGAGTGTTTGTGTGCAGGTGACGAAGAGTGGGTAACTCAGTTTTTGATAGATGCATTGTGATAGTATCTGTGTAGTTTCTCTAGCTATGGCCAATATCAGCAATAATTTTGGGTGCCTCAGTGGCCTAGGTTGTAGAAGTTTGCAGCAGTATCAGGAGCAGTGTAGGTTGTTAATGTCCTTAGTGTCAAAGTATTTGGGCGTCCTCCTATTTTTATTTTCCTAAAATTGGGGTGACTTAGCCTAAGGGATTCCTTTTGGTGTCATCTCTGACATGGCATTAACTCAGCGGCATTGGTGCTGGGTTACAAGTACAGATCCTTGAAGTTGTCATAGAAGCATCATTCTAGACTCAGGGTCTTTTAATCATGTATTGTGACACCTGGGTCTTGCGGTGCAGGTTCACTCTCTGTGGCAGTGTTGAATGTAGATTACCCACAGAACCAAGGTCTATGACTCTAGCACACCTTAGCAGCTGAAGCCCACAGACTGAGTTGTGGCTGTGAATCTGTTTCTGAGGGTGAGGTGCAGGAAAATGCCGTGGCCTGCCTCTGATGTAGAAGGGGTGCTCTTTAGATTTGAGCCCAGCAAGTAGAATATGGCTACTATCATTAATAAGATAGGATATACTACCTTATTAATGCTAAGTAACCAAGCTCAAGTCAAGAGATGGAAATGTTAATACTGGTTTGTGACTGCACTGTTCTTCTTACTTAAGAGTAATTTTCAACATGGCAAGCTTAGAAAACTGTGTGAAGCTGATGTTACCAAGGGAGAGGACTGTCTTTGTCTACACATGTTGAGAGAATCTAGTCTATTTCAGTGGTGTTAACTACACAATGTTTAACATGACACAGGTCACTTGGAGACTCTAAAAGCATAATTAATTTATTGCTGGCCTAGGGACTTGTTAGAAAGTAATATGTTTTTGTATATTGATGATCTCTTGTACTCAGTATTCAAAACTTTCCCCTTATTGTTGTCAATTCTGCATCACATCAACACCCCAGCCCTAATTCAAACTAAGTATTCCTCATCCATTGCTTCCACTCTCTGAACTTCCAAATTTTGAGAACTCCAGTCTCTGAGTCTTGGCATATGCCTTACCCTTACTCTCTCTTTTATTCCCTGTGGGCAATTAATGTCCTTATTCTCCATCTTCATCATTCTCCTTTCTCTTCACTTTGTATATTTTTATTTATTCCTGCACTACTTGCATTCTAGAAAAAGTTGTCTGTTGCCTCCCATATAGATTACAATACTGTGGGCCCATCTTGTCATTGTAAACTCATTCTCTTTCTCTATAATTTATTCTAGGTTTTACTGTCATGTTGCTTTTTTCATATCTGTTTTTATACAATTTCAACTTTATAATGAATCTGCAGGCAATATTGAGTCCATGTACCTTTCTGACAGAAGAAGATAATTGCAGACTCTTGTTTCAGGCTCATAGTATCTAATGATATGGCCCTAATTTTCCTATTTTTATTAATTTAAGTTGTGGTTGTCTACAGGTAATAGTAACTTTAACAGAAAATGTCTTTATGTCTTCTCATTTGTGTTTTGAGAATGAAAGAGGAAATAGAAGAAGTGGATCTAGAGATCTTCTGCTTATATATTTTTTTTGCCAAAAAATATGCTGTGTGAGTCAGCTAACTGCAGAGTCTGACAAATGGAATTTTTAAGCAAGCATGGAATAAGGGGGTAGGAAATAAAGTTTGGGCCAGTTGGTCTACAGCATCCACTACACCATACAGTATTTTTTCTTTCTTTTTTTTTTTCTTTATTTTTATTTTTATTTTTTTTATTTTTATGGCATAAGTGGGATTTTATTTATTGTTTATGCAAAACAAAGTAGCCGGTATAATTAGACAGTCATTTGTAACTTCCAACATAAACATTTTAGGAACAGTAGTATCAAAAGTGAGTGCTAATTAGAGAGCTGTTAGAGAAAATATAAGTGGTAACAGATTAACAAACTATACCAAACAGCAGGCTATTTATAACTCCATGCTGTTTTAAATTCTCTTTTGTTTAACAGTCTTTGTACTACTTATTTATTTTTTTAATTTTTACAAAAACATAAGGAAAATGTAGTCTCTTTCTTTTTTTTTTTATTATACTTTAAGTTTTAGGGTACATGTGCACATTGTGCAGGTTAGTTACATATGTATACATGTGCCATCCTGGTGCGCTGCACCCACTAACTCGTCATCTAGCCTTAGGTATATCTCCCAATGCTATCCCTCCCCCCTCCCCCCACCCCACATCAGTCCCCAGAGTGTGGTATTCCCCTTCATGTGTCCATGTGATCTCATTGTTCAATTCCCACCTATGAGTGAGAATATACGGTGTTTGGTTTTTTGTTCTTGTGATAGTTTACTGAGAATGATGATTTCCAATTTCATCCATGTCCCTACAAAGGATATGAACTCATCATTTTTTATGGCTGCATAGTATTCCATGGTGTATATGTGCCACATTTTCTTAATCCAGTCTATCATTGTTGGACATTTGGGTTGGTTCCAAGTCTTTGCTATTGTGAATAATGCCGCAATAAACATACGTGTGCATGTGTCTTTATAGCAGCATGATTTATAGTCCTTTGGGTATATACCCAGTAATGGGATGGCTGGGTCAAATGGTATTTCTAATTCTAGATCCCTGAGGAATCGCCACACTGACTTCCACAATGGTTGAACTAGTTTACAGTCCCACCAACAGTGTAAAAGTGTTCCCATTTCTCCACATCCTCTCCAGCACCTGTTGTTTCCTGACTTTTTAATGATTGCCATTCTAACTGGTGTGAGATGATATCTCATTGTGGTTTTGATTTGTATTTCTCTGATGGCCAGTGATGATGAGCATTTTTTCATGTGTTTTTTGGCTGCATAAATGTCTTCTTTTGAGAAGTGTCTGTTCATGTCCTTTGCCCACTTTTTGATGGGGTTGTTTGTTTTTTTCTTGTAAATTTGTTTGAGTTCATTGTAGATTCTGGATATTAGCCCTTTGTCAGATGAGTAGGTTGCGAAAATTTTCTCCCATGTTGTAGGTTGCCTGTTCACTCTGATGGTAGTTTCTTTTGCTGTGCAGAAGCTCTTTAGTTTAATTAGATCCCATTTGTCAATTTTGTCTTTTGTTGCCATTGCTTTTGGTGTTTTGGACATGAAGTTCTTGCCCATGCCTATGTCCTGAATGGTAATGCCTAGGTTTTCTTCTAGGGTTTTTATGGTTTTAGGTCTAACGTTTAAATCTTTGGCCGGGTGCGGTGGCTCACACCTGTAATCCCGGCACTTTGGGAGGCCGAGGCGGGCGGATCACGAGGTCAGGAGATCGAGACCATCCTGGCTAAAACGGTGAAACCCCGTCTCTACTAAAAATACAAAAAATTAGCCGGGCGTAGTGGCGGGCACCTGTAGTCCCAGCTACTTGGGAGGCTGAGGCAGGAGAATGGCGTGAACCCGGGAGGCGGAGCTTGCAGTGAGCCGAGATCCCGCCACTGCACTCCAGCCTGGGCGACAGAGTGAGACTCCATCTCAAAAAAAAAAAAAAAAAAAAAAAATCTTTAATCCATCTTGAATTGATTTTTGTATAAGGTGTAAGGAAGGGATCCAGTTTCAGCTTTCTACATATGGCTAGCCAGTTTTCCCAGCACCATTTATTAAATAGGGAATCCTTTCCCCATTGCTTGTTTTTCTCAGGTTTGTCAAAGATCAGATAGTTGTAGGTATGCGGCGTTATTTCTGAGGGCTCTGTTCTGTTCCATTGATCTATATCTCTGTTTTGGTACCAGTACCATGCTGTTTTGGTTACTGTAGCCTTGTAGTATAGTTTGAAGTCAGGTAGTGTGATGCCTCCAGCTTTGTTCTTTTGGCTTAGGATTGACTTGATGATGCGGGCTCTTTTTTGGTTCCATATGAACTTTAAAGTAGTTTTCTCCAATTCTGTGAAGAAAGTCATTGGTAGCTTGATGGAGATGGCATTGAATCTGTAAATTACCTTGGGCAGTATGGCCATTTTCACAATATTGATTCTTCCTACCCATGAGCATGGAATGTTCTTCCATTTGTTTGTATCCTCTTTTATTTCCTTGAGCAGTGGTTTGTAGTTCTCCTTGAAGAGGTCCTTCACATCCCTTGTAAGTTGGATTCCTAGGTATTTTATTCTCTTTGAAGCAATTGTGAATGGGAGTTCACTCATGATTCGGCTCTCTGTTTGTCTGTTGTTGGTGTATAAGAATGCTTGTGATTTTTGTACATTGATTTTGTATCCTGAGACTTTGCTGAAGTTGCTTATCAGCTTAAGGAGATTTTGGGCTGAGACGATGGGGTTTTCTAGATAAACAATCATGTCGTCTGCAAACAGGGACAATTTGACTTCCTCTTTTCCTAATTGAATCCCCTTTATTTCCTTCTCCTGCCTGATTGCCCTGGCCAGAACTTCCAAATCAACAGAATATACATTTTTTTCAGCACCACACCACACCTATTCCAAAATTGACCACATAGTTGGAAGTAAAGCTCTCCTCAGCAAATGTAAAAGAACAGAAATTATAACAAACTATCTCTCAGACCACAGTGCAATCAAACTAGAACTCAGGATTAAGAATCTCACTCAAAACTGCTCAACTACATGGAAACTGAACAACCTGCTCCTGAATGACTACTGGGTATATAACGAAATGAAGGCAGAAATAAAGATGTTCTTTGAAACCAACGAGAACAAAGACACAACATACCAGAATCTCTGGGACGCATTCAAAGCAGTGTGTAGAGGGAAATTTATAGCACTAAATGCCCACAAGAGAAAGCAGGAAAGATCCAAAATTGACACCCTAACATCACAATTAAAAGAACTAGAAAAGCAAGAGCAAACACATTCAAAAGCTAGCAGAAGGCAAGAAATAACTAAAATCAGAGCAGAACTGAAGGAAATAGAGACACAAAAAACCCTTCAAAAAATCAATGAATCCAGGAGCTGGTTTTTTGAAAGGATCAACAAAATTGATAGACCACTAGCAAGACTAATAAAGAAAAAAAGAGAGAAGAATCAAATAGACACAATAAAAAATGATAAAGGGGATATCACCACTGATCCCACAGAAATACAAACTACCATCAGAGAATACTACAAACACCTCTACACAAATAAACTAGAAAATCTAGAAGAAATGGATACATTCCTCGACACATACACTCTCCCAAGACTAAACCAGGAAGAAGTTGAATCTCTGAATAGACCAATAACAGGAGCTGAAATTGTGGCAATAATCAATAGTTTACCAACCAAAAAGAGTCCGGGACCAGATGGATTCACAGCCGAATTCTACCAGAGGTACAAGGAGGAACTGGTACCATTCCTTCTGAAACTATTCCAATCAATAGAAAAAGAGGGAATCCTCCCTAACTCATTTTATGAGGCCAGCATCATTCTGATACCAAAGCCGGGCAGAGACACAACCAAAAAAGAGAATTTTAGACCAATATCCTTGATGAACATTCATGCAAAAATCCTCAATAAAATACTGGCAAACCGAATCCAGCAGCACATCAAAAAGCTTATCCACCATGATCAAGTGGGCTTCATCCCTGGGATGCAAGGCTGGTTCAATATATGCAAATCAATAAATGTAATCCAGCATATAAACAGAGCCAAAGACAAAAACCACATCATTATCTCAATAGATGCAGAAAAAGCCCTTGACAAAATTCAACAACCCTTCATGCTAAAAACTCTCAATAAATTAGGTATTGATGGGATGTATTTCAAAATAATAAGAGCTATCTATGACAAACCCACAGCCAATATCATACTGAATGGGCAAAAACTGGAAGCATTCCCTTTGAAAACTGGCACAAGACAGGGATGCCCTCTCTCACCGCTCCTATTCAATATTTTTTTCTAGTACTATACTTTACAGTTTCTATGTTGGTAAGTATACAATGTGAGTAATTTTGAATTTACTGTCATCAAATATGCTGTTAAATAATTTGTCAGATAATTGCATCAAATCATTCCTAGGAAAAGCAAAACCAACAGTCTGAATTCACTATTGAAAACTTGGTAATCACTGCAGCTGACTTACTTGGAGCTGGGACAGAGACAACAAGCACAACCCTGAGATATGCTCTCCTTCTCCTGCTGAAGCACCCAGAGGTCACAGGTATGATCACAGAGGATGAGTTAATTGAGTTTTAGGAAAGATGTTGGGAAGGTGCTGCTAGTGTTCTCCTTTCTGTTTCTCTTAGAGAAGTTCCATTATTTAAATTTCTGTGCCCGCAGCTGTAATCTGTCCCAATTTAATGGTGTGATTAAAATGGAATATCCTGGCCTGGTGCAGTGGCTCATGATTGTAATCCCAGCCCTTTGGGAGGCCTAGGTGGGTGGACCATTGAGGCTAGGAGTTCAAGACCAGCCTGGCCAATATGGCCAAGCCCCATCTCTACTAAAAATACAAAACGTAGCCGGGCATTGTGGCACACCACTGTAATCCCAGCTACTTGGGGGCTGAGGCATGGGAATCGCTTGAACCCGGGTGGTGGAGGTTGCAGTGAGCCAAGATTGTGCCATTGCACTCTAGCCTGGGTGACAGAGTGGGACCCTGTCTCAGAAAAGAAAAAAAAGGAAAAGAAAAGAAAAGAAAAAAAGGACATCTTTGCACAGTAGAGGAAGATAACTGAGAGAAATGAAGACAGCATGGCAGTTTCAAAAGCAATAGAGCTCTGGCCCAGTGTGTCTGGATTTCATCGACAGTGACTTATGGCAGGAAGAGACAACATAAGTTGGCCTGGGATTGCATGTTGGTTTTATTATTAAAAGGCCATTTTGAACAGCAAGTGTATTGTTAAAGATAATTTTTCTCATTCTCAAAACTTCAGGTTCAAATGCTGGAGTAGGGAAAATGGAAACTCTTCTTATTGAAGGATAAATGGTAATCCTAGAAATGTAGTGAGGCTGCCTGAAAAAATTCCTAGTCTGATAAGTATTCTAAAAAGTTAGATTCATGAGAAAGTTGATTCTGTTTACTAAAAGAGGTACCTAAAGAATGTTCCATTTAGGCAGAAGATGTACCTGAGACAGTTTCTGTGAAATTGGTGTTGGATAAAATAAGAATATTTTTGGGGGGGCCAATAATTTTATCTTTTATGAACAACTTTACTTTAGAAATTTTAAAGACTTTCGGTTATGCTGCAGATAATAAATATTCTTTTTTCCCCTGTGTCAGTATCCCCCATTTAATGACAATAACCTAATTACAAATAAGAGTTAGGCCTTTTTTTGAACAATTACTAACCTATAACGTTCTAGAAGATTTTTTCAACTTTTTTTTATAGATTAAAGGGTAAAAATACAGATTTGTTACATGGGTAAATTGTGTAACACTGAGTCTCGGGGTCCCAACTATTTCATCACCCTGGCAGTAAGCATAGTACCCAACAGATGGTTCTCCAACCCACATCCCTTCTCTCCCTCCCCTATATAGTGATCCTCAGTGTCTATTGTTCCCATCTTTAGGTTCATGTGTATTCAATGTTTACTTCCCATTTATAAGTGAGAACAGGTGGTATTTGGTTTTCTGTTCTTGTATTAGATTGCTTAGGATAATGGCCTCCTGCTTCATCTATAGTGCTGCAAAAGACATGATTTTTGTTCTTTTTTATGGCTGCATAGTATTCCATGGTGTATATACTAGTCTGTTCTCATGCTGCTAATAAAGACATACCTGAGGCTGGGTAATTCATAAAGGAAAGAGGTTTAATGGACTGTCAATTCCACATGACTGGAAAGGCCTCACAATAAGTCTCTGATAGCAAGACTTATTTACTATCACAAGAACAGCATGGGAACACCCTGCCCCCATGATTAAATTATGTCCCATTGAGTCCCTCCCATGACATGTGGGAATTATGGGAGCCAAAGTCCAAGATGAGATTTGAGTGGGGACACAGTCTAAACATATCAGTGTATATTTACCACATTTTCCTTATACAGTCTACTGTTGATGGGCACTTAAGTTGATTCCATTTTTTTGCTATTGTGAATAGCACTACAGTGAACATATTGGTGTGTGTGTCTTTTTGATAGAATGAATTTTTTTGGGGGGGCATATACTCAATAGTTGGATTGCTGGGTCAACTAAAGTTCTATTTTAATTTCTTTCAGAAATATCCAAACTGCTTTCCACAGTGACTGAACTAGTTTGCATACCCACCAGCAGTGTAAAAGCATTTTCTTTTGTCTGCAACCTCACCAGCATCTCTTGTTTTTGGACTTTTTAATATTAATAATTGCCATTCTGACTGGTGTGAGATGGTACCTCCTTGTGATTTTGATTTGGATTTCTCTGATGATTAGTGATGTTGAACATTTTTTCATATGTTTGTTGGCTGCTTGTATGTCATCTTTTGAGAAGTGTCTGTTCATGTCCTTTCACCATTTCTAATTTTTTTTTTGTTTTTTGCTTGTTAATTTGTTTTAGTTTTTTATAGATTTGGGATATTAGCTGTTTGAGCCCTTTAAGCTATGTAGAGTACAGGCAATAGTCAATAAAGCTTTAACAAATTTCTAAAACACAGAGAGCAAATGGAGGAATAATAAATCAGTACAGAGAGGATAAACTTGTAACCAAAAAGTCAGAAGAGGAAAATTTATCAAGGAGAAAAATTAATCAGTGTCCCTTAAGTCCCCTCAATATTAGTATTTGGAAGTGCCAAGGGTCAAATATGGTAGAGAATGAGGTTGAAAAACGAGGCTCTCTCTGCCTAGGTTTCCTACACAACTCTTTTCATCAAGTAACTAATTTTCTCCCACAAGAAAAAGGAGGCTTACTCTCTAGAGAAACTGAGTTTAAGAAGCCCCATACTCAGGGACAAAGGGCAGTGCCAGAAAAGACATGAGGTGTAGGCTAGAAAGGCAGATTTGGTAAGGGTCCACACCTTCAATTCAGAGACTTAAAGCTCTTTTATTCATCTTGCTTCCTAAAATTCAGCAGCTAGCGTTATCCTACAGAAAGGGAACTGATCTAGAGAAATGACATTTTTCTTTTGCCATCTTAACAGAAAATTATCTTCAATGTCTAACAGAGTGAATGAAATGAAAACATACTCTGCTAGACACAGGGTCATGGAATTTCAGGACACCAGAATTAAAGGGAAAATCACAAAAACTTTCAGAGCTATACCAGGTCATATTGAAAGAATTAGGATTCAGAATTCTCAAGAGGAACTATTAATATTATTTAGCATATTAATAGAAATAGTGTGTTTTCAGACTTGCACATTTGCCAAAATTTTACCTTCTATTGTCCCTTTCTCAGAAAAATATTGGAGAATGTGCTTAATTCAAATGCCTGAAGCCTAGTTATAGAAAGTCCTGAGCTCCAGCAATCAGACCTCATATAGGACAATGAGAGTGTCAGGGAGGCTGCCTTGCACCAGGCCTAGAAAACAACTACTTCAGAATGAACCTGGTGGATAATTCAGAAGTGAGATGAGACAGCAAGAACAAGAGATGTGACAGATTTTATGAGAGTTTCCAATAACTAAAAAGGAGTTTCAAACATCTGCCTGAACATTTGTAAGTATTTCTAACTTGGGAAACAGAAAATTACAAATAGAAATAAAGAGATGTGGTTAAGTTTAAGAAAGTGCTAAAAATAAAATATAATCATAGCTGTCTTACCAGAGAACCATATTTATGTAGTCAGAATGATATAAGCAATGAATACTGATATCATAAAAATTGTCATCTAAATATATTCTGGAAAAAGCAGTGTGGAAAAATTAGTGTGTCTATCTGAGGGTGTGTTCAAATATGAGGTGAACATGGAGATTAAAATTTTCATCTCATAATAAAAAATTATTAAATATAATCTACAAAAAGATAAGTAAGAAATAGAAACAAGGTCTTTATTTAGAAACGTGAATGTATTTTCAGAAGAAGCTGCTAGAATGTTCAAAATGGTAGATTTGGAAAGTGTGAGAATGAAGAGAATACCATTGCAAATTGCAGACTCTCACACACACAAGCACAGCTGCACAAATACACAGTTATATATATGCGTAAATCTGTTAGCATAACTTAATGTTTAAACGTGTTATTTTGATGTAAAATTAATTCCTGTTTTTTTCCAAGACAGTAATTTCATGACTAAATTTATGCTTACTTTATGTTTTCAAACATTTCATTTTTTTAATTATACTTTAAGTTTTAGGGTACATGTGCACATTGTGCAGGTTAGTTACATATGTACACATGTGCCATGCTGGTGCACGGCACCCACTAACTCGTCATCTAGCATTAGGTATATCTCCCGATGCTATCCCTCCCCCCTCCCCCCACCCCACATCAGTCCCCAGAGTGTGATATTCCCCTTCCTGTGTCAATGTGATCTCATTGTTCAATTCCCACCTATGAGTGAGAATATGCAGTGTTTGGTTTTCTGTTCTTGTGATAGTTTACTGAGAATGATGATTTCCAATTTCATCCATGTCCCTACAAAGGACATGAACTCATCATTTTTTATGGCTGCATAGTATTCCATGGTGTATATGTGCCACATTTTCTTAATCCAGTCTATCATTGTTGGACATTTGGGTTGGTTCCAAGTCTTTGCTATTGTGAATAATGCCGCAATAAACATACGTGTGCATGTGTCTTTATAGCAGCATGATTTATAGTCCTTTGGGTATATACTCAGTAATGGGATGGCTGGGTCAAATGGTATTTCCAGTTCTAGATCCCTGAGGAATCGCCACACTGACTTCCACAATGGTTGAACTAGTTTACAGTCCCACCAACAGTGTAAAAGTGTTCCTATTTCTCCACATCCTCTCCAGCACCTGTTGTTTCCTGACTTTTTAATGATCACCATTCTAACTGGTGTGAGATGGTATCTCATTGTGGTTTTGATTTGCATTTCTCTGATGGCCAGTGATGATGAGCATTTTTTCATGTGTTTTTTGACTGCATAAATGTCTTCTTTTGAGAAGTGTCTGTTCATGTCCTTTGCCCACTTTTTGATGGGGTTGTTTGTTTTTTTCTTGTAAATTTGTTTGAGTTCATTGTAGATTCTGGATATTAGCCCTTTGTCAGATGAGTAGGTTGTGAAAATTTTCTCCCATTTTGTAGGTTGCCTGTTCACTCTGATGGTAGTTTCTTTTGCTGTGCAGAAGCTCTTTAGTTTAATTAGATCCCATTTGTCAATTTTGTCTTTTGTTGCCATTGCTTTTGGTGTTTTAGACATGAAGTCCTTGCCCATGCCTATGTCCTGAATGGTAATGCCTAGGTTTTCTTCTAGGGTTTTTATGGTTTTAGGTCTAACGTTTAAGTCTTTAATCCATCTTGAATTGATTTTTGTATAAGGTGTAAGGAAGGGATCCAGTTTCAGCTTTCTACATATGGCTAGCCAGCTTTCCCAGCACCATTTATTAAATAGGGAATCCTTTCTCCATTGCTTGTTTTTCTCAGGTTTGTCAAAGATCAGATAGTTGTAGATATGTGGCGTTATTTCTGAGGGCTCTGTTCTGTTCCATTGATCTATATCTCTGTTTTGGTACCAGTACCATGCTGTTTTGGTTACTGTAGCCTTGTAGTATAGTTTGAAGTCAGGTAGTGTGATGCCTCCAGCTTTGTTCTTTTGGCTTAGGAATGACTTGGTGATGCGGGCTCTTTTTTGGTTCCATATGAACTTTAAAGTAGTTTTTTCCAATTCTGTGAAGAAAGTCATTGGTAGCTTGATGGGGATGGCATTGAATCTGTAAATTACCTTGGGCAGTATGGCCATTTTCACAATATTGATTCTTCCGACCCATGAGCATGGAATGTTCTTCCATTTGTTTGTATCCTCTTTTATTTCCTTGATCAGTGGTTTGTAGTTCTCCTTGAAGAGGTCCTTCACATCCCTTGTAAGTTGGATTCCTAGGTATTTTATTCTCTTTGAAGCAATTGTGAATGGTAGTTCACTCATGATTTGGCACTCTGTTTGTCTATTGTTGGTGTATAAGAATGCTTGTGATTTTTGTACATTGATTTTGTATCCTGAGACTTTGCTGAAGTTGTTTATCAGCTTAAGGAGATTTTGGGCTGAGATGATGGGGTTTTCTAGATATACAATCATGTCATCTGTAAACAGAGACAATTTGACTTCCTCTTTTCCTAATTGAATCCCCTTTATTTCCTTCTCCTGCCTAATTGCCCTGGCCAGAACTTCCAACACTATGTTGAATAGGAGTGGCAAGAGAAGGCATCCCTGTCTTGTGCCAGTTTTCAAAGGGAATGCTTCCAGTTTTTGCCCATTCAGTATGATGTTGGCTGTGGGTTTGTCATAGATAGCTCTTATTATTTTGAAATACATCCCATCAATACCTAATTTATTGAGAGTTTTTAGCATGAAGGGCTGTTGAATTTTGTCAAAGGCCTTTTCTGCATGTAGTATTGAGATAATCATGTGGTTTTTGTCTTTGGTTCTGTTTATATGCTGGATTACATTTATTGATTTGCGTATATTGAACCAGCCTTGCATCCCAGGGATGAAGCCCACTCGATCATGGTGGATAAGCTTTTTGATGTGCTGCTGGATTCGGTTTGCCAGTATTTTATTGAGGATTTTTGCATGAATGTTCATCAAGGATATTGGTCTAAAATTCTCTTTTTTGGTTGTGTCTCTGCCCGGCTTTGGTATCAGAATGATGCTGGCCTCATAAAATGAGTTAGGGAGGATTCCCTCTTTTTCTATTGATTGGAATAGTTTTAGAAGGAATGGTACCAGTTCCTCCTTGTACCTCTGGTAGAATTCGGCTGTGAATCCGTCTGGTCCTGGACTCTTTTTGGTTGGTAAGCTATTGATTATTGCCACAATTTCAGCTCCTGTTATTGGTCTATTCAGAGATTCAACTTCTTCCTGGTTTAGTCTTGGGAGAGTGTATGTGTCGAGGAATGTATCCATTTCTTCTAGATTTTCTAGTTTATTTGCATAGAGGTGTTTGTAGTATTCTCTGATGGTAGTTTGTATTTCTGTGGGATCGGTGGTGATATCCCCTTTATCGTTTTTTATTGCGTCTATTTGATTCTTCTCTCTCTTTTTCTTTATTAGTCTTGCTAGTGGTCTATCAATTTTGTTGATCCTTTCAAAAAAACCAGCTCCTGGATTCATTAATTTTTTGAAGGGTCTTTTGTGTGTCTCTTTCCTTCAGTTCTGCTTTGATTTTAGTTATTTGTTGCCTTCTGCTAGCATTTGAATGTGTTTGCTCTTGCTTTTCTAGTTCTTTTAATTGTGATGTTAGGGTGTCTATTTTGGATCTTTCCTGCCTTCTCTTGTGGGCATTTAGTGCCATAAATTTCCCTCTACACACTGTTTTGAATGCATCCCAGAGATTCTGGTATGTTGTGTCTTTGTTCTTGTTGGTTTCAAAGAACATCTTTATTTCTGCCTTCATTTCGTTATGTACCCAGTAGTCATTCAGGAGCAGGTTGTTCAGTTTCCATGTAGTTGAGCGGTTTTGAGTGAGTTTCTTAATCCCGAGTTCTAGTTTGATTGCACTGTGGTCTGAGAGACAGTTTGCCATAATTTCTGTTCTTTTACATTTGCTGAGGAGAGCTTTACTTCCAACTATGTGGTCAATTTTGGAATAGGTGTGGTGTGGTGCTGAAAAAATGTATATTCTGTTGATTTGGGGTGGAGAGTTCTGTAGATGCCTATTAGGTCCGCTTGGTGCAGACCTGAGTTCAATTCCTGGGTATCCTTGTTGACTTTCTGTCTCGTTGATCTGTCTAATGTTGACAGTGGGGTGTTAAAGTCTCCCATTATTAATGTGTGGGAGTCTAAGTCTCTTTGTAGGTCACTCAGGATTTGCTTTATGAATCTTGGTGCTCCTGTATTGGGTGCATATATATTTAGCATAGTTAGCTCTTCTTGTTGAATTGATCCCTTTACCATTATGTAATGGCCTTCTTTGTCTCTTTTGATCTTTGTTGGTTTAAAGTCTGTTTTATCAGAGACTAGGATTGCAACCCCTGCCTTTTTTTGTTTTCCATTGGCTTGGTAGATCTTCCTCCATCCTTTTATTTTGAGCCTATGTGTGTCTCTGCACGTGAGATGGGTTTCCTGAATACAGCACACTGATGGGTCTTGACTCTTTATCCAATTTGCAAGTCTGTGTCTTTTAATTGGAGCATTTAGTCCATTTACATTTAAAGTTAATATTGTTATGTGTGAATTTGATCCTGTCATTATGATGTTAGCTGGTTATTTTGCTCGTTAGTTGATGCAGTTTCTTCCTAGACTCGATGGTCTTTACATTTTGGCATGATTTTGCAGCGGCTGGTACCGGTTGTTCCTTTCCATGATTAGTGCTTCCTTCAGGAGTTCTTGTAAGGCAGGCCTGGTGGTGACAAAATCTCTCAGCATTTGCTTGTCTGTAAAGGATTTTATTTCTCCTTCACTTATGAAGCTTAGTTTGGCTGGATATGAAATTCTGGGTTGAAAATTCTTTTCTTTAAGAATGTTGAATATTGGCCCCCACTCTCTTCTGGCTTGTAGAGTTTCTGCCGAGAGATCTGCTGTTAGTCAGATGGGCTTCCCTTTGAGGGTAACCCGACCTTTCTCTCTGGCTGCCCTTAACATTTTTTCCTTCATTTCAACTTTGGTGAAACTGACAATTATGTGTCTTGGAGTTGCTCTTCTTGAGGAGTATCTTTGTGGCGTTCTCTGTATTTCCTGAATCTGAACGTTGGCCTGCCGTGCTAGATTGGGGAAGTTCTCCTGGATAATATCCTGCAGAGTGTTTTCCAACTTGTTTCCATTCTCCCCATCACTTTCAGGTACACCAATCCGAAGTAGATTTGGTCTTTTCACATAGTCCCATATTTCTTGGAGGCTTTGCTCATTTCTTTTTATTCTTTTTACTCTAAACTTCCCTTCTCGCTACATTTCATCTTCCATTGCTGATACCCTTTCTTCCAGTTGATCGCATTGGCTCCTGAGACTTCTGCATTCTTCACGTAGTTCTCGAGCCTTGGTTTTCAGCTCCATAAGCTCCTTTAAGCACTTCTCTGTATTGGTTATTCTAGTTATACCTTCTTCTAAATTTTTTTCAAAGTTTTCAACTTCTTTGCCTTTGGTTTGAATGTCCTTCCATAGCTCAGAGTAATTTGATCGTCTGAAGCCTTCTTCTCTCAGCTCATCAAAGTCATTCTCCATCCAGCTTTGTTCCGTTGCTGGTGAGGAACTACGTTCCTTTGGAGGAGGAGAGGCGCTCTGCTTTTTAGAGTTTCCAGTTTTTCTGTTCTGTTTTTTCCCCATCTTTGTGGTTTTATCTACTTTTGGTCTTTGATGATGGTGATGTGCAGATGGGTTTTTGGTGTGGATGTCCTTTCTGTTTGTTAGTTTTCCTTCTAACAGACAGGACCCTCAGCTGCAGGTCTGTTGGAATAACCTGCCGTGTGAGGTGTCAGTGTGCCCCTGCTGGGGATTGCCTCCCAGTTAGGCTGCTCAGGGGTCAGGGGTCAGGGACCCACTTGAGGAGGCAGTCTGCGCATTCTCAGATCTCCAGCTGCATGCTGGGAGAACCACTGCTCTCTTCAAAGCTGTCAGACAGGGACATTTAAGTCTGCAGAGGTTACTGCTGTCTTTTTGTTTGTCTGTGCCCTGCCCCCAGAGGTGGAGCCTACAGAGGCAGGCAGGCCTCCTTGAGCTGTGGTGGGCTCCACCCAGTTCCAGCTTCCTGGCTGCTTTGTTTACGTAATCAAGCATGGGCAATGGCGGGCGCCCCTCCCCCAGCCTTGCTGCCACCTTGCAGTTTGATCTCAGACTGCTGTGCTAGCAATTAGTGAGACTCCGTGGGCGTAGGACCCTCCGAGCCAGGTGCGGGATATAATCTCGTGGTGCACCGTTTTTTAAGCCCATCGGAAAAGCGCAGTATTCGGGTGGGAGTGACCCGATTTTCCAGGTGCCGTCTGTCACCCCTTTCTTTGACTCAGAAAGGGAACTCCCTGACCCCTTGCACTTCCCAAGTGAGGCAATGCCTCGCCCTGCTTCGGCTCCCGCAGGGTGCACGCACCCACTGACCTGCGCCCACTGTCTGGCACTCCCTAGTGAGATGAACCGGGTACCTCAGATGGAAATGCAGAAATCACCCATCTTCTGCGTCACTCATGCTGGGAGCTGTAGACCAGAGCTGTTCCTATTCAGCCATCTTTGCTCCTCCCCACATTTCATTATTTTTATTTATATTACTTATATATACTAACGTATATGTACATACAGATTTATCTTTTTTCCTTTTTTATTTTTTATATTTATGGGTACAGAGTAGGTATATATTAATATGTTTGTGGGGTACAGGAGATGTTTTGATACAGGCATGCAATGTGAAATAAGCATGTCATGGAGAATGGGGTATCTGTGCCCTCAAGCATTTATTGAGTTACAAACAATTCAATTACACTCTTTCAGTTATTTTAAAATATACAATTAAGTTATTATTGACCATAGTCACACTGTTGTGCTATCAAATAGTAGGTCTTATTCATCCCTACTTCCCTTCTCACCCCCCACTTCCCTTTCAAGTATCTGGTAGCCATCCTTCTACACTTTATGTCCATTAGTTAAATTCTTTTTATTTTAGATCCCACAAATAAGTGAGAACATGCTATGTTTGTTTTTCTGTACCTGGCTTATTTCACTTAACATAATGCTCTCCAATTTCATTCATGTTGTTGCAAATGACTGAATCTCATTCTTTTTTTATGGCTGAATAGAACTCCATTGTGTATATGTACTACATTTTCTTTATACATTTGTCTGTTGATGGATATTTAGGTTGTTTCAAAGTCTTAGCCATTGTAAACAGTGCTGCAACAAACACAAGAGTGCAGATGTCTCTTTGATATAGTTATTTCCTTTCTTTTGGGTATATACCCAGTAGTAGGGTTGTTGGTAGTTTTATTTTTAGTTTTTTAAAAAACTTACAATATATATTTTTAGTTTTTTGAGGAACATTCAAACAGCTCTCCATAGTGGTCATACTAATTTACATTCCCACCAACGTTGTACAAGGGTCCACTTATCTCCACATCCTCACTAGCATTTGTTATTGCCTGTCTTTTGGATATAAGCCATTTTAACTGGAGTGAGGTGACATCTCATTGTAGTTTTGATTTACATTTCTCTGATGATCAGTGGTGTTGACCACCTTTTTGTATGTCTGTTAACAATTAACATGTCTTCTTTTGAGAAATGTCTATTCAAATCTTTTGCCCACTTGTGGACTTGATTATTAGATTTTTTTCTATAGAGTTACTTAAGTTCCTTATATATTCTGGTTATTAATCTCTTGTCAGATGAGTAGTTTGCATATATTTTTCTCCATTCTGTAGGTTATCTCTTCCCTTTGTTGATTGTATCTTTTGCTGTGCAGAAACTTTTTAACTTGATATGATCCCATTTGTCCATGTTTGCTTTGAATGCCTGTGCTTGTGGGGTATTGCTCAAGAAATTTTTGCCTAGACCAATGTCCTGGAGATGTTTTCTAGTATTTTCCTATAGTATTTTCACAGTTTGAGGTCTCATACTTAAGTTTTTAATCCATTTTGAGTTGATTTTTGTATGTGGCAAGATATATGAGTCCAGATTCATCCCTCTGTGTAGGATATTAAATTTTCCCAGCACAATCTATTGATGAGATGGTCTTTCCCCCAGTGTACGTTCTTGGTACCTGTGTTAGTCTGTTCTTATGCTTCTAATAAAGCCATACACAAGACCGGGTAATTTATAAAGGGAAGATGTTTAATGGACTCACAGTTCCACATGGCTGGGGATGCCTCAAAATCATGGTGGAAGGCAAATGAGGAGAAAAGTCACATCTTACATGGTGGCAGACAGAGATCTTTGCAGGGGAAGTCCCATTTATAAAACCATCAGATCTTGTAAGACTTATTCACTACCATGACAACAGTATGGGGGAAACCACCCCATGTTTCAATTATCCCCACATGGCCTTGTACTTGGGGTGTGGGGATTATTACAATTCAAGATGAGATTTGGGGTGGGGACACAGCCAAACCATGTCAGCACCTTTGTCAAGAATGAGTTCACTCTAGGTGTGTGAAATTGTTTCTGGATTCACTATTCTGTTCCATTGGTCTATGTGTCTGTTTTTATGTCAGTACCATGCTGTTTTTGTTAGTATAGCTGTGTAGTATAATTTTAAGTGAGATAATGTGATTCCTCCAGTTTTGTTTTTTTTGCTTATGATAGTTTTGACTATTCTGGGTCTTTTGTGGGTCCATGTCAATTTTAAAGATTTTTTTTCTATTTCTGTGAAGAATGTCATTTGTAATTTGATGGGGATTTTATTGAATCTGTGGATTGTTTTGATAGTATGGACATTTTAATAATATTGATTTTTCCAATCCATGAACATGAAATATTTTTCCATTTGTTGTGATCTCTTAAAACTCTTTCCTCAGTGCTTTATAGTTTTCATTACAGAGATCTTTCAGTTCTTTGGTTAAATTAATTCCTAGGTATTTTATTTTATATATGGCTATTTTAAATGGGATTACATTTTAAATTTCTTTTTCTCATTGTTCACTGTTGGCATATATCAACACTACTGATTTTTATGTTGAGTTTGTATCCTTCAACTTTACAGAATTTGTTCATCAGTTCTAATAATTATCTTGTGGAATCTTTAGGTTTTTCCTAGTATAAGGTTATATCATCTGCACACAAGGATATTTTGACTTATTCCTTTCTAATGTGGATAGCCTTTATATCTTTCTCTTGCCTGATTGCTCTTGCTAGGTCATCTAGTAGTATGAAGAATAACAATGGCAATAGTGGACATCCTTGTCATGTTCATGATCTTACAGAAAATGCTTTCAGTTTTCCCCACTCAGTATGGTACTAGTAGTAGGTCTGTCATATAGCTTTTTTTATGTTGAGGTATGTTCCTTCTATCTCAAGTGTTTTTTTTTCTTTTTTTTTATTATACTTTAAGATTTAGGGTACATGTGCACATTGTGCAGGTTAGTTACATATGTATACATGTGCCATGCTGGTGCGCTGCACCCAAATGTCCAACGATGATAGACTGGATTAAGAAAATGTGGCACATATACACCATGGAATACTATGCAGCCATAAAAAATGATGAGTTCATGTCCTTTGTAGGAACATGGATGAAATTGGAAATCATCATTCTCAAGTGTTTTTAATGAATTTTTATCATGAAGGGATGTTGAATTTTATCAAATACTTTTTCAGCATCAACTGAAATGATCATATGGTTTTTATCCTTCATTCTGTTGATATGATGTATCACACTGCTTGATTTCCACATGTTGAACCATCCTTGCATCCCAGAGGTAAATCCCACTTGGTCATTGTGAATGATCTGTCTATTGTATTGTTGAATGTGGTTTCCTAGTATTTTGTTGAGGATTGTTGCATCAGTATTCATCAGGTGTATTGGCCTGTAGTTTTCTTTTTTTGATGTGTCTTAGTCTGATTTTGGTATCAGGGTAATACTGGCTTCATAGAATGAGTTTGGAAGTATTCTCTTCTCCTTTATTTTTTGGAATAGTTTGAGTAGGGTTGGTATTAGTTCTTTGTTAAATGTTTGGTAAAATTCAGCAGTGAAGCCATCAAGTCTTGGGGTTTTCCTTATTGGGATAATTTTTATTACAGGTTTGATCTTGGTACTGGTCATTGCATGTTCAGGTTTTGGATTTCTTCCTGGTTCAATCTCAATAGGTCATATATGTCTAAGGATTTGTCCATTTCTTCTAGATTTTCCAATTTATTGGCATATAGTTGCTCATAGTAACCACTAATTATTCTTTGAATTTCTGCAGTATCAGTTGTATTGCTTCCTTTTTTATTTTTGTTTTTATTTATTTGAAACTTCTTTTTTTTCTTAGTCTGGCTAAAAACTTGTCAATTTTGTTTAATTTCTCAAAGAAACAACTTTTTGTTGCATTGACATTTTGTTTTGTTTTCTTCATTTAAATTTCATTTATTTCTGCTCTGATCTTTATTATTTCTTTTGTTCTACTAATTTTGGTTTTCTTTCTTTTTTCTTTTTTTTTTTTGTGCAGTTGCAAGATTTAATAGGCTGAAACAGAGCTCCCATACAAAGGGAGGGGACCCAAAGGGGGTTGCCATTGCTGGCTCAAATGCCTGGGTTTATATCCCAATCATTGTCCCTCCCACTGTGCTTTCAGGCAGCAGATGATTGGCTATTTCTTTACCTCCTGTTTTGCCTAATTAGCATTTTAGTGAGCTCTCCTTACTATCTGATTGGTCATGTGTGAGCTAAGTTGCAAGCCCCGTGTTTAAAGGTGGAAGTGGTCACCTTCCCAGGTAGGCTTAGGGATTCTTAGTCAGCTAGGAAATCCAGCTAGTCCTGTCTCTAAGTCCCCCATCTCAACATGAAAACCCAAGTGCTGTTGGGGAGGTTGGCCGACGACTGCTCTAGCTGCTTCCTGCTGAATTGGGGTGTAGTAGGGGTGGTGCAGTTGAGATTTCCTCGGGAGAGGTGCCTTCAATGTCATTAACATTGGAGCATGAGCTAGCAGGCTGGTCCAAGGGTCTGCAGTAGATCTTAGCCATGGACTGCATCTGGGGCTCCATTTGAAGAATGATTTGTAGTTTTACAGCTTCAATTCTGGAAGAGACACACTTAACAAGGAGGTTAAAGATACAGGGATTGAAATGTATGGCCTGCAGTGCCTTTGACACACTTCACAGGCCCTGACTATCTGCTTGATAGTTTTGAAAAGGCCTGGTCCAGTAAATAATAATTTGGCCATCTGATGGGTGCTATCAATACCTAAGTGAAAGGTTTGGTGAAGGGTTTTAAGTAATTCCCATTGGTTAGCTGCAGGCAAATGTAATTTTCCTTTTTTGGTGGCTAGCCATCCCGAGGGGAGAAAACTATGTCTTCATGAGGTTACCCATTCTATTTCTCCTGCTGAGTATTGGGGCTTGGTTTCCCGGAGGGGATTACCCCATACTAGGGGTCCTTCTATAAGCATTTCTAATGGAGGGTTCTGCCTTGCAGCTCTTTTGGCCTCAATATCTGCTTGGCGGTTCCCTTCTATTTTCCTTTCCTTTCCTTTCTGATGACCCCAGCAGTGTAAGACTGCCACCTCTTTAGGTTTCTGTACAGCCAATAATAATCTCCTAACGGCTTCCTGAGGTTTGATAGATGTTCCCTCGGAAGTTAGGAATTTCCTTTCCCTCCATATTGCTTCATGGACATGGAAGACTAGGTAAGCATACTTAGATCTGTATATATATATTTACCCTTTTTCCTTTTCCTAATTCTAGTGCCCGAGTGAGGGCTATTAGTTCTGCCAGCTGAGCACTAGTTCCTGGTGTGAGGAGATTACTTTCAAGTATTCCATTATCACTGACCACTGTGTACCTCGCTTTTTGAAGTCCTTTTTCTACAACGGAACTTCCATCAGTGTACAAGTTGAAGTCAGGATCAGTCAAGGGAACCTCTAAAAGTTCCCCTCGAGTGGTGTAGGTTTGAGCAATTACTTGTTGACAGTTATGTTCTATCTTTTCTTTATTATTTGGAAGAAATGTGGCTCAGTTAAGAGTTGCACAAGCACGCAGTTGCAGCACTGGCTCTTCAAGTAATAGAGCCTGATATTTAAGTAAGTGGTTGTCTGACAGCCACAAGTCTCCTTTAGCAGTGAGTATGCCATTCACATCATGGATGCCCACACAGTAAGATCTCTTCCTTGTATTCTTTTAACTTCTTCAGATACTAAGCCTGCTACTGCTGCCACTACCTGTAAACCATGAGGCCAACCCTTTGCCACTACATCAGTTTCCTTACTCAGGTATGCCACGGGTTGCAAGCTCATCCCTTGGACCTGTGTAAGGACTCCTAGAGCTATTCCTGTTTTTTTTCTGTGTTATATAAAGAAAAGTCTTGCCCTGTTGGCAAGCTTAACACTGAGTCTTGGGTTAGAGACTTCTTTAGGGCCTGGAAAGCCACTTCTGTTTCAGGTGTCCATCTTACTAAATGGATATTGACTTTCTGAGTTTCCTTAATTAGTGTATATAATGGTCTGTCTATTTCACCATACCTGGGAATCCACATTCAGCAGAAACCTGTTATGCCAAGGAACCCTCTTAGTTGCTTTATGGTTTTGGGATGAGGATAAGCCAGAATAAGCTGGATACGTTCCTCACTGAGGGCCCTGGTGCCTTTGGATAATTTTAGCCCTAAGCATTTAACCTGCTGTGAGCAGAGCTGAGCCTTTGGTTTGGAAATCTTGTAGCCACAGGTAGTGAGGAAATTTAAGAGCGCTTGGGTGGCTTGATGGCACAAGGTTTCTGAACAGGCAGCTAAAAGTAAATCATCCACGTACTGAAGGACAAGAGTGTCCAGGTATGAGAATTGACTCAAGTCTTGGGCTAATGCCTGGCCAAATAGATGGGGGCTATCCTTGAACCCTTGGGGTAAAACAGTCCAGGTGAGTTGAGATGTTGGGTTTCAAAGATCTTCAAAGGCAAACAAGAATTGAGAGTCAGGATGTACAGGGATGCAGAAAAAGTCATCCTTAAGGTCCAGGACTGTAAACCACTCTGCTTCCTCTGGTATTTGGGAAAGCAGAGTATAAGGGCTGGGTACAGCTGGGTATAGAGGGACAACAGCCTCACTGATAATCCTAGATATTTCACTAACCTCCACTGTCCATTGGGTTTCTGTACTCCTAAAATTGGAGTATTGCAGGGGCTATTGCATGGTTTTACTAGGCCTTGGGCTTTTAGGTCCTTAACAATCTTTTGGAGTCCTTGTTGGGCCTTGGGTCTGAGGGGGTGCTGCCTTTGGTAGGGAAAGGAGGTGGAGTCCTTTAGTTTAACTTGAACAGGACAGGCATTCTTTGCTCATCCATATTGTCCTTCTGTTGCCTAGACTTTAGGATTAATTCCTTCCTCAAGCAGGGGACAACCAATGGGTGTTCCTTCTCCTATGTTCAGGTGTATAATGGCCCCTGGTTTTGCTAGAATGTCTCTCCCTAACAGGGGAGTGGGGCTTTCAGGCATAATTAGAAAAGCATGTGAAAAGAGTAAAGTTCCTCAGTCACAGCTTAGTGACTGGGAGAAGTATCTAGTGACTGGCTGTCCTAGGACCCCTTGGATAGTGACAGATCTGGAGGACAGTTGTCCGAGACAGGAGAGTAAGACTGAGAAGGTTGCACCAGTGTCCAGGAGACAGTTAACCTCCTGGCCCTCAATGGTCAAGCATACCCGGGGTTCTGTGAGGGTGATGGCATGGGCTGGGGCTTGCCCCAGGCACCCTCAGTCCTGCTGCTGGATCATCTGGTTAGTGGCTTCTGACTCAGAGGACCTTCATCCCCTGGGGCAGTGGCCCTTCCAGTGGATTCCCTTGACATAAGGGGCATGGACGAGGGGGCAGCTTACTTCTACTTGGACAATCTTTTTTAAAGTGTCCTTGTAGACTGCACTGGAAGCAAGCCCTATTAGACATATAATTTTCCCAACTTTTCCCTTTTCCAGAGCCTCCAATGTCCACTTGCCTGGTATGCTTCCTCAATGCCTCCCTTAGTCTCTCCAGAAAGGCAGTAGGATTTTCTTCCTTTCCCTGTGTTATAGTGGACATCATTGAATAATTCATAGTCTTCCTAGTTTTCCTTAGTCCTTCTAGCACGTAAGTTAGCAAATGTCTGTGGCACCAATCTCCATGTTCTGATTCTGTGTCCCAGTGAGGGTCTACACTGGGAACTGCCTGCTGGCCTGTGGGGAATCATTCTCTTTCCTCTGATGTCATCCTATCATTGACCTGACTGAGATACCAGAGATTGCCAAACTCTTGGGCTGCAGATATGGTGGCAATTCTCTCATTTGGGGTTAGTGTCTGATTTAGCAGTAACATTGCATCTCTCCATGTCAGATCAAAGGATTGCCCTAACCCTTATAAAACATCAATATAGCCATCAGGGTTATCTGATCTAAAATACCTAGGTCTATTTTAATTTGCTTTAAGTCTGAGAGAGAAAAAGGTACATGCACTCTGGCTGGGCCGAATTCTCCTCCTCCCTCTGCTTGGAGGGGGCATAATCAGGGAATATTGGCACTCTTTGGTTCATTATTTACCCCTTTATCTATCTCTTTTTGGACGGTTTGTGTTGAAGGGGGATCCTTGTTAGCTGGGGAAGGAGTCAGGGGGACACTGGGATAGGGAGGTAGACTGAGGGCTTCCTGTAGGGCATAAATCACACTTTTTACATAATTGCGAGTTGTCTCTTAATGAAAAGAAAGTTGTACATATGGCACTTCACTCCATTTGCCTTTTTCCTACAAAAGAGGTCTAGCTGTAAGATGGTGTTATAATTTATACTTCCCTCAGGAGGCCAGGTTTCTCCCCCTTGAAGAGGATATCATGGCCAGGCGGTACTGCAGAAAAATATAAGTCATTTCTTTCTTTGACCCTTTCTTAGAGGGTCAAATTGGTCCTAATTCTCCAGAATACATCTTAGGGGTGTTTTTGCCTTGGGGGAAATGTTTCCCATCTGAAAAAAGAACATAGGGAAGCCAACACCCCTAGTCATTTTCTGATGAGCATAAGTCCTAGAGCATCCTCTATGGTCCTAATGCTTATTCCTTTCCAGGGTGCATAACCACCCATGGACCTCTGCTTATCGGATTACTTACACTCACCGATGTAGCAGTCCTGCATCTGTTTTTCCATCTCTCTTGACCACAAAGAAAGGGGCCCTGGCTGCTGGATTCTAGTGGTCCTTTACCAGCTTGCCCAACATTGCCTTTGCACTCAGAGGTGAGTTCCTTTCCAGGCTGTATAACCACCCATGGACCTCTGCTAATCGGATTACTTATGCTTACCGATGTAGCAGTCCTGCAACTGTTTTTCCTGCCTTTCTTGACCACAAAGAAAGGGGTCCGGGCTGCTGGGTTCTAGTGGTCCTTTACCAGCATGCCTAACATTGCCTTTGTACTCAGGGGTGAGTCCTAGAGCTGGGCTGGGTTCCTGAGTATTTCATAACAACCCAGCTGCCCCATCAACATGCATTCGCATAAACAACAGTTCTTATGCAAATTTGTTTCAGAGAGGGTGTATTGAATCTTTTGAGTCAGGATTGAGATAGTCTTTTGATTCTGTAAGTACTTTAAGTCTTGGCTGAGTGCAAAGAGTTCGCACTTTTGAGGAGACCAATTATTAGGCAATTTTTCTAAATCTGCTTCCACAAGAGTCTCTGTATCAATTACTGAATGTCCATTGAGGTTTTTTCCTCAGTCACCTGGGAGGAACCATCTATCATCCTGTCCTGAAGGGAGTTCCTCCTATGTCTGGTCGGACTGTTGTATGGTAATTAAGATTTAAATCCCTGTTAGGGAATCTGCTGGGTTAAGGGAATTATCAGAGGTTGGAGTTACGTTACCTTTTTCTAACCTTATAGCCCCATACGTTAAGATTTTTGAGTTAGTGAGCTACCTTTTTGCTTTTTTTTATTTTTTTTTGACTAAGAATAACTCTGAACTGGTGAGGTGTGCTCACAATGAGGTTTCCTCTAAAAGTTACTTTT